>NC_000004.12:181951684-182254714 GCF_000001405.40 Homo sapiens
TATACCTAAGTGCATTTGTTCACTGTGGTCAAAAAAGTACATTTTTCTCATCAAACTGGTACATGCTTTTCTTAAGTTACTTACAGTTACATGCAACAGCAAACAAACGAGAGAGAACAGAATATGTCTAACAGAAAAGAGGACAACAATTATGATTTTAGTAGTTCCAGGAAATGTAATCGAAAGCTGTAAACCTATGGTAAAAGAGTTCAGGGAGTGGAAATTGTTCTTTATATATTGTAGGGTTTTTCCATGCTTGCTGCTTGTCTAGTGGGATATGTTTTGTTTTTTAAAAAACTTACTTGAAAGTCTGAAGTATTGCTGTATTATATTGTATGGTATTATAGTCACAGAATTAGACTTTTTAAAGAACTGTGGTTTATTCCATCCTTGTCATAATGCCTGTCGTGAATAAAGCAAGCTTTTAAACTCATAAAAGTAATTAGGGATGTGATCTGTGGAAATACTTTTACATTGTTATAAAGCTATTTGTGTTGCCTTTCTTTTGGAAGCAAATCATCGTGTGTTTCTAAATTGGGGCCTTTTTCTTCTTCTTTTAAATCGGAGAGGTTGTGCTTTCTTTGTTTGTATAATGAATAAGAGCCTTATCTGGAAATTGTTGCATAGCCCATTCCATTTTAGGTAGACCTGGAAATTCAGTTTCTTCTTTCTCTGCTAAGTGAATAAATAGACTGAGGAAGTCTTCTACCTGTCTGCCGCTGGTAATTGAATTACTGTACAACACATTAAGCAAAGAAAATTCAGAGCAGCAGCAATCAAATTATGTTCTCATGTTCCAGAGAGTGGGCTCTTCACAGAGAATGAGGAGACAAAATGTTGTAAAGTGATAGACACCAATATTCGGAAGGGAAGAAAGAAGACAATTCATTAGGCCTTGTGCTAGGCCCATCCCACGAACAACTCAGAAGATATAATGACTCAGACAGACTTTAGTCTGACTTATTTCCTTTTTGGGCTGCTTCCAGCTCAGCCAACACACAGTGCAGAGGACACGTGAGATCAACATACAAGTCTGCAGGCAGGACTCCCTAGATTTCCTTAGGGAAGGGCCTCAGATTCGGAGATCAGTTGAGCTTGCACAAAGTGAACATTGAGCCGCAGGCGCTGGGGGGCCAAGGGGCGTCCAGAGCAGAGCTGTCACTGTTTTACATTCACCTCTAATTAGGAAAGGGACCTCATCCTCATTCCAGAGTCTTTTTACTCCCTGGCTAGGCCTTTCTGTCCTGGGCCACAGTTACATGCATTCAACAGTCATTGTGGCCATGGCCCCACGGGGGCTACTGATGCGACTGATTGCACATATGTTATCTCATTAACTCACACAAAGATCCTGAAACACGAGGTTTATGTTTACCTTTATTTTGTATACAAGAACACTGAAGTGTAAGGGGTGACATCACATTAATCATAGCGGTTACCACCTATTGTGTATTTACCAATTGCTAAGTAGTGTCCTAAGTGCTTTCTATATGCTTCAAATTTAATCCTCAATATAACTCCATGAAGTGGATGCTCTTATTATTATGTGCGATTTGGATAATGATGATGGCCACCACCACCACCACCACCACCATCATCATCATCATCATCATGATCATCAGTCTTTGTGAATGTCAAGGGACCATACTTCATCACTTCAACACATAGGAAGGATATTTTATGTATCTATACTTTGTTATATGCATGAATAAGCATGCATGCACATACCCACACAAACACACACACATCAGCCCACTACCATCATATGTTAATCCCCAGGCTGTCCTGCTACATCGATGGATACAGCAAAATGGCAACAAAACACCACCAGCTCATACTTACCTCCACCTGCTTGAGGTAGGTGGTGGGTGCCTGTAATCCCAGCTACTCGGGAAGCTGAGGCAGAGAATTGCTTGAACCCAGGAGGCGAGGTTGCAGTGAGCCAAGATTGCGCCACTGCACTCCAGCCTGGGTGACAGAGTGAGACTCTGTCTCAAAAAAGAAAAAAAGAAAGAAAGAAAATAACATATGTGAAGAAGCTTTATAAACCATGAGTGGAAATATAAGCTCAGGATTGTATTTTTTTAATGTTTTATTGACATTCAGGTATAATTTACATATAATAGAATTCACCCATTTAAGTGTGTATTTCAATAAATTTTGACATATTTATACACCATGAATCCAGTACCACAATCAAAGTATAGTACGTTTCCATCACCCTGAACGTTTTCTTGTGACCCTTCTCAGTCAGTCCTACACATCTGTCCTCCCCAGCAACCACAGTCTTCTGTCACTAAGGACTGGAAGGCACAACTAGCGGCTTCTGTCACTAGAAATTAGATTTGCTTTTGCTAGAATTTCATTTAAATTGTCTTATACTGTATATGTGTCCATGTAGTTGCATGTATCAGTAGCTCATTCCTTTTTATTGCTAAGTATTATTCCATTGAATACACCTACTATAATTTGTTTATCTTTATATTTGTTGATGAATATTTTCAGGTTGTTTCCAATTTAATCTACTGTGCATAGAGTTGCTATGTTCATTTGTGTGCAAGTTTTTATAAGGACATATGTCTTCATTGTCTTTGATAAATTCCTAGAGGTAGAATTATTGAGTCATATACTAAATATATGTTAATTTTATAAAAAGCTGGAAAACTGTTTTACAAAGTGTTTGTATCACTTTGTATTCCTACCAATAATCTGTGAGAATTCCAGTTTTTTACAAATTCACCAACACGTGGTATGGTTAGTCTTTTTAATTTTAGCCATTCTAATGAGTGTGCAGAGATAAATCATTGTGACTTTAATTTGCATTTCTATGGGCTAATAATCCTGAGCTTTTAAAAATGTGTTTATTGGTTATTGTAATCTTTATTTGCAGATCTCCATTCACACTTTTTGTCTTTTTTATTATTTGTCTTTTATTAGTGAGTTGTATGCTTCGGTTATATATTCTGATTCTAGATCTTGGTCAGTGGCTTGATTTTTCATTTTCTAAAGGGTTAATTCTAACGAATGTCAATTTTGATAAAGTTTTTTGTTTCTGCTTTTTGCATCCTAAGAAATATTAATATATGCCTATCCCAAAGTCAAGATGATTCTCTGTGTTCCTTCCAGAAATTATATTTTGAGTTTTCATGATTGGATCTACAACTAGTATAATTCTGTATTTTGAGTTAATTTCTGTTTATAGTTTGTTATAAGGCATGAGATACATTCGTTCATATATATACACTTATACACATGCAGTTTTCCAGCACTGTACCAAAAGAGCATCCTTCTCCCATTGAATTACCTTAGCACCTTTTCTGAAATTCAGTGGCCACATACGTATGGTTCTATTTCTTAAATTGATATTTTTAGTTTCAACATTGCAATAAATATTACATAAGACTTTTTAAAAATCTCCTTAACCATTAACTGAGAAATTTATCTCACAGGTTTCTTGTAGGTTAAACTCACGAAGCTGTAGCTTTTTTTTATTCTAGGACATAATAATTATACAATTTGGAGGGATTCTTATTACATTTTCAGATAAGGAATCTTCCACTGGATATCCCATTATGGGAGGGGAAGGCAGAATTTAGTATATTTGTAAACAATCTGATTTTTTTCCTCACCTGCTTCCTTGCCCTTCCCTAGCACTGCAGGAGTGGCTACCTGAATTGATGTGAGCCTGATGCTCAAGCCTCCCTGAAGAAGTGGTCTTTGGGCCAATACTTGAAAGGAGAGAATCAGCCAGGAAAATGTCTGGAAGACTATACCAGGCAGAGGGACAGCAAGTGCAAAGGCTTACAGTCCTCTTACCAGCCAGAGAGAGCCCCTGCAATAGAATTACTAGAGGTGCAGCAAATCATGGCAAGAAGGGGCCAGTGATAAAAGGATGGTCTGATGGCAATCTAGCACATGTTGTGGGGAGGGGAGGAACAAGGGTTTGGAAAGACTACTTGGGCACAGATGACAAAGGGGCGCAGGTCCTAGATTTAGCAGATTAGCATGAATTGGTTGACGATAGGGAGCCACTTAACGAAGGGCTGCCATGGTAGAAAGAGTGCTTTAAGAAGATTCAGAGCCATCTTGCATAGGGTCACTGCTAGATAATTAACTATTTAATTAATTTTCCAAGTGAGTTTGAGTCAGGAAAGGGTTAGGTGGTACCAGATCAGTTAGGAGGTTATTGCAATGATATACACTAAGGTTATTCTCATGGGCATGAAAATGAAAGGAACCAAACAAGTTGGTATTACATGTCAAGACTCAGAAGCACTTGGTGTCTTAGTCTGTTTACAGAATATCATAAACTGCATAGCTTATAAACAAGAGAAGATTTTCACAATTCTGGAGGCTGGGAAGTCCACAATCAAGGCAGATTTTGTGTCTGGTGAGGGCTTATTTCCTGGTTTCTAGACAGTGCCTTCTCTCCGTGTTCTCACATGGAAGAAGGGGTGAGAGAGCCCTCAGGGTCTCCTTCCTAAGGGCACTACTCACATTCATAAGGGCTCTGCTTCCATGATCTAATCACCTCCCATAGGCCCCAGCTCCCAATACCATCACCTTGGGTGTTAGGGTTTCAATGTGGAAATTTTGAGGAGACACAAATATATAGACCATAGCACTTAGTAATTGAAATATAAGAGCAACAATTCATACTCTCAGAATATTGCATAAGTGTCTTCCATTTTCAATAGACACCCATGACAAAAGTTGTATGCCAACCTCTCATGGTATGAGTATCTATGCCTTTATAATGTATGTTCCATGAGGGCAGGTGTTTTTCTTAACTTGGTTCACTGCTATATTCCAAGTAGCTAGAAGAGTATGCAGCACATAGTAGGTATTCAGCAAATGTGAGATGAATGAAAAGTATCCAAAGATCAGACAAGTCATCTTGAATCTGAAAATGATATTATAAAATCATCATTACTGTGCTGGAGAGTTACAAGATGTTTCTTTGATTACTTGCACAAATGCAAGGAAATCAACACTTGGCATTCTTCGGATTCCCAAGGCTAAAAATTTATTGGGGAGGTGATGAATGTCCCAGCCAAAAGAAAAAGCTACGCTACATAATAGATTTCAGATGCTATAGGCACTTGCTTTATTAATAGTACTGCAGATGTGTTATATTTATCTGGACTACATATGATTTAGATTAACGGGCAACAAATATTTATTAATTCAAACACTTTTCTTATTTAGAAGGCAGTCAAGTTATGTTAGTAAGGAGAGCTACTGCCCTAGGATACTACCTAAAACAGCAGAAGGAAATAATCAGATTTTTTTAAACTTTAAGCGATAACTCTGTAAATTATTCTCACTAAAATAATGGTATCTGGAAAGTGACCATTTTTGCTTGTTGATTTCAGTTGGCATTGCTGGAATGACCTATCTCCTGTGTCATCTGACACGGCAGGATTCGATGTCAATGCACATGCTGCATTATGAATGTTTCAGAGCGTTTGCTCTAATGTAAATCCATGTAGACTGTGTAAAGATGCTGTTCTGCACAGTTTATTTTGTCTCTCGGCCATAGAGCACTAAGCCCTGGACATTACTGTGTACAATGGGTTTTGAATTCCATGCTCATGGACCACGGCCAGCATCACACACAGAAGTTAATGACCGATTGTTATCTTAGCCCATAGCTTGCATTCCTTTTCATAAGACTATTTCAGCAAGGGGGCGGATCACAAAGTACAGGATTAATTAAGGTCAAATCCCAGTGAAACGTGCAATCTATTTTCTCAAGGAAGGAACTTGGAAGAATCACAGGGTGAATTTTATAAACCAAAACCCAATTTTTAAGATAATGTTTAATTAAACTTGAAGCTTAATTTTCTTCTTGTTTAAAGAGACAGAATAGTAATGCAACATAATTTAAATGTGCCAGTATATCAGCAGACGGGAAACATTTATCATTGCTGTGAACTACTGTAATTTACAATGGTGATGGGCCACCCTGAACATCCTAACAATTCAGGCATGTCTAGATCATCCAACTAGGCAGACACTAGTTTGCTAACATCTGACAGTAAAAATTGATCTTTGGGAAACCATTGAATCTGGGTCCAGTGGTGTACTGTTATTTAAAAATTTGGGTTTTGATAGAGAACGAACAATGAAGTCAACCTTGTGGCTCAGCGCACTAAATGTTCTCATTTCAATGTGTTGTAAAAATGCTGATCCCACCCAACTGGGATTATAGTTTCGGATTGTGCTGAGTTTCTGGAATGCTTACAAAATATGTTTTTCTTTGGGTATTATAATGTCATTTTCTTCTAATTATCTCCTGATAATTTTTCCTATCATATTATGAAGTCTTGGAAGAAATTAAAAATTAACCTTCTCCATTAAAACTCACAAGTAAGCTTCTTTGAACTAAAATCCTTTGCACATTTCAAGCTGTTCATACTGTTAAAGAAAGTAAATTATACTTGAAGGGTATACTTAAAATGGGAATTTTAAAATGAAGATTATCTGCCTTTCTTCCTGAACATAGACACATAATCTTGCCTGTTCTGGTTCCATCTTTTCCAATATAGGCAGTTGCAGGGGTGATTAAGTACCTCTGCAGAGAAAGTTAGAGTGAAAATCAGTTCAATGATAAATTAAATGACAGATTTTCAGGTCTTTTTGTTTGTTTGTTTTTGCTTTTTTGGACTCTATTATCAAACAATAAGAATTAGACTTTCTAGTTGCCTGATAGTTTGTAAACTATTTAAACTGTTTGGAATGCAAATATCCTAAATTAGGATTAGAGTAACTGTGTCAATAATACAGTAATGATATGAGTAAATCATACTTGCTTCACTCTACATCAGATAGAGTTTTTTAATAATTTTGTAAAATTCCTGAGATGTTTGAAGCTGGGCATGTTGTCTAATATTTATGGGCTTTGGTTTCTGCCTGTGTCGAGTGGGTAGGCTGGAAACTGCTTCACAGAATGTCTCCCTTGACCTCAAGCCAGTAATATACAGCCCTCCCATGTCCTTCAAACCACCAGGAGTTGATCCCCAAGAGAAAACTTCACATACACAGTATTCATCCCACTAGAATACTTGATTATACATTGTAGAAGCCAGTGACAGTCTCCCCTCAGTATCATATTCTCAGAATCTAGCAGAATACATACTACGACACAGTGAAAAATCAATATTTATTAAATAATGTAATTACCTATTTAGTGCACAGGGTTAATGGATGATTATGGGGGAGAATGTATATAAACGTATTTCAATAACTATATCTAGACAATGTATTGATTCACTAATAAAATCATAATACACAAGTATAATTATACTATAAAAATCCTTGAGGTGAAGAATCAGAGCATTGAATGGTTTTTTGTTGTTGTTGTTTGTTTGGTTTGGTGAATCGATTATTATTAATTTTAGTTTCAGAATCAAGTATTAAATTCTGTACATATTATATCTTCAAAAAATTGTTGTTGTTTGGTTATGATACACTGAACTCAAATGCCATTTCCTCTAGGAAGCCTTTCTTCAACTCCTCATCTAAATTTGGTGTCCCAGTCCCCACATTCCAGGCCCCCAGTGGTTTTTGTCCTAGCTCTTGTCATACTTTGTAATTACAGGAATCTATGAGTATCTGTTGACTGCCCGTCTCTCTCACTGACTGACTCACTCACTGAAGCTGGGGGCAGCCTCTGTTTGGATAACCACGTAGCTCCAGTGTCTGACACAGCCCCTGTTTCAACAGGAGATGTTCATTATGTGTGAAGAAGGAAGGGAGTGGAAAAGGAGCAAATGAAGAAAAGAGTAGGGAGGAAGAGAGAACGGAATACAATTGTATATTTAAATTCAAATTCAGTTAATGAATTTAATAAATCCAGAGTTCCATTAAAGCAACAAAGGGTAGCCAGCTTGGTTAGCAGATCACCGGCATGCCGGCACCCCACACCATACCTTTTAATCTTTTTCTGTCTTTTCACTTGGGAGGGGGGACATCTTACATACCAACAAAATGTTGAAAGAAAAAAACATTAATTCATATTACAGATTTTATATTGTTGGTGATGTATTTTCATTTAAAATATTCCAAATAGAAGTTTTAAAAGCCTTCAAAAGTAGAAATATATGGAGTTTTGGCAGGTAGTAGATGTGAGTCACATACCACTTAAATTGGTATTTAAATTGTCCATATAAAATAGACATTAAGAAAACTAAATGCCTATATCCTAAAATAGGGGTAGAGAGGCAGAAGCAACTAATGTTTACATCCTTTAAACTGGAATCTTGGACTTTATATTGCAAAAGCAAATGACAAATGTCTAATAAAGTTCAAGGGCAAGTTACACAGATGGAAAATTAATAGCTTTATTTTTCTTTGTGTTAGGCATCATTTCCTAAACATTTGAAGCAAAGTGTATATTTAAGCCACATTTGGATTTATCATTGACATCTTTTAAAAGAAAAATAGGAATTAAAATGCAATTTGTGTATATTCTTATACTTCATACACTTTCCATCTATTTAGCATTAATGTTGTAGGAAGAGCTATTCTTTTAGAAAATGTCAAAAAGAACAAATTTCCTAAAATGTTCCTGTTGATGGTAAGTAGGCTGTTTTGCCTTATACTAATGTAATGGATTCTCTCAATAATAGGACTTTTTTTTCTAATTTTTCAAGATAATTTTAGTGACTCATAATCAGTAAACTAAAGGATAAGGAGCGACCTACCTCAATGAAAAATATTTCAGTACACATATAATACCAGCCAGCTATTTCTTGAGGGCAACTTTAAATCGAAGTCAAGTCACAAATGGATTGAGACTGGTGATCTCACTTCATCCTTTGGAAAACTATGTATATCACAAAATCAGTATACATTTTGACATAGTTGGCAGCCTTTCCTTGAAGTAGGCTCTGAATCAACTGAGCATGGAAACTCAATTTGCCTGGGGATATGCTAGCCTTTAAATAAAGAGGGCTGATAGTTTCTGCTAAAACAATGGAGAAATCTCCCAACATCTATAATTTTGTATACACTATAACTCTAACAGACAGTCTAGGTTTCAAGTCATCAACTGCCCGTAAAATCATTATATATACTTTTTAGAACAGAAGTATGGTAAATGTACTTTTAAGCTTACTTGACCACATATTTTTTTAGAGTACCAATTTCATTACATATTTTCTTTTATTTCTCCCACAAGATTATTTTTGCGTCATCTCCCCAGCAACTCTGGTCATATAGAATACCACCGGCTGATCACACAGCTCTGTGACAGCCATTGCAGATTGCTAATGGTAACCCTGCACTAGGGAATAGATGGCTTTGGATGTCTGATCTAGCCCAGGGGTGCAAAGGGCCTGCTCAGAGAGGGCATGATGAAGCTCCTGAGGAACAGGGAGACCCAAATTAGGAATAAGAAAATGTGGAAGCAATTATCCATGGGCACCCACTACCTTAAAATAATTGGAACCACTGTGCACATTGCTTAAAGCTACCTGATGCTTGCTGTCAACTTGTGTCTCCACTTCTGTGCTGGAACTGAGCAAAATAAAGGAGAAAAGGTCAAGCACCACGTAACTAAGCCAAACTTCAATGATAACATGCAACTGTTTGCAATTGTTTTACATGGGAGTATTTTATTATTTCATCATTTAAAATGACCTTGGATCAATGCACTCAGAAACTTGGGTAGGCAGAAAGAATTTATTTTTCAAGCTACCAAACATGATAAAAAATATAGTTTTTGTGGTTTTTTGTTGTTGTTGTTGTTGAGATGGAGTCTCACTCTGTCACCTAGGCTGGAGCGTAGTGTGCGATCTCGACTCACTGCAAGCTCTGCCTCCCGGGTTCAAGCCATTCTCCTGCCTCAGCCTCCCGAGTAGCTGGGACTACAGGCGCCCGCCACCACGTCCGGCTAATTTTTTGTGTTTTTAGTAGAGACGGGCTTTCACCGTGTTAGCCAAGATGGTCTCGATCTCCTGACCTCGTGATCCACCCACCTTGGCCTCCCAAGATAAAAAAATATAGTTTTAAATGTTTTTCAATATATCTAATAGTCAACATATAATGTTTCTGTAGGGGTTTCTATAAAATCTATTATTTTTGGATATTTCAACATGTTGGCTTATACAACTTTCACATAGTTTCTTCAAAAGAGTAAAGATATTGTTTGTTCCACCATAGGCCTACTGCTGCTAAGTTTTACTTTCCTTTTATAATGGCAAACTACTAATTTGTTTTAGAAAGATAAAATTTAAATTTTAAGCCCAAATCTTTATTCACTATAGGTGAAAATGTTACACTAAGACCCAAAACAGGTTAGAAAGAGAGAAAAAGGAGGCAAGGAAGAAAGGAAGTAGGCAGGAGCCAGTCTACATTGTGAGATTATCATTTTTATCATAACTGTGTTATCACTTAGAAAAAGACAGCTTAAAAGCAGATTAAACTCCAGTCAATGTGTATAGCTCTAGCTAACATAAATTAGACATAAGCAAGTCACCTAAAATTAAATACTCATACTATATTTTAAGTTATTCTAGTTGCCTCTCCCACTCTGATTTTAATGCATCCAAATCCTTTTTATCATATCAATGAAGTTTGAAAACGTCAGCCAGGATCCAAATTCCAGAATTTTATTAACAGCAAATAGTTGAGTAAAGTACTTGTAAGATGGGTAAGCAGATCGGATCTCTGTGCTTTTTCTCCTGTAACTCAGGGTCTGCCCTCTCTGTTGCATGCAATCAAGCACCATAGGTGCTAACCCATTGGTGGTAGCAGTTTTGGTATTGTTGTATCTGCAACTTGAAGTGGATACCATGCCAGGAAAGTTTGTTTCCCAGATGAGTGGATTAAGGAAAGGAATTTGGTTTGGATGAAACAGGTTGTTTTGGTGCCAAACAATATCCAGCTGTATGGCTTAAGAGCTCGTCGTATTATCTTACATGTGATAAAACAACCAGTATAAGTTACATGGCGTGATGATCACCTTTTTAAAAAGACACACAAATTAACTACTTTCTTTTTGCCTCCAAAGTAAAGCCTACAGTCACAGCCAAGTATGTAGAAGACACTCCAGTGATGCTTGAAGTAAGAGACACTTCATTCTTGCCAGGTTCTTAGCGTCTCAAAATTCAAATGCCAGTACTCAAATACCAATTTTGTTATCAACACGTAGACTAAAGGAAGTGAAATAAAATTAAATAAATGGTACGTAAAATTTCAAAAAACAAATCTACATCTATCTATTGAGTGATTAGTGAGTGGTTTTCTTTAATATTGAATTGCTACAGCCTCTCAAGCAAGAGCAGTTCTACCCTTTATTCCAGCCCTGGAGTTGTAATGCACCTCAATACTTTCCAGACAGAAAAGTTTATTTTATTGAATACTTTGACATAGATTGTGAGCTGGTTTCTTTGAATACATTTTAGAATCGATTTCTTCTGAAGATACAGCATATTACCACTGTAGCAAGAGAAATAATTAGATTTGGCCATACTGCTTCTACAAAAGCTGTCTCAAACAGATGGGGAGCCCGATCCGTCAGTGGCTATAAACAAATAAAATTCAAAATAATGCTATATGTCAGTAAGACAAGTAATTTATTAAAAGAAATCAATGACTAGTTGAATATAAAGAAGCTTCCAATTGCATATTTTTGTTTTCTACACTTCTCTTTCCCTTTTCCCTCATTCTTTCACTCTCTTTTTGTCTGTCATATAACTCTGCAGAGCTTGCATGCAGCAATATTTTCGGTTAAATTTCAAAGCTGGATTTGCCCAAAAGAACAAAGAAAGCTGTTTTTAAGCTTTGATCTCATCATGGAGTTTCCATTCTAGAAGGGATATAGATACTGCAGGCCAAATATGGCCCTGATTCCCTAAGAAAATATAGTAATTTGAATTCAGAGGGAATTGGAATTTTTGCGTGTATGAGGAACATGTTGGCCTCATAGCTTCAATCAACAAGTTCTGAACCTGAATGGCCCAAAGTAAGTCCTTCAATGAACTGTGTATATTAAATCCAAGTCTCCATCTTCAAAAGCCCCTAGCAGTGGATAGAACGCAAAGATGAAAGGCTTGGTGAGAAGAGATAATTAAAACTTAATGGGTGCTTGTTATATAAGTAGGTGCAATGAAAAATGATCATTTTAGGTATTCACATGGAATTCATAAAGAGTCCCGTGTGTTGTAAGTAATTAATTTGGGGTAGTTAACACTAGGAAGATGACCCCTAAAAGATATGGGTCAAGGCTAACTGCCCAACTCCCTCTTCTGTTATGGTTTATGGGATGTTTTATACTTGATGTAAGAAAAAGACTAAATCCAAGAAAGCTGGAGAAAAGCTCACCTCTCCTAAAATTTTCTATTGAATTGATTCAGACTAAAGCAATGACCTTCCGATTTTTTTTTTTTTTTTGAGGTCTCTCCCAAAAGTCCCCGGGGATTAAGGGGCATAAGATGTACCTTGAAAAAAAAATAGACTGATTAGGGCCTTTGACCAGATGGTTTCAGAAATTAGAAGTATCTCTTGCCTTAGGTGGTGACCACAGAGGCATTTGCTCCAATTGCACCTAGACACAGCCTCTCAGGAAATGGCCAATCCCCCAACAAAGTAAGATATGGACTTAGGGTGTCAAAAAGATGAGGGGTAATTTTACAAAGCTTTTAGAACTTCAATCTCCGGTAAGCTACTGTATCTGTCTAGTGGCAGCTACTTTTGTTTGTGTGTGTCAGATGACTCTAGCCTGAATGAGCTTTTTCATACACGTTCTGTTTGAAGAAAAGCCTTGCTGTGTTCCTTCTTTTGTCATTCCTGTGTCTGTGTAGTACAGTAGCATTGCTTTCTCCCAACCCTGCCATCCCTCCTCAATTCTGTTCTTCCTCTCTTCATCCCCCCAACACTCTAAGTTCCTTAATGTTGCTAGAAAAAAAAAAAATAGCCATTCTGATCTCAAATTGGGAATAGGCTGATCGGGCTATTTTCTTCTTCTCGTCTATATGACATTATTGGTATACTGCATGCACTGCTGAATATCATCAACATGGGACAAGTACCAGCAGGGATTCGGTTATAAAACACGTATTTGCCACCGGTGAGAGAGTAAACGTAGATACAGGGACAAACATTTACAAAACAAACATGAAACTTAAAATGGAAAGGGAAAGAGAATGCAGAATAAGATTTACACTGATCCACTGAGTTCCAGGAGTGTCTATTTGGAAAGCAAAACCCCTTTGACGAAAAAGTTCAATGTGGTATCAGTATTAGCCACGTTAGGGCATTTTCTTGACAATCTAAAGTGTCTACGCCAGTGAAACAGGAACAATGGTTCAGAGAAAGGCGACAGAACCTAAAACTTGAAAGTAAATTTCTGAAACTAAAAAATCCTAAATTTTCTGTTAGATGTGTAAAATATTTCCTGATACAAGTTTGCTGTTGTAAAGTTTAATTATAAAATTATGAAAATAAATTCATTTACATAGGTAAACAGGTCATAATTAGTGTGTGCTGTTGGAAGAGACAATTAACTTCCTCCTTATTTTAAAAAAATAATAATAACAAGAAGTCATATTCTCTGCATTTAATCTTTCGTCTTTCTGCTTCTCCCTATGAAAAGAAAGCCACAGGACTTCTTGAGGAGAGAGTATTTTGATAAAGACAACAAAAGCTCTGAATATTTTAACTTTTATCATGGACGTTTTCAAGCATATTCAAAAGTAGCATGTACATATTGCCGATCTGGGTTCATTTATTCCTTCCAGATTATTTATTATCTATTTACTGCTGCATCACTTTAAAGCACATTATTTCACCTACCAATACTTCCAAATAAAGCTCTCACAGATGAGGATGCTTATTTATGACCCTCCCATTTGTTTGCTTGTTTTAATAAGACCACCATGCCATTCTCCAACCTTACCCCCAATAAGTACTTAATGGCAGCCAACGTTCAGTCCATCTGGAAATTTCTCTGACTGTCTTAAGAATGTCATGTTACAATTAGTTTGTTTAAGTCAGGCTCCAAACAAGAGTCACACCTTGTATTTTTCTCCTGTGTCTCCTGTATTCTATATTAATCTCCATCCCCTTTTTAATGCCAGTTATCTGTTGATGAGATTCAGAATATTTTTAAAAGAGAAGGTGAGGCAAGAAATTCCACCTCTATAGAGTGGCTCTGTGTGTTCTCTCTCACATCCCATCACTTGGAGTGATGCTAAGATTGATCCATGGGTTCAGGTGTTGTCTGCCTGATCTATCCATTAGAAAGGTCCCTGTCCTTTCACCTTGAAGCTTTAGTATCTTTGGATGATTATTGCCTAGAGCCATTATTCCATTAGGGATGACAAAATAGTGACTTTTATAAGCTATCAGCTTTTATCAATTTCTTAAAATGCCTGCATATCAATTTGACTGTAGACCAGCAGCTGTGTCATTCTTTGCATAGATAACAACAAAGGCTGTGGTTATTTTTGACACCCGATGAAGCCACAGACCTCATGAAGTATCATGGCACACAAATCTCAGAAGGGGTGTGACTGGATGTTGTGGAGAGTGAGTTACACAGGGAGATTTATTCAGCAGATAGCAAAATGGGCTCTGTGTCATTCAGTTTGGGGTGGTGGGGATGAAAAAACAAATCTTGCCCCAGGCATGAGTCTGTCCTCTAGACATTTGGTAGGGAGCCATATGGTGGAGTATTTTTCTTTACTTAATATTATGAAGTCATTCTCCAAGCTCTCTGCAGATTTTCTCTATTAGATTATCTCAGAAGGCCACAGCTAATGTTGAGCCTATTTCTCACTTTATATAAAAGTCAAGCAGGCAGAAGGCTGAAAAATCCATTCAAGATTTCACTTGGTGTCTTCTGTCTTCCCCAAATAAAGCCAATCAAGGAGAATAAAATGCGAGCTGAAATCATCTTATCTCCCAGAAGCCCCAAGGGCAGATGTAAGGTTCTGGCAAAGAATTAGTAAAGGCTCCGAGAATGAAATAAATACTTGTTTCAGATGTAATTTGAAGACATTGTGGACTAACAGCAACCTAATCTCTGAGAGAATAAAAACAAGTCTGTCTTTTAAATGGGCAAGACCCTTCTCACAATAGCTAGTAAATTGACTCCCACTTCTACTGTGCCGCTAGACACAAAAGTGACAAAGCATTATCTTTACTTGGTGATGGGGGCTCTTCTTTGACCCACCTGGACCACCTATTAGTGTATAAGGAACACAGCTAGCGTTCTCTAGCCCTTCCAGAATGCCATATGAAGACAATCTCTCTCTTCCTCCTTCTTCTCTCCCTCCCCTTCGTTCCCTCACACCATATCTCTCTCTCTCTCTCGCTCTCTCTCTCTCTCTCTAGCATGCATGTGCCACACCAAATTTCTTTTCATGCAGTTATGTAAACAGCAGAGACTTTGCATGAAAGGGTTCCTTCCACTCCCTGCTTGTCTACTTCATCTTTTTCAGAAACTGCAAATTACAGACATGATTTGGATATGTGCAAAGACAATGCTTTTCCTCAACTTTGCAGCCTTATTTGAGATACATGGGGCGCAGGTTTTGAAGACAGGAGAATGAGGTCCAAATATGGGTCCAGCACAGCCACCCATGTGTCAGGTGATCCTACCCAGTTCTGTAACCCCCAGCTTACTCTGCTGCAAAATGGAGATATGACATTTATTTTTCAGGATTTTCACGGGGCTTTGCGTTTTGTGTGTAAAAGAGCACGTAGCAAGTAGAGGATATTCAATAAATGACTCAACAAGTGTTTGTTCCTCCTGTTAATTTTTTTTGGAAATGTCCAATTCCTATCACCGGTTTAAAAGCCATTAAGTTTCTTTATCTCATGAAGCAAGTGCAGTCTTTAAACAAAGTCCCCTGACTTTCCCATGCTGGCTTTCCTTGGGGCAGTGGGCATGTGCCTGCTTGATGTCACTGTCACTTTGCATTGCTGGCTCGGCCCTTGCTACGGGCTGATGATTTCTTCCCAGGAGGAGTAAGAGGGCCATTTTCAAATCTCTAACACATTTCCCCATGATATAGCACAAACTCAAACCCCTGAGATTTTTAGTGACTGTAGGATAGAGGCTCAGAGTCAAACAGAGTGAGGTATGGTTCTCCCAACTCAGAGCCACCGACGTGGCTGGCGTTGTTCAGTTCCACCCCCCAGGCTTACTTCTGGACCGAGGCCTGAAATATTTCACACAGTTTGGCTGCTCCATCGTCCTTCCAAGTGCCTTGCTTGAGATCACAGGGCTTTTCCTTTGTTGTGAGGCTCAAACTCATCCTCTCTATGGCCAGGGAGTGTGCATCGCCCTCACTGATCTCTTCACAGGAACTTCAGTTCTGCTCCCAAATTCTAGTCCATTGGTTTGAGTCTTGCTGAACGCTGACAGACTTTCTGGAGGTCCTGGTATTCCGAGCACCAGAAGCCCAGATTGGGTCCCCACAACTCAATGCATGATGATGGATGGAAGATATTCAGCCACTTCACTTGCCTGAGATATGTGTTTACCAGGTGTGAGACCTCCTGTTATGCTTCAGGAGACCTCTCCTGAACTAAAGTTTCCTTCAGTGACCCAAATCTGCACCTTCCTTCTTGGCTTGTGAATTACATGCTTGGTCCTCCCCAGTAGGTCGTGTCCAGCCATACCTGGAGGAAACTTAAGGCAGGACATGTAAGTTCAGAACTGGCATTCGGGCCGCGGTTGTCACTGGCTCTCGCCAGGTGAGGGTCATCTGCCACTGAGACATGGAGGGGACCTCGGGGTTAGGAAGCTCTTAATCCACAACTGCTCTGCCAGTGGCAAGAAACAAAGAAAGAATCTAGCTCTTTCTGTTCTTCTTTGGTTTGCTTCCAGCGTTTTCCTCTTGACTCATAAAACAAAAAGCTCACTGATGAAAAGCATCTAGAATGCTAACCGCAGAGAATACAGAAAATGTTTTAAATGAAAAGAAAAATGACTAAGAATCATGTTACCTATAGTTCATCATTATTACTACTTTGGAATTTGTCTCAATTCAATGGGTATAAATAAAGTCTCAGTTATACAAGATGATTAAGTTCTAGAGATCTTTCGTACAACATTGTGGCTATAGTTAACAATAGTGTATTGTATGCAAAAAAATTCTGTTCACAGGGTAGATCTTATATTAACTTCCTACCATAAATTTTTTTAAAAATTGGAGGAATCATTACATACACACATATATAAATATGTGCCTGTGATATGCATGACATATGACATCTTTGTGTACCACACATACTGTGAGCATTAACTAGAATACCTCTCTTGTCTCTCTCTCTCTCTCTCTCTCTCTCTCTCTATATACATATATATGTGTGTGTGTGTATGCCTCTGTGTGTGTATGTAATAATTTCCCCCATACACAAACACACACACACATAATTTCCTTTTTAAAAGTTAGCATTAGCTTGTTAATTTTTAAGCTTCAAAACAAGTGATGAAAATTTACAGGATCCAGAAAATCCAATTAGGCGTATTGTTCCACTGCCAAACACGTTACAAATGTTGACTAACACTGGTGTTCATTGATAATCACTTGGAAGCTTGCCCTTGATTATTTAAAATTACTAAAGTCATTCATGTTTTATAACAACTCTGAAAAACACTTTGAACCTTTAAAGATGTTACAGTTAGCCAGCTGGAAAATTCTGATTTAACCTCTTTTTCTATGTTGCGACATCAGTCAGTGATTTAATGTGTCTGAGTTTCTGGGCCTTCATCTTTCAAATGGGAATATTGATATATATTGAGCATAAAATGTGGTAGAATATGTTTCCTCAGTCTTTCTCAACATTTTTGCCACCGCAATATGCATGACATATGACATTTTCAGGTACAACGCATACTGTGAGCATTAACGGGAATACCTGTCTTGTCTCTCTCACAAAAGTAAATGTGTTAGAATGTAAACAAATGCAAATGAGTTCAGGATACCTAAATATACAGAAATAACATTTTCTCAGTTACATCCATCAGTGTTTGACAGCAAAGAGTTTGAGATCCATCGTGTTAACGTACATAATAAATTGGTAAGCACCAAACTGAATAAGGTGCTATTATTTCAGTAATTACATTAAAGTAGAAGGTCTATTTCTCATTTTGCAGAAATCTCACCCAGGTGCGTAAACATTTTGCAAGTTTGGATACCACCTGACAAGAAACAATTAAGAAACGCAGTATTTAATTCGTTAACGTGTTAACTGATTTAAATTAAAGATAAATTAAGCTGTGTTCTTCATTTATTAGCAAGATTCAAGTAAGCAAGGCTTTGAGAAATAGAGTTGAGTTTCTTTATGACTGATTTTAATTATGAAATAACTTGCAAAGACAGCTCCCCATTTGTTCTATTTAGAATAATTTCAGAAAGCCAATCTCTGAACTATAGTTGATAGCTTTCAGAAAACAACTTCATCTCAAATATTTGTTTATTGTAAAAGCTAAATAGTATTCATCTAGACATAATTCTAACTTTTATTGATTCATAAAACTAAATTACCAGTAGTCATTTAAATAATAATGAGGGTTAAAAATATGTAAATAAGTAATTGCTATACGTGAAATTTCCAAATATTTGCAAAACGGAGTTATCATTAATGAGAATTCGCTGTCAGGATCTACAGCAAATTAGGTCACTATTATTAAAAGGCTACAGAGCAGTAAAATTAAGCTTTCAAAACTACCTAAAATTATCATTGCCGACCTTAGGATTTTCTGACAGAAACTTTATCCCAACTATCAAGATAAAAGAAAAAAAATACTCTTTTGTCTATCGTCTTGAAACTTTCACTTCCTGTGGTTCAGTCTGAAAGATAATGCATCTGCTTAACATCAAGCAGTTTTTAGAACTCTCCTTGAGAATTTTTCCACCATCAGTGATTCATAACCACCTCCTTTATGTGATCGTATGATATATCTTTTAAAGTCTACATTTTAAAGTTATTTCAGGGGCCCACTTAATCAGGGTTCCAGAGGCCATGTGGACTCTCCTTCATCTCCTCCCCACTTGGATTTTTGTCTCAGCATTCCTCAGCTTCTCTGCTGCTGGCGGCTCAAACAATGGTATGACAGCAAGCCTTGGACCAAAAGAATAATTCTGGGTTTGTTTCATACCATGTATCTGGGGAATTCAAAATAAATAAAAATAAATGATATTTTTGTGAGCTGCAAATACATGTCCTACAATAAGTGCCATGCAACTAGGAAAGATTTTTATTAAGCTTTTTTTCATGCTACAGTTCCAATATTGGCTGGTTTATTTTTCATTTTCCTCAGAGAAGGGGTCTCACTCTATTGTCCAGGCTGGAGTGCAGTGGTGCGATCACTGCTCACTGCAGCCTCGAACTCCTGGGCTCAAGTGATCCTCCCGCCTCGAGCTCCCAAAGCGCTGGGATTATAGGCCTAAGCCACTGAGCCCAGTCCAATTATTGGTAATTTTTAGTGATATTCAGGAAATATATAAGACCGTCACAAAATGAGCATTTATTATCCAACACAACAGATAATGTTTTTAAATCAGGAATGGGATTGGAAAGAACAGAATAAGCTCCAGGCAAGCAGGAATTAGGTCTGTTCTGTTTGCCCCTTCATACTCTGTACCTAGCATGGTGCTTGGCATGTAGTAGGCTCTCAAAAATATTTGTTAAAGAAAGAAACAGACAAAAAATGGAGGGAGGAAGAGGAGAGAGTGAGAAAAAGCAGGGAAAACAAAACATGATCCACATCCAAAATCATGGTGCAGCCAAATCTAGAAAAATTCATGGCAGAGTAATGCTTAAGAGACTTTGGACATACTAACTTAATATAGTTCTACCCTCTTATTCGTCATAAAACAGAAAGTCCAGGGATGGGGAAGTTGTTGGGTATTTGGTTTTGGTTTTGGTTTTGTTTTTGGAGACAGCGTCTCACCCTGTCTCCCAGGTTGGAGTGCAGTGGCATGATCATAGCTCACTGTAACCTCAAATTCCTGAGCTCAAGCAATCCTCCCACCTCAGCCTCTCTAGTACGTAGGACCACAGGCATGCACCACCATGCCCTGTTAATTTTTAAAAAATGTTTGTAGAGATGGATCTTTGCTGTGTTGTCCAGGCTGGTCTCAAAGTCCTGGACTCAAGCGATCCTCCTGCCTCGGCATCCCAAAAGCACTGGAATTACAGTCATGCACCACTGCACCTGGCCAGGGATGGGAAAGTTGACATAGCCACTGAGAAGCATGTCAGTCTGAGCTAATTGAATTAATTTGACCATAATAATATCGGCAACGTCTCTCCTACCATATTGGTATATGACTTATGGTTCCATTCAGGAAGATTACTTAGCAAACTGCATCAGTTTTTTTTTTTTCTCTTCATGCTACAGAGGAAATTGAGATAAAAGGTATGGGAAACTACTTTCCAGAGACTTAGTTGAGAGAGAAAATAGCTTAACATCTCTCTGTAATAAAGAACGGGCCAGATGTGGTGACTCACATCTGCAATCCCAGCAATTTGGGAGGATCAGGCAGGCAGATGGCTTGAGCCCAGGAGTTGGAGACAAGCCTGGGCAGCAAGATAAAGCCCCGTCTCTACAAATATAAAAATTAGCCAGGCATGGTGGTGCATGCCTGTAGTCCCAGCTACTTGGGATGCTCAGGTGGGAGGATTACTCGAGCCAGAGAGGTCAAGGCTGCAGTGCAGTCAAGGCAAGTCAAGGTCAGATCATGCCACTGCACTCCAACCCGGATGACAGAGTGAGACCTCCTTGTCCAAAAAAAAAAAAAAAAAAAATTCAAACTCATTCCTCCATTATTAGAAGCAAGATAACTTATTAAAATGCTAACCTTGAAATATGAGTTTGTGTTCCCCAGAAAGATCCTAAAGAAGATGGCTAGATGACACTTTAGGGAGGCTGAACTCTTAGCAATGAACTCCAGTCTCCCTAAAAATTCTCCAAGTCACAGAGACCAGAGACATGTGGAGACAACATGACCTGGGCAGTATCTTTGACTGGTGCCCAGTGATTGCAGGGAACTCCTCAGCACCTGAATCCATTGTAAGTCACACAATCTTGACCGAGATTGAATTTCCAGATCCCAGGGACAACATGTGTTGGATTCAGGATTAAGTTGATCTACAGAAAATAAGGAAATGCAGTATTCTAAGCTCACTTGAGTCTGTGGATTGGGATTCCTATTCATTACACATTGTTATACACATTAATTGATCACTTGCTCTTTACAAGACAAAAAACTTGGTTTTGCCAAAAAAAAAATCCCTGACTGCAGTGGAGGTGTTAAGCAGACCTTGAGGTATGAATCTAGTCCATTAATAGGCCAAGTGGAGCGGCACTTTATTGACAAAACTGGAATCAAAAGCTATAAATGGACCATAAGAATGACAGCCAGGGCTTTTATATGTTATAATATTGACAGGAATGGTGCAACATCAAAATTAAAAACCTGACATCATTGAAAGAATAATAATTTATTTTTAGATCCTTCCTCTTATAACATATGCAGTAAAATTCTAAATGTGTGCAAACAACTGGAAGGCATCAATTTTTAAATGTTTTAAATTTGCCATCGCTGGTCTAGGTGCTTGGGTGGCATCAGTGAACAAAGGATGAAGATTCTACCTCTGGTATCTAGGGTGGATAGAAAACAAACAGTAAGCATGACAACTAAGTAAATTATAACAAGTTAGAAACTGACAAGCAGAAAAAAAGGACCCTGAGCAAAAGAACCAGAGCAGAGAAAACGGAGACGGAATGCTGTTTTAAATGGCTGGGCCTCAGGCCTGCAATCCCAGCTTTGGGAGATTGAAGCAGGAGGATCGCTTGAGGCTGGGAGTTTGAGACTAGCCTGGGAAACATAGTAGTTTGAGACTAGCCTGGGAAACATAGTGAGGCCCTGTCTCTACAAGAAAAAAAATAAATAAGACTATTTAGCTGGGCACAGTAATGCATGCCTGTAATCCAAGCTACTCAGGAAGCTGAGGCAAGAGGATTGCTTGAGCCCAGGAGTTGAAAGCTGAACTGAGCCATGACTGTGCCACTGCACTCCAGCCTGGGTGACAGAGCCAGGCCCTAGAGCTAAAAATAAATATGAATAAAATAAGTAGAATACAGTCAATGGAGCTCAGGGTAGGTCTCACTAGGAAGATGATGTTTAAGCAAAGGCTTGAAGGAGAAGTAGAGTTATCCCAGGAGATAACTGGAGAAGAAGCATTTGGAGAAAACAGCAACAACATAGAGGGCAATGCCCATGTCAAATAAAGGGGACACCGGCAGGGGTAGGCTGGGAGAGCCTGCAAACCATAATGCCGGCCTACTCCCTGTGAAAGGAGAGAGGGAAGGAAGGAAGCTTGGTCAGCAAGAGCCTCAGACTGTACTGCAGCTCTGAGATGGCCTCAGACAGACCAGTGGGGAGCCACTCAGTAGAGACTGCTCATTCAAGGAGTCCTGCATGCGGAAGAAATGGCTTGTCTCAGTCATTGGCTGGGTAGGAGCATAATCTTGGCATGGGTAGCACACAGCTGGGAGCTATGAGCTGTGTTCTCATGATAGCCGTAAGGCAAGAGTGCCTGGTATGGTCAAATAGCAAAAATGAATCAATGCCGGCCAGGTGCAGTGGCTGACACCTGTAATCCCAGCACTTTGGGATGCCAAGGCGGGTGGATCATTTGAGGTCAGGAGTCCGAGACTAGCCTGACCAACATGGTGAAACCCCATCTCTACTAAAAATACAAAAATTAGTCAGGCATGCTGGTGCATGCCTGTAATCCCAGCTACTCAGGAGGCTGAGGCAGGAGAATCGCTTGAACCCAGGAGGAGGAGGTTGCAGTGAGCCGAGATTGCGCTACTGCACTCCAGCCTGGGCAACAGAGCGAGACTCCATCTCAAACAAACAAACAAAAAAAGAATCAATGTGGCACAAGCTGAATGAGCAAGAGGGAAGCAGCAACGTGGTCAGTGGAATAACGGGTTCAAAGTCAGACCATCGAGGCTCCTTGGCTATGTAAAGGCTTTGGCTTTTCACTCTAAGTGGAATACATTTACTACCAGTGACAAACACTGAGCAGAACTGATATGATCTTACTTCTTCCCCCACCCTCTTTCTTTAAAATTATAGATTCAGGAGGTAGATGTGCTTGTTTGTTCCATGGGTATTACATATGTAATGGTGGAGAGTGTAATTGGCTTCAAGTGTACCCATCACCCAAATATTGAACATTGTAACCGATAGGTAATTTTTCAAACCTCACTCCCTTCCCATCCTCCCTGCTTTTGGAGTTCCCGGTGTCTATTAGTTCCATCTTTATGTCCTGTTGAGTTCCCACTTATGTGTAAGAACATGTGATATTTGATCTTCTGCTGATGAGTTAGTTCACTTAAGATTATGGCCTCCAGTTCTATCCATGTTGCCGCAAAGGACATGATTCATTCGCTTTATGGTTGTGGAGTAGCTCTTTTTTTTTTTTTTTTTTTTGAAACAGGGTCTCACTCTGTTGCCCAGGCTGGAGTGCAGTGGCACAATCTTAGCTCACTACAACCTCCACCTCCCAGGTTCAAGCTATTCTCGTGCCTCAGCCTCCCGAGTAGCTGCGATTACAGGCAAGCACCACCAAGCCTGGCTAATTTTTGTATTTTCAGTAGAGACAGGGTTTCGCCATGTTGGCCAAGCTGTTCTCCAACTCCTGACCTCAGGTGATCTGCCCTCCTCAGCCCCCTAAAGTACTGGGATTACATACATGAGCCACCATGCCCGGCCGATTGCTTAGTATTTCACTGTGTCTATGTGCCACATTTTGTTTATCCAGTTAACTGTTGGTGGACACTTAGGTTGGTTCCATGACTTTGCTGTTTTGAATAGTGCTGCGATAAACATCTGAGTGCAGTTACTACTGTTTTAAGAGCACCACTCTGGCTACCATGTTGGAAGTAGGTTGTGAGGAGACCAAGGTACAAGCAGGGGGACTGGTTAGGCAGCTACTGCAGGGAGCCAGGTGAGAGATGGAGGGACTCAGGCACAGTGCGCAGTGGTAGCAGAGGAGGGGGTGAGCAGACACTTGTGGATAAATATGGAAGCCGGAACCAACAAGAAAGGCTAAAAGACTGCATATGGAATGTAAGACAGAAATGGAGGATACATGTGTTTCCTTGGTCTGCCATAACAAAGTACCACAAACTGGGTGGCCTACATGATAGAAAATTATTGTCTGACAGTTCTAGTGGCTACAAGTCGAAAATCAAGGTGTCAGCAAGGTTGGTTTCTTCTGACGGCTACTCTCCTTGCTTCTAGTAGGCTCAGGCATTCCTTTGCTTGTAGCCGGCATTCTCCCTGTGTGTTCACAATGTCTTCTCTCTCTGTTTGCCTGTCTGTGTGTAGAATTCCCTTTTTATAAGGACATCAGTCATATTGGGATTAGGCCTACCCTAATGACCTCATTTTAATATGACCATTGTTTTTTGAGACAGGGTCTCACTCTGTTGCCCAGGCTGAAGCACAGTGGCACAATCTTGGCTCACTGCAAACTCCACCTCCCAGGTTCAAGCCATTCTTGTGCCTCAGCCTCCCGAGTAGCTGTGATTACAGGCAAGCACCACCATGCCCGGCTAGTTTTTGTATTTTTAGTAGAGGTGGGGTTTTGCCACGTTGGCCAAGCTAGTCTCCAACTCCTGACGTCAGGTGATCTGCCTCCTCAGCCTCCCAAAGTGCTGGGGTTATGGGCATGGGCCGCCATGCCCAGCCGGTTGCTTAGTATTTCATTGTGTCTCTGTACCACATTTTGTGAATATGAGACCCGATCTCACATTCACAGGTACTAGGGGGTAGGACTTCAGCATCTTCTTGCAGGATGCAATCCTACCTGTAACAGAGAATGTATTAAAGAATTTTGCACTGAACAACTGAAAGGATGGAGTTGCTGTCAACTGAGATGTGGAAGGCTGTGAGTGTTCACAGGTTTGGATATAGTCCATTTGAGATATTTATTAGAAACCAAGTGGGAATGTCAAGTAGGCAATTATACAGACACAAATTAATGTTCAGGAGACAGATCAGATCTGAGCTAAAGATATGAATTTGGGAGTTGTCCGGATAGAAATGAATAGTATTTAAATTCACGACCTGGAGAAGATGGAGCTACAAACCAAGCCCTTTGATACTCCAGAGTTAAATCAGGGGAGAAAAGAAGGAACCGACAAATGTGATTCAGAGTGACGGAAAGAATAAGAGAAAACTCAAGGGAGATATAATTTGCCACTATTGAGAGCTGAGTAGAGAACAGGCCCTGTGCTATGTGACATACACATCATCTCTAATTCCAGCAACACTGCAAAGAGAATGCACCCCTCCTTTGCTTAGTTGAGCCAGCTCGAGCTAAGAGACAGCGTGGCGTTGTACTTAGCAGCATGAGCTGGACCGCCCAGCTTCAAATCCCCATTTTGCCTCCTCCCTAGCTCTGAAATATCATGCAAAGTACTTTGCCTCTCTGTGTTTTGGTTTCCTCAACTGTGAAATACAATAGTACCTACCCCCATAGGATCGTTAAAAGGATTAGATGAATTAAAACTCTTCTTAAAAAGAACCACCGTTAAAGTTTCTTGAACAGAACACAGCGCACAGCAAACGCTACATTATTGCCTGTTACATAAGTAAATGTATGTAAATTAAGTAAGTTAAAAGTCTCACAGCTCCTAAGAAGCAGAAATAGGATTTGAACCTAGGATTTTCTGCATTTGAAGCCCATCCTGTTTCTAGTGTATCACGGTGAATGTGACTCTTTCCTTAGCATTAGCATAGATTAATTAATCTAATTAGGGGAATGGATCATTTGGAAAAATGAAGAGACAGTTCTGGAAGGCTGCATTAAGGATGTTTTACTAAATAAGAAATGAAGTTTTGAGAGGACAAGTTGTCATATAAATGTGAAAGCAATAAAAGAGAGAGAGAACCACAAGAGAGGCCTAGACCCCTGGGTCTAAGATAGGGGAAGACTCACCTTTTGAGGGCCTCTTCTTCACAAAATCAGGGCACCTGGGGTGGGTATTTTAGGGGGAACTAAGAAGATAAAGGACTTTGCTTCCCTCTTGTCTTACCTGGGACCAATCTTTTTCCTGTGGATGCTCACCATCAGGGGTGAGGTGACCATGAAGATCTGTTTAAAGTCTGTGCTGAAAGAAGTAATCAGAGAGAATCAGAATAGGATAACGTTCACAAGCTCTTGGTTGAAGAGGACTGAAAGTAAGAACAATCAGTATCAAAGACGATAGCAAAGTCAAGGAGAGTGACTGAGAGAGAGGCCTTTCATGTTGATTATGAAGAGGCCAAGTCATTCCAAGTAAAGTTGCAGTAAAGCAAAGAGAATAAAATAGTTTTAACAGATCTGCAAGCCAGGGTGACAGAAGATGAAGTCTGGAAGAATAATCATGGAAAGTGGAAGTGGCCAGAATGAATCATTTTAAAGTAGCTGAAAGAGAAATTAAACCAATGAAAACAGAATCGTAACTCTTGGGGCTGGAAGGGTCCTGTGGCATGAGCTACTGGAATTGTTCTCTACATGGTGGGAACCGAGGCACAGAGAAACCCAACAACTTGCCCACATTCTCACATCTGGTTACTGGCAGAACCAGGATGAGAAGGGCTCAGCCATAAGTGAAGCATCGATTTTGACAGGTTTTCTTAAAGAGCAAAAGGGGGCTGGGCGTGGTGGCTCATGCCTATAATCCCAGCACTTTGGGAGGCCAAGGCAGGTGGGTCATGAGGTCAGGAGTTCGAGACCAGCCTGACCAACATGGTGAAACACCATCTCTACTAAAAATACAAAAATTAGCGAGGCATGGTGGTGCGCGCCTGTAATCCCAGCTACTCAGGAGGCTAAGGCAGGAGAATCGGTTGAACCTGGGAGGTGGAGGTTGCAGTAAGCCGAGATGGTGCCACGGCACTCCAGCCTGGCGACAGAGAAAGAGTCCATCTCAAAAAAAAAAAAAAGAAAAGAAAAGAAAAAAAAAAACCAGAGCAAAAGAGAATTTACTGACTGATTTTTCTGTTCAGGAGGAAAGAAAGAATATAAAGCCTATATGGGAAGTTCAGGTGGGAATTGAGCAACAAAAGGCCATCTCACTATCTGAAACTTAGGAACGTATGAAATAAAGGGCCAGAAATAGGCAAGGGAAGTATGAATTGTGGTCTCTTGTTCTGCTTAAAAGAATATAAGAAGACCTTTGAGGAGAGCCACAATGGGTAATGGGTTACAAAATTTAATCTTTGAGATTAGGGACACTTTGAAGTTTATGGATTGCTTAAGTGAAAAAAAAAAAAAGATAGTTATCTGTAAAAGGAGAAATATTCCAAATATTTGTTTTTCCTAAACTTAACTATTCTACATTTTTGTTGAAGAAGCAAAATATATGCTACATTAAGCCTGACATATATATATATATATATATATATATATATATATATATATATATATATATATATATATGACATCTTTGGTTGACTACCATGGTATGGACTAGGGAATTCAGCTTGAAATTTATGGCACTTATATAGAGTTTTTTTTCTTCGTATTTCTTATGTTTGTATTGCAGTAATGAAGAAATATGGAAGCTGTCTGGTGGCCAAATAGTATCTGTAAATTCCCATGGATAAAGCCTCCCGTTTATATTTCAAAGTTATTAAGTTCAAGTCCTGTTATAGCTCTACTTTTATTGGTTTTTCCCCCATCAAGGCAATTATTGATTGATTAATTCTTATTGGCTTTCTAAAGTAGAAAAAAATTATGGCTGAAATAAAATACTTCATACAGAGCAAAAAGTAAGGTATATATAAAGTGAAAGTCTGAGCGGAGAGGTGAAACCTTGATTCCAGCTACCCAGGTCTCTTGTGCACGGGTGCTCTGCCACAGGGAGAACACTTGGCTTGGTGTGGGTTCAGGAGGGACCAGAGTTGCTTGTGTGGGGACCAGTGTTGTTTGTCAGGCTTTTGGCCATATGATGATGCTCAGCCCCTTGTCCAATGTAGTGTGCAAACACCGTCACAACCTCATCTCACTCAGCCCTATAATCTGTGGAAACTGAGGCTCAGAGAAGTCGAGTGACTTGCTCAACGTCATACAGCTAGACATGACAACCCCAGATTCAAACTGAGGTGGTTTTCTTTCTTTCTCTACCTTTATGTTTTTAAGTTTGTTTGTTTGTTCGTTTTAGTTTTTGTTTTATTTCTGACCCAGGCCAAGTGGTAGGTGTAGCCAAGGCTCCGTGAGGATGGAAGGTCCACTAGTTATAACCTGTGAGTCACACTGGATCTCAACTGGGCCTAGAAGCCCAGGCAGGTTGAAAGCCTCTTTTGGAAGAAGTTGCCTTGACTACAAACGGAAACTGAACCCACTTTGCCTGCAGGCCCCAGATCTGTCTTACCAGCTTCACCTCAAAAGCAGTAACTTATTTGGCTTGAAGGACCAGTTCTGACCTTTTCAAACAGTGGAGGAGGGGAATGCCAGTTCCCTAATGTCAGAGGCAATATTTTTATTCCACAGTGTGGGTAAGGTGATCTCTCAGACAGACAGTCTCCTCTGGGGTTCGCAAGCCTTCTGAGTGCAAAGGTTATCTTCCTGGTAACTCATCTCTCCCACATTGTAGACTTCCTCCTCCAGGGTCCCATATCACCGGGGAAGTTGTGGTCTGGAAGGGGAGTCCAGGCAAGGGCTGGAACAAAATTACAAATATAAAATAAATTTCATAGCCAAACATGCTTCATTAAAATGTCTAAATTGAACTATATAAATCTGCTTTTGGGGGAAGGTCAAAAATGGCTGAATTACAGCAATTCCATATATTCAACCTAATACATGTACCACAATCACAATCAGAATGCTTATTGAAGGGTGATATTGGACCAATCAACTTACTCACATTGCCTTGTAATCTTCTTTTCTATTTTTAGTCTCACCCTGTAAGTTTTCTTAAGTTTTGTAATCTTAAAACTCACAGCTCTTTTTCCATGTATCTAATTTCTAATTTTCAAATGTAAAATATCAATTAGTCATTTAACAATAACTAGAATACAAATGAAAATGATTACATCGAATTAGATCTGGTAATTCCTTTACTGTTATTTAAGACAACATTTGGTTTTGCTTCTCATCTTTTGCAAAATTCTGAAACTTACGCCTATTTTTTCTTTTTTTTTATGTTTAAAAATTGGTTTACTGTAATGAATTAAATGTCCTGAAGAGAAATCTAATGGACTAAGCATTAGATGATATTTCAAGAAACACAGAACCACAAGGTAAAAATGGATGGAAATGGTATATATTTTACTGTGTTAATATGTCTAGTCATGGGCAAGAGGCGGTCCAGGACTCCAACACCCCCATGCGTGCCACATTAATTGTCACCTTTATTCCTCTCCTCCTCCTGTGGTTCCCAACACTTTTAATGTTCTCTTCCCTCTCCTCTGCCTGTCCAATTCTTACCCATCGAGTCCCAAATCTTTTCATGAACTATTCTTTTATTTCTACAGCTGACGGGCTGTCTCGTCTTCCTCAAAGTCTCTACCTACAATTTACTCCCAATTTCTTCATTAGGTTAACTAACGAATTTTTGCATGTTAATGGTTCCAATCTAATCCATGCATATTTTGACTCTCTTACGGGCTTTGGGGCTCCTCAAGTCCTGTTAGGTTCAGAGGAGGGACTTGAAGACTTATAGAATGAATAACTATTTTTTAAATGTAACAGGTATACTAGCTGTACTTTAAAAATGTATATAAGACAAATCACCATAAATATTCAAATCTATTGAAACTAAAACAGAGGTATTAAAAACAAGAGATTATAAGTAGATTACATTAATATTATATGAGGTTTTCTAAATTCTACATAGAGAAACAAGTTTTCATCAAAACAGAGAGAAAGAGAAAGTATTACATCACTTTCATTTAGTCAGGTAGAAGCTGGAAGGGGTTGGACTTTGGTGGGATTTGGGGAAAACTGATAAGCAAAATAAGAATTTATCATCTAGGCATGAAAAAGGAGTAGATAAAGATAGTCCCAAGTGACAATGAATACGAAAAGTGGAAAAAGTCACAAGAGACTATAACAAGGATAGGCTTTAGGAGGAAAGTAAAGGTTTAGTATTATTATAATGACGGTTACTACTCCAGGCTTCTGACAAGACAATCTGTGGCCAGAGAAGATAAGATGTGATGAGTTGATCCACAAGTTGGCCCCGTCATTAGGTAGTGAAGTGGTGATCAGACTCCTATTTAAGATAACCCATAGCCTGGAATCAAATTTGAGGTGGTATACGTGGGAAGTGAATGTTTGCCTGGGGAGTGAATCACACCACACAAGACCTTGAACCTGAGAGAGATCAATAAATCCCTGTGGTATAGAGACCAGGAGGGAGCAAAGCTGGGGTCCATAATAAATATCAGTGGGAGTAGAAGAGAAAACAATGTGAAAGAAAGACGACGGCTATCAGAGAAGTAATAGCAAAAGCAGTAAGAGATGATTTCAGAGGAAGGAATTTCAGCGGCGCGATTAAGCAGAATGAAATCAACTGAGCCAAAATGACAAAAAGACCACGTTGAACAAGAACAGCTACCATGATGTTTTGCAGAGAAAGGGGTCAGTGAAAACCTTTCCAAAAAATAAAACTTGTCTTCAATAGGAAAAAAGAAAACAATTCAGAGCCTTAGTATGTATGCCTTTGGGAGGCGGATGTACAGTATTGAAAATGAAGGTAACTTTATTTTAAAGAATTTTAAAGAATACCTCCTTTCACAAAGAATGATTAGACACAAGCTACTTCCATTCAGTCAGATGCTCTCCCTGAGAGTAACTTAGGCACTTCTGGAGCTACATTAATCTTTTTCAGTCCCTGGAGCACCATTAAGTACAGGCAGCAGTAATTTACTAAATTGCATACTCGAAGCCTGAAAGAGTTAATGCGGCTCCAAAAGTGCCTAACATTTACCCAGGGAGTAATTTACACACTGGAAGCATCTGGCTGAATATGGATTCAATTGTTTACTGTACTGTGGGTTTCACAGAAAGGAGGTCACATGCTTTCTCTTATTGAAAAGTTCTGGGGAACAATTTCTTTCATTTAAAAAATATGCACCAACTGCCACACTTTCATCCAGTATTCTGTTTTTATAATGCTCAAAAGAAAAGTTGTTACCAGAAATAAACTTAGAGTCTTTGATTTACCAAAGAAAACTATTTTATTTTACTTTTGGCTTTGTTACCTGAAGGTTGGGGGTCGATAGGGTTGAGGTGATACCAAGAAACTAGCAGATTTGTTAACAGTCTTTATTTCCTCCCTGGAAGAAGCCATTCCGTAGATTTGTACAAATGTTTGTATTTTACCTCTCTGCGTGCCAGAATACTTGAATGCAATACTGTTTAATAAAGAAAAGAAGAATAGGAAGACATTCACAAGTGAATCAATTCCAAGTTATTCTTAGCCAGAATGCAGCAGTACGTGTGTTCAGGACCGCTCAAGTGTCAACAGAAGCACCTGCGTAGGTATTAATTTCTTTAAAATTCCTTCTGCATGTTACATGCCCAGCACCACAGACAGTATATTAGAGAGAAGGAGCTCTCACGTGAAAAATCTTGTGACCTAAGGGAAGGGATACCAGCAAACAAGCGAGAACACATAGAATTCCAGACTTTGTGGATACACTTTCTAGATAGCTTTAAACTGCCAAGATAATGACACCCTTTCTCAGGATGACTGAAATACAAGGCTTAGTATATAATTGCTTACACCTCTCAAGTGGTTATATTCACAATCAACATCTTCTGTCTCAGCAACAGAAACATGTGATCATGTTTGTTAATATTTTATTCATTTGCTTAGAAAACCTAGGCTTGCTAAGTCTTACAGTTTCTTAGTAATTTAGGTCAAAGTTCATTTTACTTTTTCAAAAGGTTTATTAAGTATAATTACCAATACAAGCAGAAATGATTTTTAAATGATTTTCTGTTATGCATCAACCATATTTCCGATGCAATCTACTTCCATTTATTAGAATATATGCACTGGGACCGATTTTTTTTCAGACAAAATAATGTTTATTCTTTACATCTACTTGGGAAAAAAGCCATACAGAAAAGTAGAACACAGATGAATTCAGTTTTAGTATACTGAACTCGTCTCAAAAATCCCAAATCTTTGTACTCTATATCTGTGCAATAAAATAATGCAGTGTTTTAAAAACCTGATCGGATGCCTCCTTGATCTCTACTTTTTGAAAAGAGAAGTAATTTTTTCACTCTGATGATCCTAGTCTATATGAGTATCAGTTTTGGCATGGATTTTAAGTGCAATTCTGCCCTCTTAGTGATGGAATAATGCTCCCCATTGCTGTACTCATTCTTCTACCCCCACTTCCCTTTCTGTCCCCTTTTTTGTCTGTGGGACTCCTAAAGCTTCCTGGAGTCTCTTTAATCCTCCTCGGTTCTTTGCATTTTCCTCTGATCTCAGAACAGTCATGCAGCACCTCTTCCTTCTTGACAGGCCTTGGGCCACCATCCTCTCCCTTTGACTCATCCCATTGCTAACATGTTGTATTTAATACAAATACAAATAAATAAATGTATGCACCAAAATTATTGGAGCATATATTGTATCTGCATGTCTTTTTAACCATGAAATCCAAAGCAATTTACAGAAAATGTATGCCTATGACAGCGCTGTAAAATAAGTAAGTGCAAAAATAGTACTATTTTCTATTTTATGGATTGTTTAAAATTTCCGGGAAGAAAGAAAAAGCGACTTCCTTTTTTCCTCTCTAGAATTCTTGTGAGTTGTTCTAGCCTGCTTTGAATCATGCATTCAGTATTATTTACTCACATTGTGTGTGTATATGTGTTTCATTGTGTGTTTGAAAAAAAAAGCCTTTTGCAAAGGATTATAAACCTTATATTATTTGCCTAAAGCCAACAGGGGCAGAGTAGCATGTTCCAAAGCAAAGTAATCTCTAGTAAATTATAGAGTAACAATATTTGGAATTACTGTGACATTAATGTACTAAGCCATAAATTTTAAAAGAAATACCAAAATCTCATCGGCTTTTTATGGCTTGCTTTTTGTCTAAAAGAGTCGTGTGTGTGTGTGTGTGTGTGTGTGTGTGTGTGTGTGTGTGTGTGCCTTTGAAATAAATGCATTTGACTACTAATGTGTACACTGCTGTATGAAAATAAAAAACAATTCACTAGAGAAGTAGGGAAAAGTCTTTTAAACCAAAGAACAGAGAAATCAAATTATACTGGGAAAGAATGATCATTATACAATTGCTGCACTGGCCAATAGTGACGGCTGCTAATGGGAAGACATCAGATACAATCTTTAAGAAAAGAAAAATGGGCAATGCTCATTCAGTCTTATGTGTCCTGACTCTTCACCTGAATTGTAGCTCATCTCTTTCAGAGGGATGCATACATAAAGTATGTATTTTGCTGCTTCGAAAAATTTCATGAGAAAAAGAATGTATATAATTGCATCATTTTCCATGGTAATACTCATAAAAGAAAAAAAAAACACATTTTAAAATTCCATGTCCCCAGAACATCACATGGCCCCTAAAAACATCCCCAGGCTTTATTGTAGCAAATCAGCTAAGGTTCCCATAGAGAAAAAAAAAAAATAGACTAATGTAGAAATCTCAGGACACATATTTTTTATCTGCAAGAAGCTGAGACTGCTTTACTGATATCAGGTCATTAATTATCACTAGGTAAAATAATCCTCATCTCTAAAATAGGCAGAGATTATTCTCTTGGTTTTGTGAATGAGGGGAATAGATCAGAGTTTAAAAGTCTCATGAAAAACCACAGAGCCAGCAGAGAATCTGATGATATACTAAGTGCTGAATCTGTGCACTGCCCACCATTGTTTTAATTTCTGCATTAGCTGAGCAATGGGAGTAAACCTCACTTTGGATAATAGATGTGTCCCCATAAATGTTAGCAAATCGAATTTTTGTCAAGCAAATTGTATTTTAAATAAACAATGAGCAATTCAAAGCAACAAAATGTGGGGTTTTTTCCCTAACATAAACAATCCCTGTATAATGTGAATAGCACTCCATCATGTATCTGTTTTACAAGTTTTGAATATGATTTAGTGGTTGTTTTTAAAGCAAGTGTAGCCTATAATTCAGTACTTTTGTCACGGCACTTCTAGTTAAGGTTTCTTTTCTCTTTCTTCACCTACCTCTAGTTACCTGCACCCTTTTTCCCCTCTTTCATACATTTTTATATGCCTCAATCCAGAACTGTTCTGGCACTGTCCAAATATTTGACAAGACCCACTTGCCAAAGTCGAAATCCACAGATTGAATGGGCTACAAATTCACAGCATCCTATTAGGGCTCTAGTTGGCTGAACGACCAAGGGTTTCCGTTTCTATTAACTGCCTAAAGCATTCTTCAGGATGGCTCTGCCCACATCTTCCCTTTCACCTAATCTCTACCAGCCTCTTATTTCAACTTCCTATCGCACTGACAAGATAAAACCAGCAGATTTCCCTCACGTTTCTTCTTCTGCACAAATACTCATTTCCATTCATTTCTCCTCCTTCCTTTTTCTCTTGAAGATCAGTGTTCTCCCTGCTCTCAGGGGTCACCTTTTCTGTGTGTGTTCCTGATGCCACCCCATTCAGCATTTCCCACCATTTCACCTCTTCTAGATCCCATTTCTCCAGCATGTTCAGTCTCTTCCAAGTGTTCTGGCTCTGCTCTGTTACTGCTAACATTTTCAGGAGCTCTTCTGTTCCCAATCCCAACCTTTAGTGTTTCCGCATGATAATTAAGAACATCCTCATATCCAAGTCTGGTGGGGGTTTGCCCTTGGTATCAGTCTCCATGACTCCCCCTTCAATATTTTCTAAACTTCCACTGCTCATACCTATAGCGTTGTGGGATGTTGGTTCTCATCTGGCTCCAAGCACGTCCTCTTCCCACTCTTCTTAACAGCCCACTCTCACTCCCCCTGTCATCTATGTGTAAAGGTTCCAGTTCTTGGTCGAATTCTCTTCTCCCTCAGTATGCTTTCTTAGAGATCATATCCAGAACTACAAAATCCTCAGAGGATTAAGAGTGAACATAGGAAATTATATGCAGCCATTAAATGATGACATAGATATACATCTATAGGCACAAAAAGGTGTTTATTTGCATAATATTTAGTGGGGAAATTGAGAAAAAATGCTATAAAGAAATTCTCCAAACTATGAACAGTACTTCTGGAGCAATGATGGGAGAATGGGTGTGTTTTATTTTCTTCCAAAGTTTCCACAATGCCCATGACTCCTGAATCAGTATCTCCAATTCTAATATATCTTCCTTGAAGTAAGTCTCAACAGAATTTCAAAACCAACCCGTCCCAAAACAAAACTGACCAAACTGTGACCTGAACCTGGTTCCCTTCAAGTGTTTCCTGTTTTATCCCTGATCCCAGTCTATTCTTCTGGCCATTTCTTCATCTATCCTCTTACCCAAGGTCACAGAGTTTTTAAGTGGCAAAGCCAGAATTTGAATCTAGGCTGTCTGACTCCAAATGTCCTGCTCCTTCCATCATCCCAAGCCCCTGGCAATCAGGAAATATGAACAAAGCTTCCTTTGCAATTGTGTAAGGGAATCCGATAAGAAGAAAACCAACGGAGCCCCTGAGAGAGATAAAAGGCTGTTTCCCCTCTTCATCCTGCACTACACCTGACTGCAGCGCTAAACAATCTTTTTCTCAGTTTGATACAGATTCAAAGGAATTGGGCTTCCCAGTTTCTCTGGATGACAATCCTTTTACACAGCCTTGACCATTATTCACTTGATCCATTTGGCCACAGGTTACAACTGAAACCTGAATCACTAGAAACCCACTCTCTCAATATGCGTAGAGTGTTGTCCTTCAGCTTGCCATTTAAAATGCAGAACTGCAGCAGAAATCACCTTTTGGTTTCGTTATTTTTCTAAATTTCTGTCAGACAACGGCATAAGGAAAATGTCATAGCTGAAGTACACATTTCTAGTTCCCTTTAGCTTCACAGTACTGAACAAAAAAATAGACTCAGTGCTGAACAAAAATTATATATACATATAGAGAGAGATATCTTTTCTTTCTGGATGAGTGACAATATTCGAGCAAATGTAATAAGGGCAGAAGGAGGACATTGAGCTCACGGGGTAAGGCATTAACAAACAAACGTGGAAGGGACAGAGATGACATCGTTGGCACAAAGCAGAGAATGCTGAGCTGGAGGAAAGATGAAGGGGCAAGAGAGAAATGGAAACATGGGTAGGTTCGTAATTAAGTGGGGTAGGGGGTTAAATAAGGAAATGGATTTTTAAAAAATGAGAGTTGAAAGAAATTAAAACTCCCAGCCCAATTTCCAAAAGAAATAGGATCTGTCCCTCGCCTCTCGTCCTCATGCCCCTGATGTCTCTGCAGCCTTCCTATCTTATTTCATCTACCGCCTTCCTTCACTATCGTATCTTTTTACTTCTTGAACTTCCTAATGTTCCCTAATTCCTTTCACTTGATTTTATTTTGCCTGTATCATATTTCCTGCTGTGCCATCATTATCATAGCCTAGTTCTCTCCACATATAATATGTCATCTTAAATCCTTCCATTTTTAATCATCAACCTCTCGTAGCAACCCCTTACCTGTCACTTTTGCAGATCCTCCACTGACTTGTGGTTATTCGCCCATTTGGGGCTTTAATTCAGCAACAGCTCCTTAAACTTCCTCTGTCCTTGCCTACTGCCATCTACAAAAACCAGTGACCAAAAGCCAGGAACACAGCTGTTGTTTCTATTGTCACCACTCTTCTTGTGGAAGATGATGATGATGATGATAGCATAATAATATTACCTAATATTAGTTGAATGCAGACTAGGTACCAGGTACTCTTCTAAGTATTTTACTTGAAATTATTCACTTAAATTTCACAGTCTCCTTCCAAAGTGGCATCATAATGAATCCCAGTTTATAAATGAAGGAACTGAGATACAGGTATGTTAAGTAATTTGCCCAAGGTCACCTGTCTTTGCTCTTATTTTCATGGGTATGATTATTTAGTAGATACCCAAAAAGGGGCCTGCTCTTATTTTTTTTTTCAGCGCCTTCTCTTGAGGGACTTTGGACAAGTTTATCAGTACTGAATTGAAGTGCCAGAGACACCTCTCCCTGCTCAAAACATATCAGTATCCTGGGTCAATGCACATTAAGAGTCTTCTGATTTGAGGGTGTTCCTTGTCCATTGCCCCACGACCCCACTTAGCAGTTAAGACATCTTTGCCTTACCCTCTTTTATAAGCTTCTTAATTCTACTGTAGTAGACCTTGGCCTTAAGACCCCCAAATATCTTATATTTGTTTATTAACTTAATGAATATTTATTGCGGACCAGTGGTGTTTTAATTACTATGTTGACTTGATTCAAATATGTACGTGGTCTCCAGGAGCCAAGAGTGAAGTAGACCAGGGGAACAGAAGGCAGGGGCCCTGCATAAAGGAGGACAATTTCCAGGAAAAGCAACGGTCCAGAAACTCACAAGGACAGACACTAGAAAAACAAGGAGCAGCTCTGTGTCCTGAGGCACAAAGAGGGATGGAAGCAGGGTGGGGATGGTGTTGTCATGGAAGCTGTGTTTAAAGGAGAGCTGGCTTTAGCTGCTGGCAAAAAGGCATGTCTTTTCACCTAAGGATAAAGAGTGAGGTAGCAAGAACAGAATATAGTACCCTAAAGACTAGTTTACAAACTGCTAAAAAAAAATCTTTAGAAATTTTCTTTAACATATCTGTAAAAGTACTTAAATTAACAATTTTCAAAAGGTTGATTCCCATATCCCAGTCCACTTACAACATCTCCGTTTAATCAGTTTTCTTTCTTTTCACTATTCCTGACACATTGTGTAGGATTGTTGATGTAAAAAGATTAATGTTGAGCCAAACTGGCTGTCTATGCACATAAAATGAAAGGGCTACACCATCATCTATCAGTTTATGTTAACTGTTCTGATCATTAGTGATTACCAATCGACTTGGATGCAGCTATTCGTATTAACTGGCCAAAATGTTCCAAATGAATAGACCTGTCCCACTAAGACCTGTTTTTTAATGCTTACATCTGAAAATTCAACCTATAAGTGACTGGAATAATTAAAGAGTAGGTAGGTCTTAATTAGATATAGTGTACTACATAGTTAAATATGTTTATAAGAAATGCAGTTTCTCTAGTTTCAAAGAGGATGATGCACTTGCTGAAACCAGCCTAGGTCTTATATAGCATTATTGTACATATATAAATGATTTGTTACCAAATTATCTATATTTTCAGAGTCTAATCAGGGCTAAGCTCTACTGATTACACATATAAATATCTCATTTAGTACAATGTATAGTACTAACCAGCTACGAAAAGGAAGGTTCTTTTAAGCTTGTACGTATTTCCTCTATAAAAGTAGATATTCTATTAAAGGTACTTTAAACTATGCTATTTAAGCTTCATCTAGCCTAATCACATGTTATAATTAAAGAAGACATATAAGTATTCTTGGAAATACAGCCATAAAACAAGCAAAACAAGAAAAATGTTGCTGGAAATGTCTCTTCTTCTGAAGTAAGCAAGCTCAGAGTGACCATGGATAAACTACGTGCATACGATTTGATACATAATTCTTAGAATTTGCACCTCATCCTGAGTTGTCCTCAATAAAGTTATTTTTTTAAGTCCTTGACTAGCAATCCAGTGTCCTCAATCAGACCTAATAGATAAGTGCCATATTCTAGCCACTAGATTTACAGAAACCAGAACCCTGTGACTTTCAGCCTGAAAATAATAACTAGCATCCTACTGTCCAGGTACCCAATTCTATGGGAGTGATATGGAGCCCCTCTAAACCCACAGGGGAGAATTATGTATAAAGTCCCACTAAGCTGGCTTTTCCCTTTGGGTGAATGTTGTGTAGTAATAAGCGGCATGCCGAGGAGGTTGTATCAATGGATGGCTGCTGCTATTAGAAGCCACCAACAGCCTACTCCATGACGCTCACAACTAAAGGAGCCTGAAAATTACTAACTAATAATAATCAACACTAATATTAAACCCCGGAACTCCTAATTTAGAATGCCAAGCAGACAATTTGAAAGGAGAAAGAAAGGCAAAATACCTGTGTCATTCAATAGCATCACTGATAGGAAACAGATTCACAAAATACTTACTAAGGGGTGCAAGCAAATAACAAAAAATAATCAAGGTGATGATTCCATGTGGTCAAAGCACACATAAATTTAGAAAAAAACCAAAAGGATATTCAGCAAATTTTAACAATTATTTGTTATCTGTAGGGGAGGATTAGAAGTATTTGGGCTAGCCTTTCCTATATCTTCTGAAATGCTACATTAAGCGTGAATTACTTTCATAAACAGGAAACAATTTTAAAGCAAAATTAGAAAAAAATTAAATGAACTACTCAACAACATATGTTTTCACTTAGGAAGAAAAAATGCTCCCCTAAAGTTCAACCTCTTACAAATGAAAAAAATTGAGAAGATATTTCCCGTTCTGTTTTTCAGTTTAGATTGATCCTTTTCCTCTTCTACTAGCAGACAGCAGCAAAAATTGATGAAGCCAGTGTTAGCGCTCAGGTTCAATATGGATTCGCACTAGCTTGCCTTTTCCATGTCAGTGATCATGGTGGGCAGAGCAGTGGAAATAAGTTATGTAAAAGGTTTCCGCCTAGTTGTTGTTTTAATTAATCTGGGTGCCTGAATGACACACAGGCTTAATCGGGTGGTATGGAACCTGTCGCTGTTAAGTAATTGATTTGAACCCAAACGCAGGTTGTGATCAAAAGCTGTCATCGTCCAGTGGCTACTCACTGGCCCATGTGAAATGGGTTGGTGGTCTCAGTCTAATTCCTTGTGGACCAGTGTCAGCCTCATGAAAAGCATTACCTAAAGTGGCACTAATTGGTTGACATTCTCAGCATGAAAGAGTGAATAAAGAGACTGAAAACTAAAATAACCTTCAAAGTTAGGCTGAGGATGAAAATGGGCCATGCAGCATTGAAGGGGTTACCTCTGTAGCCAGCCATGATACTGCAGTGGAAAGAGAGGAGTCCAGTTCCAGAGATTTCAACCCCACCCCTATTTTTATAGGCAGTGGAAGCTGAACCTAAGGAAATTAACTTTTGTAGACTACTAAAAATCCTTAGATTTACTACTCACAATCCTGCCTTGTACTTATATGTCCCTAGGGAAATCTGAGCAAAGATATTTTACCAAAAGGCAACAGGCTAAAACTGACTGCTAAACCTTTAAAAAAATTCTCAAATGGAGATCTGGCTTCATTATTACCAAACCGTGTGTGTTCATCACTTTAATTACAGGAAAAATCGATAGGGCATGTAAAAGTACATGGCATATTTTACCTGACATTTGTGCTTCTTCACTTTATTAAGCATGCCTTTTTGAACGGAAATAACAGGCTAGAATTTACCAAAAGTCTCGGTACCTGAGAGCAAAGATTTCTCTTGCACTCAATTTATCTCCTGTATGGTGTCTTTACCCTTTCAAACAGCATGTTTTTAGTAAATGAACACGAAAACAAATTGAAAAAGCAATAATGGATGCGTTCTCTCATTAGTGCAACCAGGCAGATTACTAATTCACAAATATTGAAACTAGCACTGATGGAGATGAATGAATTTCTCATAATTTAATAATGCAAATCACACTAACAGCAGAGACCTCCGATAACTAGTGGCACTAGAAGAATTACTATGAATGCCAACTGATAGATGCAATGTTGATAGAGCTATTTATCTTGTTGTTTCATTGGAAGTCTCCTCTTTTATGATATTTATTATTTATTCTGTATCTCTTTACATTTTACATGTTATAAATGACTTTCTCCTGAAAAAGACAGGAATTATGGCAACAAATTTTGCAAGTTAATAATTTTATTTTTTCTCAGGTATATTTTGATCCGTGACAAATGGGGAGGCAATGGCTGTTTCAAATGTGCGGTAATCACGACTAGAAGCATTTTTCAAAAGTTATCATACAAAAAAATTGACAACATCACTTTATCACACAAAAATAATGGGAGAAATGCAAACCTGTTTTTTAAAAACAAAAATATCCAATGAAATGCCTTTATACCCAGAACTTCTTGACAGATAAAATGTACTATTTAAAATATAGTTTAAGTGGCTCTACAATTCCATACTTCTACCATGAAGCTTCATTAAAGTCTATAAATTAGTACTACTGTCAGAGATGGCATTAAGTATTCAATAAGAGTAGACTTAATGCAATTAATAGCAATTAAAATTATACTTTTATGATGTTAGACACCAGCATTGTAAAGACATAATTGCCTGTAAGGACTTTTGTACCGTATTTATCCTCTAAAACTGTCCAATTTATATGAAAAATGCCAAAAACATATCCCATATGGGTACGATTATCTTCTCGGATTTTTAGAAGTAATCTGTCTTATCCAGCATGCGCACAATAGGCTAATTTGCTTTAATTAGTTTTTTTCTCATTTTGTTAATAGGCATGTTGATGTTAAGTTTTTATTTCAGAGGTACAGATGCTAACTTCACTCATTATGTTCCTATTAAAGGGTCAGTATACTTTGTGATAAGCTGGACTTACCCACTTAAAAAGCATCATTCTTTGAAATATTAGATGATATAGCTTATCAAACATAAAAACTATATTGCTGTTATAGTAATCGTGAGCAACTTCTATCTACTTATTTGGTAGCTAAAGAACAGCTTCGCTGTGTCTGCTGTGGCGAGGCATTTTTGTATGGACATAATAAATTAGAGAAACTAATGAACTGGTTTCAGAAACACAGTCATTTGTGACTCCTCAAAGCATTCATAAGAATTACCATGAATCTATGCCAGTGCTTTGCATTTAAGCCGGGAGGCATACAAAATAAAAAATGCTTTTCTTTCCCATACCCAACCATGTCCTATGCCTCAAACTTTAAAGACATTTTATTAAAGCTGATGCATTAAAATAATTTTATTAATTATTATCCCCTACCTTATCTGTACAATTTTCTCACCCTGAACTCCTATAAAGAAAAATAATTATATATATATGCAAAGAGCAAGACATATACTTAAGAATGCTGCCCGTTGGTTCTCTGGAGACAGAATTTTTAATTTTTTAAAATAAGTAATTGAGAAGATTCTGCAGAATCCCCAGATGAAACTTAGAAGACTTAGGGGAAATATTAAGAGTGAGTTTGCTTTCCCTCTCCATTTGATAAATATATTTAGCTCCAAGTTTGTATACATGTCTTTACATCATGAAATATATTCATTACATTCATACAATGATTTTCTCAGCTTACTTTTCAATGTTCACTATATTTGTGAAACTGTGAAAAACCACGTAATTTCACAATTGTAAAGTTGTAATGAAATCATAGGATTGATTTAAAATCTGAAAACATTATATGTTTTGAAGTGCATTGTTTTACAATAAGCAATAAAACAATTATCAGGTTGGTTCAAGTTAGTATCTTTTGGGAAACTTCCTATATAGATAATTCAAATTGGGGTGGGGTAGGGGGTAGTTAAGGGAGTAAAAAATCAAATCATTCAGATGCCTTTGAATAGGATGGAGATACAATAAGGATGTCTTAAAATACGTCATTGTTTTAAATAAGTAATCTGTTATACATATTTTATTCTCAACATGTCTGTCTGTCAGTAAAAAGACATACTCGCTGGGTAGTTTTACAGAATAGTTCAGTGGCTTCCCGAAATATCAGCTTCTATTGTTTTGTTTTCTTTTACTTTGTCTTTTGTTGTTTGTTGGTTTTTTTGTTTTTTGTGGGTTTTTTTTTTTTTTTGTGAACTCAATTTGTACTCTTTAAGGCTTGAATTGTTTTCTTCAGGCAGCCAATAGTTGTATTGATAAAATCTATAAACTGAACATTTTCATGTAACTAAAAGAAATCATTAAAAAATCAACAAAATTGAAAGAAGCAAAAACTCAATTGCATGATTCATCCTTTTTAACTGTTAGTCTCCAAGATTAAAGCAGCTTTCATGAGCAAGAATGTTTAGCTAACGAAAAACAGAGTAAATAACAAAAAGTAGAATAAATTAGAATGTAATTGTCCTTCACAACCTATCACATAAGGCTTTCAGATACAATTTGAATATAACAATTTCTTCTGTATTTCTTTTGTCTCCGTTGTATTATAAAGCAGAGCGATTACGATTCATTGGAATTGAACTACACTTATTTATATTTAGTTTCTTGTTTCTAAGAAAAGTAGAATGAGGCTGGGTGCAGTGGCTCATGCCTGTAATCCCAGCACTTTGAGAAGCTGAGGCGGGTAGATCACTTGAGGTCAGGAGTTCGAGACTAGCCTAGCCAACACGGTGAAACCCTGTCTCTACTAAAAGTACAGAAAATTAGCTGGGCATTATGGTGTTCACCTGTAATCCCAGCTACTTGGGAGGCTGAGGCAGGAGAATGGCTTGAACCCGGGGGGCGGAGGTTGCAGTGAGCTAAGATCGCACCACTGCACTCCAGCCTGGGTGACAGAGGGAGGCTCTGTCTCAAACAAAAAAAAAAAGAAAGAAAAAAAGAAACAATACAGTGAATTACATCTGCCTTTGTCCCATTTGTACAGTGAACATACACTCTAAGTCAATTGTTCAATAACAATGGGGTGAGTGCTGGAAAAATAGAACTGTGGGAAAATGTGTATGTGAAAGCAGCTTATTCACAAAATGGAAGCACAAATATTTTTCATTACAAGTAACTCTCAAATGGCAATCAGGTTGTATTGCAAAAGGCATTTACATGGGAGTTGGTTGTTTAGGTATATAATTTCCCGAAGAAATTATGTTAAATGGTTGTCCTAAGCTTAATTAACCACAAATATAATTGAATTCAAAAACAATCATCTGTATTTGTGTGGCGCCCATATATGTGTGTGTAAGTTATTTTAAAATTGAGTACTTGCTATAGATTAGCTTCTGCGTTCAGTATTTTATGCCTACTTATAATCCTATGAGACAGATACCATAATTAGATCCACTTTGTAGATGATGAAATAGTCATCTATTTCAGGATCCAAAACCAGATCCTTCATCTTTAACTCAGATGTGGCCCAGATTTCAAAATAAGTAAGATTTATAAGAGAAAGCTGCCACCTCTTTTCACAGGTCCCAGATGTCTCACTCAGGAGACTAAGACAGTGATTCCCACAGTGACACCTCACTAGCAGCCCTTTCCTTCCTCCCTCAAGAGCCCCAGACTCTAAAATAGGCTCCCCTCCTCCTCAGGCAAACTCAATAACCCAGAGAAGATGATGGTGGATGAGTGTTAAGAGGAAAGCATTGGAATGGTGGTTGGCCTTGACCGCTATTGATCAAGCACCTAGGATAGTCCAACTTCTACTAGAGAAACCAGGGTCGCTACGGTTAAAAAAAAAAAAAAAAAATTACCTTCAAGCTTACCTTCTCCTGGGGGAGGAAAGACAAGCACAGAAACACAAAAGTGGACAGCCGTCCAAGCTGTGCAGACAGTGAAGGATGAAGTGGCTGGTGGGGGCAGAGACAGTACAGAAGGGGACAGCTTTAGCCAGGAGAGTTCAGGAAACCTCTGGAGCAGATGGCTGTGAGCAGGAATGGATGATGGACAGCCATGCTGAGACCCAGGAGGAACGCTTACAAGCTGAAAACATCAAGCACAAGGACTCTGAGAGCCCAGGGAGCCTAGCAGTTTTAGGAAACAAAAAGAATGCCAGGACAGCTGAAGCAGAGAGTGAAAGGGGGAACATAGAGAGAACCAGGAACCAGGGAGAGGAGCACTGGTTGCCAGGGGAGCACTTTTAGGGAAGAGGTGCTGACTTGATTTGATTTCCTTTTTTCCCATCATTCTGTCAGGTGAGTGGAGAATGCACTGCAGGGACACCGTTTAGAAGGTGATAAAAGAGTTAAGCTGAGACAACTGTGGCTTGGATCAAGGTTATTCCAGCAGCACTTAAGTGCTCTGATTTGGGTGTATTTTGGAGACAAAGAAATCACGATCAGCAGAACTTGAAGATGTACTGGATACGGGAACAAGGGTGGCCACTATGTTCGAGGTCTAAGAAACTGGATCAATGGTAGTGGGATTGACTGAGAAAGGAGACTGTCTGGGAAGCAGCTGGTCTGGACTGACTCTTCTGAGGAGCGGATTATAATGGGGCAACACACAATGAATGAATGACTGATGGTCTTCCTAAGCCTCCTGTGCAACCAGTAAGCTTTGATGCAAAGAAATCATCATTTAATGCAATTTTAACCCTTGCAATAGTGAAGTAAAAGTTTTAGGGCTCGGCTGTCTACAGATTTTGTGGAGAGGCAGAAGACAACCTTAGAGATGAGTCACACTTACTATGCACATCAGCCATATTCTACTTTTCAGGTTTGTTTCACTTATTCCACTTCAGACATCATGGACTTTCTAACATCTCTAGTTGATTCGTAAATAGTTGGTTTTATTGGTGTCAAGCCCAGCAAAGATGATAGTGGCCATTTTATCTTGATGGGTTATTTTTGTAATTCGGTCCTCAGTACGTAAGCCTGAGGCTGCCTGCGCACGTGTGATACCTTTCAACGGAGAAGAAAAACATGGACCACCTAAATGAGGTGGGCGAGTATGTACATACATGTACTTATTCAATGTTCCCGAAGTGCTGTCAAGAGGAAGGTTTCTATTTAATATCATGAGATCATATTGGCCTCATGTTCTCCCAAGAGGAACACAGATGCCTAGTTGTGTGGCTCTCTGTTAAAGATCTATTGCATTTCATGAAAGGCCCGATCAAAACACCAGGCAGGAGGGAAACTGAATTGATGCATTTTTGCCAAAAACATGGTAGTAAAGAGTAAAGTCAGTGACTGATAGAATGTGTCGCTGAGATAATCCACAGGCTGAAGGTGCATTGCTGGGAATTTCAGGACAAGCTGTGGTGATAGATTATGTGATGCAATGTACATCGTCAGCTCTATGTTCCTCAGTTTGCTGATCTGTAAAATGGAGACAATAACACTCACCCTCTTCCACAGAGATTTAAGACTAACTAATAAAAAAGGTCTATGTTACTTTCAAGTGCACAAAAAAGGATTAAGCCAAACTTCCTTTATTGCGGCAAGAACAGGATTTATAATCTTATTCAAACAATTAGATTTATTTACTCTGCTTTGTCTTTTAATTGAAAAGTTATATAAGATTTCACAATCTAATCAGGACAAAAAGATTCTTCTAGATTCTTATAGTTAAAGGAATTGGTAGCCAAAAAAGAGACAACTTGTTTGCACAACAGTTCTGTGTGCGATATTGCTGTTTGCCACTAACATGCTTTTAATCGCTGGTGACTTGTGAGATATAATGAGTTTTCTTTTCTCATGAACATCTGATGAGGGTCATGGTCATTTCCAAATTTATGACCCTTTTTAAAATCATGCACAGAATCCAAATTTTGTATTAGCTGATGACTGCCTACTGATCCATGTGTTAATTGAGTGTGATTTGTTCTCTACTGGTAATGACTTTGCCAACCTAAGAGGGACCATGCCCACAAGGAGTATTTAGTGAACATCACCTACAGAGGCCAACGCTGAAACAAGTGAAAGAATAAATAAGGAAGCTCCAAAAGCTGAGCAATTAGGCTTTGTTCTCTCCTGTACCTAAACCCGTCTTTTACTCCGAGATGTCCTAAGAGAAAGACATTGTTTCCCCCGTACCCTAGCCAGGTATCAAGACCAAACAGTACCCAAATAGCCTAACTGAGCTGCCTGTGCTGCCTTTCTACAATTTATGGCATGCAATTAGCTGTCTGGTTCCCTAATGAGTAATTCCTCAATTGCAGAGGTTCTAGGGGACTACTTAATTCAGCCCTGCCAACACAACCCCACCCTAGATGTTGAGACCAATTTCTCCAAATGACCTCAGCAGAAAAGCTCAAACCTCTCCAGCCATTAAATCATCATTAACCCATTCCTGTTAGAACTTCCCACCCTAGTTCCAATAACTGTATGTTTTCCTTCCTTATTATGACAAAGCCTTGGGCCCCCTAGAGGTATCCTGAAGCAGGATAACATACTACTTGGAATATAGGCATTTTATCAGACTGCCCTGGTCAAATTCCCAGCTCCAACAATTATTAGTTCTGTGAGCTGAGGCAAGACATTTAACCTCTCTGAACTCCGGTTTTTTCAGATGTAAAATGGTCAAAATAAAACATCATTCACTCCTGGAACAATTGGAAATACTACATGTAAAGCAGCTAGCAGAGCTCTTGGCTGGTGGTTGAGTGCTAGTCGCTATTCTGGTTTCTGAGGACTTGATTTTGATTTCCTGAGTCCTTCCCTTTAATTCCAGATTTTGAGCCCCTGTCACAATTGCCAGATTTTCCTGGCACCAGCAACCTTGTCTCTCATCCTTCTGTTACAGGATATGCTTGATTTCATTTACTGCTCCATATTTCTCTTCTACTAAAAAGAGACTTTGTGAATGATGACAGGAGTGTGAAAAGAAAAAGTCAGGACTTAAAGACCAGGCAGGTGCTCCAGAGAGTGGCAAGTTGTCCTGTAATGTTCAATAAGTAGATGGTGCAAAGAAACCAGGACACACAGGCAAAGTTCTGAGACTGGCCTAAGGTATTGCCTGTCCCGACACATTTTTACCACCCATTTCTTGGAAGTTGCAGGACAGCCTACTTTGCCATTGACAATTTAGTTGACTTCATAGGGATGAGGAAGAATATTATGTGTATACAAAACTTGTGAAGCAATGAGAATACAGTGCTTCCGTGGAATAAAGTTAGTGTCATAACATTCCTGAAAAAATATGAGTTTATATTATCTGCATCTACAAGTGACAACATGGCATGAGCTACCAAATGTCATCCAACACATCAGACATAAAATGAAGGGGAAGACCTCCAGGATTCTTCAATATTAAAATGGCCTATATCACTTTTCAAAATACAGCCCATCCATAAGTTTCATTCGCAACAAAATCTAATGAAGATGTTTTGTTATTATGGAAATGTGACTAGAACATTGCTGTATTCAGGATTTGACATATCGAGAATTCATTTTCAACCTCAAACTAGGTCCTCCAATTTTGATATAAGTTCATTATGGAAAAGAGCAGCAATTCATTAACTCCTAGAAACTTTATGCTTATTAAGTATTTAATGAGTTTAACCTTTATGTTAAATATAAAATAATAAGAAACTCCATACCTTCCAAACCTGTGAAAATTTTCATCCATAGTTATTTTAATCCATTTGATGAAAATTATCAATAGACTTCAGAGATTTTAATTTGGTGAAAATTTAGTCTACATTCTAGCGCTGGATTTTCTACGTCATATCAACTGGTTTTATTGTTTCTTTTTCACTGTAGTCAATTAGATGGGATTATTTCATTTCCAAAGACTGCTTTTACTCAGACTGTGTAGCTGTTCAGTGAAATATAATCCAACTCAGCCCTTTCTGCATCCAATAAAATCGTCAGTCAGTGTTGGGGGAGCAATCATTGAAATGATGAAATAGCAGTATTGCTGAAAATAAGCAATGGAAAATTCTGCAAAAGCTAAAATTATACCACCGGGACCTCCTTGATCACCACAGCCCTTCTCTAGCCAAGAATCGGTTCTCCCAAAGCATTGAGAACCTGTCCTTTGAAAGGAAACCATTCTCAAGCAGGAAAAGCACTTTCCAGGGGAGTATTCGCCTAGATGTGACTGCGTCTGATATTTATAGGATGGTCTCTACTTATCCCTTGCAAGCATTTCGTCTTGCTTTCAGGTGATATTGCTGTCAGAGATATTTGCTTCAATTGATTATTTATTATGAACCCACAATATCCAGGTACCAATCCATGGTTGGTCAAGGGCCACCCTTAAAATGTTTAAACCAGTACAAATATAGGCATTAAAATAAATACATAAGAAACAATGTATTTTGAGACTCTAAAATATTTCTTGCTTCATCTAAGAAAACAGGAGTCTACAATTTGGGAAAAATGAAGGTTTACATTTGCCGAATTAGAGAAGTCAGCGATGTTAGGCTTTGTTAGAACTATCTGTTAAGTCCAGAAAGAAGACTATTATCTTAAGTTGATTAGGGAGAATAAGTTGAGCGGTGGCTGATTATATAATAAGAAAGTCTAAAATAATAATTTTGAACATGAAAGTTGAAAAGAGCAATCTCAGGAATGTTTTGAAGAATTAAAGCCCTGGCCGAAGCAGAGAAAGGCAGTTTTCTTTCCTTTTTTTTTTTTTTTTTTAATAATTCACGGAACAGAACAAACCAGAAAATCTTATTTGTTCTAAAGCTTCAAAACTACCTTCACCACCACCACCCACCAAGGTATTTGTATTCAAATCCCTATCTAAAGTGTCTCACTTTCATCCTGTTATATAACCTGTTTGCGGTCAACCAGTTCAGCATTAGGTAGTTCAAATATAAAATATTTTCTCTAGCTTAATGGGTCTTGGTGTTTTTCAATATAAAAAAAACTCTACAAAATTGGCTGCACATCGAAGAAACAAAATAACATAGTTAGCAAATGTGGGTGGTCTTTCGAAATTCTCATTTGTCTTGGCATAAAAAGAAGTGGTCTCTGTTCCTTGCTCTCTATCTATGCATAAATGCTGAATGTGGGTGCATTTCTCTGGGCTTCAGTTTTTCTGTTTATTAAATGGAACCTGCCTCCACTTGAAAGTGGTATATCACACTGTTACTGTTCGGTAACTAACCAAACAACATAAGAAACCAAAATTTCCTTGTGAAGGGTGTTTCTTTTAGAAGCTATAATGACTCTTTCAGACCAATATGGTACCACTTAGTAAATTATAGCTTCCATCAACTACTACTTTTGCTGCATAGTTGTTCTGAAAAAAAATATATAATCACACTGGCAGGTACTTGAGGAGCGACTTGTGCACTTAGAGAATGCAGATGTGTATCTCTAAAGTGCATTGAGTTCTTTTCAAGAATGTTGGCACATATATTTAGACTTGTTAAAAATTCAGAGATAAGCAACACATAAAAAGAGAAAAATGGCCTTTTTTCTAAGACTATTTAGGTGGATTTTATTCTATATGAGAGACCTAAGGTATTTCTAAAATGAAGAAAGGAAAAAGTGAGATCAAGTTGATTGGTTCAACAATTGGTACTTTATAAATTCCATAGATCATTCAGCATAGGAACTTGTATGAAGTTTATAATACTATAACCATCACATACCAATAAAGAAGCTTTTTGAAAAGGCTTTAAATGTCATTAATGTTTTCCCAAATTTCAATTGAACTTGTTGCCTTGGTTTTCGACTTATTGAGGAGAAAAGTTAATCATATTCTCTTTTGTATTATAGGAGAAATATATAAATGCCTTGAAAGCAACCTCAATCCCATTTATATTAGATCTCTGCCAGAAGGAAACTCTTTCAAAAATAGACAGAAGTTTTTCTCCAAGACAGAAAGCATGTTTACTTGAACTCATTTATTGGTCTTTCACTAGCACCTGGGATGCCCATGAAACAAGTCAGAGTTGATGAAGACCAGGGGCTCAGATAATCACAGGGGAGAGAGAGAGAGAGAAAGAGCTTCTCCCTTTAGGTGATTGTCAGTAAAAGTCCTTGTGGCTCCTTGCACCTTCCCCATTTCCTCATTTCCCCAGTTGAATTAAATCTAACCTTTCCTCAGACTCTTCATTAAGTCTAGGCTTAGGCTGGAGGAACGAAGAGGCTCACTTTAGTCAAGAACTCCACATTCTCGGTTGGTTCTCCTGTGATGGTAATACTGCCTTTCACTAGTAGTTAGGTCCTGCTTCCGTCCAATAAGACCAGGTTCCTACCTGTTAATCTGATTCCATGATTCCAAACTTAACTTTGTGTCTGCTATTGAATCCCAGTATCCCTGATGAACTTCTTAAAATCAACAAACTCCCAAGTGGACCTCAAAAAACTGTTACTCCTGCCCTTATTTAAGAATACTAATAATAAAACATTGAGGCAAAGCTTTTTGCTATTCATACCTGTAGGCTATAGACCACCCATTCTTTCTGAAAGAAGACCTGCATTCACATCCATACTTCTGCATCATATTTTTCCCTTAAGCAACCAACACATACCTTTACCTTATGTCCTAAAACACGGCCTTTATACGAAAGCTCAAATCGGCCTTGACTCTTGACTTTGAATTTTTTTGTGTAGTAGACCTTTATGCCAACTAACTTGTATATAACTGTCACCAGATCAACTGACGTATTATGCTTGTTCAAGTGAGATATATTGATCATTTTTTTAATTGGATGGCCACTAGTGACTTGAATAATGGGTATTTCTGGAAATACAAATAGTAGATGCACAGCATGCAGGTAAGTTAAGTATCAGCTTTACCTAGGAATCAGCGGGTATTCTTGATGACTAAGTACCCACATTTACTTTCTTGTAGTTCAGCATCTCTCTAATTACAATTATATTTTATGTCCATCTTCTCAGAATTCTTGGAAAACAACACTGTATATAAATTAGTATAAGCAGGTGGGCTACTAACATTTTCTTGCAGTTTAAAATACTGTGATCGAAGTGTGCAACCAGTGTTTCTTTCCAAATGACCTGAAGTCAGCTGACCCAATACAAAGGTTTGGAAATAAAATTAGACTTAATATATTATACCCCATGGGTAACCAGCTTGAAACTAAGTAAACATATATACATATTAGTCATTTTGACAAAATACCTCATAATTAATTATAAGAATATATTTAAAACTAAGTAAAATTTGGACAACATTGTAGCTTCTCCCGTAATGATTTGATTTTTTTGCAAGCAGATGCTTGACTGTTACATGCAAAACGGACATGATATTGACTTTGTTTTCTTGTTATTTACACATTGTGAGCTTCAGGTTGTCAACATTGTGACACTGACAAGGGAAATTATATCTCACTAATGTTTACCAGTCACTACACATGTCAAAGACTTCAACTTTTTATAAAGCAAGGATTAGATTTACCAGCCTACACTCTTTTCTTGCTATATGCAATTCTTTTAAAATAACTTTTAGTCTTATAGTTCTTTGAATTTGAAAAATATTTCCCTGTGTGTAAGTTTCATGTTCCAATAAATATTGTCAATATATCATATAATTTTATTTAGCTAATTCATTCATGAATGCTAAAAAAAAAAATAAATCTTCAGGCCTTTCAAGACTTAACTTGTTTTCTTATTCTCACTCTCTTAATGCCAATGGGGAAAAACATTCATTTTTGTAAGTAAAGAGATATGAAGAATATTGGATGTGTAACCATATTGTAGTTGGCTTATGTTAAAAGTATTTTTTTCTTTATTTCTTCTAAAAAAACAAAACAAAACAAAACAGGATATATGTACAGAACGTGCAGGCTTATTACATAGGTATACATGTGCCATGGTGGTTTGCTGCACCTATTGACACGTTCTTTAATTTCCCTCGCCTCACCCCCAACCCCCCAACAAGCCCTGGTGTGTGTTGTTCCCCTTTATGTGACCATGTGTTCTCAATGTTCAACTCCCACTTATGAGTGAAAACATGCGGTGTTTGGTTTTCTGTTCCTATGTTAGTTTGCTGAGGATGATGGCTTCCAGCTTCATCCATGTTCCTGCAAAGGACATGATCTCATTCCTTTTCATGGCTGCATAGTATTACATGGTGTATACTATGGGTGTACCACATTTTCTTTATCTAGCCTATCATTGATAGGCATTTGGGTTGGTTCCATGTCTTTGCTATTGCAAATAGTGCTATAATAAACATACGTGTGCATGTGTCTTTATAGTAGGATGATTTATATTCCTTTGGGTATATACCCAGTAAGGGGATTGCTAGGTCAAATGGTATTTCTGGTTCTAAATCCTTGAGGAATCGCCATACTGCCTTCCACAATGGTTGAACTAATTTACATCCCCACCAACAGTGTAAAAGCATTCCTATTTCTTCACAGCCTCACCAGCATCTATTATTTCCTGACTTTTTAATAATCACCATTCTGACTGGCGTGAGATGGTATCTCATTGTGGTTTTGATTTGCACTTCTCTGATGATCAGTGATGTTGAGTTTTTCTCATGTTTGTTGACCATGTAAATGTCTTCTTTTGAGAAGTGTCTCTTCATATCCTTTACCCCCTTCTTGATGGGGTTGTTTTCTTCTTGTAAATATGTTTACGTTCCTTGTAAATTCTGGTTATTAGACCTTTGTCAGACGGGTAGATTGCAAAAATTTTCTCCCATTCTGTAGGTTGCCTATTCACTCTGATGACAGATTCTTTTGCTGTGCTGAAGCTCTTTAGTTTAATTAAATCCCATTTGCTAATTTTGGCTTTTGTTGCAATTGCTTTTGGCATTTTTGTCATGAAGTCTTTGCCCATGCCTATGTCCTGAATGGTATTGCCTAGGTTTTCTTCTAGGATATTTATGGTTTTGGGTTTTACATTTAAGTCTTTAATTCAGCTTGTGTTAATTTTTGTATAAGATGTAAGGAAGGGGTCCGGTTTCAGTTTTCTGCATAGGGGTAGCCAGTTTTCCCAGCACCATTTACTGAATGGGAGATCCTTTCTCCATTGCTTGTTTTTGTCAGGTTTGTCAAAGATCAGATGGTTGTAGATGTGTGGTGTTATTTCTGAGGTCTCTGTTCTGCTCCTTTCATCTATATGTCTGTTTTGGTACCAGTACCATACTGTTTTGGCTACTGTAGACTTGTAGTATAGTTTGAAGTCAGGTAGCGTGATGTCTCCAGCTTTTCTCTTTTTGCTTAGGATTGTCTTGGCTATACAGGTTCTTCTTTGATTCCATATGAAATTTAAAATAGTTTTTTCTAATTCTGTGAAGAATGTCAATGGTAGTTTGATGGGAATAGCATTGAATCTATAAATTACTTCGGGCAGTATGGCCATTTTCATGATATTGATTCTTCCTATCCCTGAGGATGGAATGTTTTTCCATATATTTGTTTCCTCTCTGACTTCCTTGAGCAGTGGTTTGTAGTTCTCCTTGAAGAGGTCCCTCACATCCCTTGTTACCTGTATTCCTAGGTGTTTTACTCTCTTTGTAGTAAATGTGAATGGGAGTTCATTCCTGATTTGGCTCTCTGCTTGCCTATTGGTGGTGTAAAGGAATGCTTCTGATTTCTGCACATTGATTTTGTATCCGGAGACTTTGCTGAAGTTGCTTATCAGTTCAAGTTTTTGGGCTGAGACAATGGGGTTTTCTAAACATAAAATCATGTAGCCTGCCAGCAGAGACAACTTGACTTCCTCTTTTCCTATTTGAATATCCTTTATTTCTTCTCTTGCCTGATTGCCCTGGCCAGTACTTCCAAGACTATGTTGAGTAGGAGTGGTGACAGAGGGCATCCTTGTCTTGTACCGGTTTTCAAAGGGAATGCTTCCAGCTTTTTCCCATTCAATATAATATTGGCTGTGAGTTTGTCATAAATAGCTTTTATTATTTTAAGATATGTCCCACCAATAACTGTTTATTGACTCCCTCCTTTTCAGTTTTTTGGAACAGTTTCACAAGAAGTGGTACCAGCTCCTTTTTGTATTTTCTGGTGGAATTCAGCTGTGAATCTGTCTGGTCCTGGGCTTTTTTGGTTGGTAGGTGATTAATTACGGCCTCAGTTTCAGAGCTTGTTATTGGCCTCTTCAGAGATTCACCTTCTTGCAGGCTTAGTCTTGGTAGGTTGTATGCATCCAAGAATTTATACATTTCTTCTAGATTTTCTAGTTTCTTTGCCTAGAGGTGTTTTTAGTATTCTCTGATGGTAGTTTGTATTTCTGTGGCATCAGTGGTGATATCCCCTTTATCATTTCTTATTATGTCTATTTGATTCTTCTCTCTTTTCTTCTTTATTAGTCTAGCTAGCAAGCTACATGTTTTGTTAATTTTTTCAAAAAAAAACAGCTCCTGGATGCATTGATTTTTTGAAGGTTTTTTTCGTGTTTCTATCTCTTTCAATTCTTCTTTGATCTTAGTTATCGTATCTTCTGCTAGCTTTTGGATTAGTTTACTCTTGCCTCTCTGGCTCTTTTAATTGTGATGTTACAGTGTCAATTTGAGATTCTTCTAGCTTTCTTCTGTGGGCATTTAGTACTATAAGTTTCTGTCTTAATACTGCTTTAGCTGTGTCCCAGAGATTCTAGTACGTTGTCTCTTTGTTCTCATTGGTTTCAAAGAACTTCTTGATGTCTGCCTTAATTTCATCATTTACCCAGGAGTCATTCAGGAGCAGGTTGTTCAATTTCCATGAAATTGTGTGGTTTTGAGTGAGTTTCTTAATCCTGAGTTCTAATTTGATTGCACTGTGGTTTGGGAGACTCTTTGTTATGATTTCAGTTCTTCTGCATTTACTGAGGAGTGTTTACTTTCAATTATGTGGTTGATTTTAGAATAAGTGCCATATGACACTGAGAAGAATGTATATTCTGTTGATTTGGGGTAGAGAGTTCTGTAGACGTCTACTAGGTCCACTTGATACAGAGCTAAGTTCAAGTCCTGAATATCCTTGTTAATTTTTTGTCTCGCTGATCTAATACTGACAGTGGGGTGTTAAAGTCTCCCACTATTATTATGTGGGAGTCTAAGTCTCTTTGTAGGTCTCTAAGAACCTGTTTTATGAATCTGGGTGCTCCTGTATTGGGTGCATATATATTTAGGATAGTTAGCTCTTCTTGTTTCATTGATCCCTTTACCATTACATAATGTCTTTCTTTGTCTTTTTTGATCTTTGTTGGTTTAAAGTCTGTTTTTTCAGGGACTAGGATTGCAACCCCTGCTTTATTTTGTTTTCCATTTGCTTGGTAAATTTTCCTCCATCCCTTTATGTTGAGCCTATGTGTGTCTTTGCATGTAAGAGGGGTCTCCTAGATACAGCGCACCAATGGGTCTTGACATCTTATCCAATTTGCCAGTCTGTGTCTTTTAATTGGGGCATTTAGCCCATTTACATTTAAGGTTAGTATTGTTATTTGTGAATTTGATCCTGTCATCGTGACGCTATTTGGTTATTTTGCACACTAGTTGATACAGTTTCTTTGTAGTGTCATTGGTCTTTATATTTTGGTGTGTTTTTGCAGTGGCTGCTACTGGTTTTTCCTTTCCATATTTAATGCTTCTTTCAGGAGCTCTTGCAGGCCAGACCTGGTGGTAACAAAATCCCCCAGCATTTGCCTGTCTGGAGAGGTTTTATTTCTCCTTTGCTTATGAAGCTTAGTTTGGCTGGATATGAAATTCTGGGTTAAAAATTCTTTTCTTTAAGAATGTTGAATATTGGCCCCCAATCTCTTCTGGCTTGTAGAGTTTCTGCTGAGAGGTCTGCTGTTAGTCTGATGGGCTTCCCTTTGTAAGTGACCTGGCCTTTCTCTCTGGCTGCCCTTAACAGTTTTTCCTTCATTTCAACCTTGGAGAATTTGATGATTATGTGTCTTGGGGTTGATCTTCTCGTGGAGTATCTTAATGGAGTCCTCTGTTTTCCTGAATTTGCAAAATTTCCTGAATTTTCCTGTCTTGCTAGGCTGGCGAAGTTCTCCTGGATAATATCCTATAGTGTGTTTTTCCAGCTTGTTTCCATTCTCCCCATCTCCTTCTGGTACTCCAATCAATCGTAGGTTCGATCTTTTTATGAAGTCCCATATTTCTTGGAGGCTTTGCTCATTCCTTGTCTTTCTTTTTTCTCTATTCTTGTCTGCATGTCTTATTTCAGGAAGCTGGTCTTCAAACTCTGATATCCTTTCTTCTGCTTGGTCTATTCGACTGTTGATACTTGTGTATGCTTCCTGAAATTCTCGTGCTATGTTTTTCAGCTCCATCAAGTTGTTTATGTTCCTCTCATTCTAGCTAGCCATTCCTCTGACCTTTTATCAAGGTTCTTAGCTTCTTTGTATTGGGTTGAACATGCTCCTTTAACTCATCATAGTTTTTTATTACCCATCTTCTGAAGCCTACTTCTGTCAATTTGTCCATCTGATCCTCCAGTTCTGCGCCCTTGATGGAGAGATGTTGCGATCATTTGGAGGAGAAGGGGCACTCTGGCCTTTTGGGTTTTCAGCATTTTTTCATTAATTCTTTCTCATCTTTGTGAGTTTGTCTAGTTTCGGCCTTTGAGGCTGCTGACCCTTGGATGGTGTTTTTGTGGGGACTTTTTGTTTTTGTTGTTGATGATGCTATTGTTACTGCTTTCTGCTTGTTTGTTTTTCTTTCAATAGTCAGGTCCCTCTTCTTTAGGGCTGCTGCAGTTTGCTGGGGGTTCACTTCAGGCCCTATCCATCTGATTTGCTCCTGTGCCTGGAGATGTCACTCAAGGAGGCTGGAGAGTAGCAAAGATGGGTATCTCCTCCTTCTTCTGGGACCTCTGACCTCAAGGGGCACCAACCTGATGCCAGTAGGATTGCTCCTGTATAGGGTGTCTGACAACCCCTGTTGGAGGGTCTCATCCAGTTGGGTGGCATGGGGAGCAGGACCTGTTTAATGAAGCACTTTGTCCCTTGGTGGAGACAGTGTGTTTCGCTGGAGGGAAACCCACTTATCAAGGCTGCCCAGATTCCTCAGAACTACCAGGAGGCTCTCCTGGTATGCAGAGACTGCTGCCACCCCTCCCCCTAGGGCCTCAGGTCCTGGGACATCCGAATTCTGTCCCTGAGCCTCTGGCTGGAGTTATTGGAGAGCCTGCAGATAAGCCCCACCCACTGAGGAAGGATGGGTCAGGGTTAGACCTGAAGATGCACTCTGGCCACAGACTGCCACAGCCCGTGCGTTGGGCTGTGGGGACAAGTCTTGGGACCAAGCTGTCCAGCCTCCCTGGCTCCAGCAGGGGAAAAGCGCAGCCTGGAGCTATAGAAATGGGTGCTGCCCTTCCCCTGCCCAAGGAGCTTAGGTGTTTGGAGTCCCAGTGCTGGCTACTGCCCCCTCCTCCAAGGAGCTTAAATGGCTTAGACCCCAGGCAGCCACAGCTGGTGCTGGTTGCCCCTCCCCCTGGGAGTTCGGTTGGCTTAACCAGATTCCAGCTGAGAGGCTGTAAAAATCTGCACATTCTGGGGTTGGGATGCTAGGCCCCGGTGGCCTGGGTTCGCGAGTAGGATCTTCCTATCCGTGGATTACACAGTTCCGTGGAAAAAGCAGTTTCCCCAGCTGCGTAGAGTGCCCACTCACCGCCTCCCTTGGCTGGGGGGAGGGGGTTCCCCTTTCCCATGTGGCTCTCAGGTGGGCCACCACACCACACTGCTCTTCCTTCTCTCCGTGGGTCCCGCCAGCTTTCTAGTCAGTTCTGATGAGTGAACCTGGATACTTTGGTTGCCAGTGAAATATTCACACACTTATTATGGCTTTTTTCCATGAGAGCCTCCTAATGCTGTTGCTTCTAGTCGGCCATCTTGGCCCCGCCCCCCAAAAATATTTTAGTCTTGATAAAATACAGCTATTTATACAAGTATAATGAAGCATTACTTTGTTCTTCTCTTCAGTTTAGGACTAGTAAATTGAATTTTATTCTGAAAAAGAAAACAGTCACATTAAGCTTAACAGGCCATCTGCATGCATACATATATACATTTGTACATACAAGTCTCTACATGAAAACATATTAAAAACTGACAATTGGAAACAGATATGTGATTCAGAGAAACTGTCAGAATACATTTGAATAATATTTTTTATTTTCATATATATTACATATATAATTATACATATTCCAATATATACAGAAATTTGATTTACAAATAAATAATTATAATAGATGTGCTATAAAAAGTGCTGTGAGTTAAAATAACTCTGATTTTTCAAAGAAAAAATGGGATTCGTATGGATTATGTTCCTGAGTAAAGTCCTGACATCCAATTCTATTTTGAAATGTTCTCTCCCTTATTTTCTGATACCTTTAGTGGAATAAATAATATTGTGTTTTATACAGCAAGGTATTATGCTTTATAAAATTAATACCTTTTTATAATTCCTATTTTATTTTTAGTGAAAAATATTAGAAGGTTAAAAACAAAAATAAAACCTTAAAAGTTTCCTTAGCAAGGTCCTATATGTCATGCTAAGAAGTTGAGTCTTCATCACAGAAGTCATTAAATCCAAGGAACAAGTTTAGAGTTCATGTGAACTGTTAGATGCATTCTATGCCATCAGCAGTTACCTGGCTCCACCACTCTTTCTCTGGGCTTCTGTGACATCATTCTCTTCAATTTCCCTCTAGCTTCTCAGTTGCATCTTCTCCAGCTGCTTTGCAGAAACTATCCTCTGTATTCAGTCAACATGCTAGATTAAATGTCTACAGTCTCCCAAGAAAATTCCATCCATGCCAGTGGCTACAGTTACTAACTATACTTGGATGACTCTCAAATGCGTATCTCCAGCCCTGACCTTTTCTTGGAAGTCCAGCTCCATGTATTCTACTGCACACTTGAAAGTGTCCACTCATATTTCTCTAAAGCCCAAAACTGAACTCATTATATTTCTACTTCAAACCCTGATGCCCCTCCAATTTTCCCTACCTTACTGATGGACACCATCATACTCACAGTTGCACATCCCAGACATTGAGAGTCATTCTTTACACCCCTGTCTCTTTCATTTCCCATATCCAGATCCACTTGATTTTACTTCCTATTTATTTCTTATATTCATTCATTTCTCCCTGTATCTCACCACAACTCTGATCACCAAAATTTCCTAACTGGATTCCCCACATCCAATTTTGCTTCACTCCAGTCCATCATCTGAGCTGTAGCAAATTATAGTCTGATACTCCCATGCCTACACTTCTTGATGACTCTCCATGTGCTTTAGAAAAAAGGCCAAGATTCTTAATGTAGCATACAATAGTCTGTAGAATCCAATCCCTGCCCACCTCGGCAGCTTCATTTCAAGCTAATTTTCCACTGGCTCCTGCCTTCCAATTACTGCTGCATTGCATTTTCCAAAAAGGGTCGAATACTATTTCCAAACCCATGCTCTTTCAGAATCTGGCTACCCTCCATCAAGAGGTGGAGTCTATTCAGCTTTCCTTTGAGCCTGGGCAGGATCATGACTGCTGCAAACAATAGATTAAGGCAGAGGTGATGCTGCGTGACTTTCAAGGATAGGTCATATTTAAAAATATATAGATTCCCCTCTAGCCCCTTGTTTGCGGACACCTATTTGGAGAAATAAACCAGTGTGTTATGGGGAATCACAGACTAAGCCCATTCAAAGAGACTTCATGGAGAGACCTAGATAGAGAAGAACTGAGGCCCCCAACCGACAGCCGGCATCAACTGCAAACATATGAATGACAAGGTTTCAGATTATTTCAGTCCCCAGCCTTCATGTCAGCCAATTAAGGCCCCAGAGATCACAGAACAGAGACAAGCAATCTCCACTGTGTCCTGTCTGAATTATTGGCCCTTAAACTCTGTGAGCATAACAAATGGTTATTTTGCACCATCAAGTCATGAGGTGATTTGTGATCATCATTAGATAGTTAGAACAATCGCCCTGGCCTTTCTAGTCCAGAACTCACAGAATATTGCCTCCTGCTTTAGCACTTTTCCTCTCCTGGGCTTCCATACACAAATCTTCACTAATTCCAGGCAGTACTTAATATTTCCTTATCCTTCTGAAATCAGCTCAAATTTCAGCAAATAGCAATATAATTATGGAATGTAGGAATATTACATTACTAGAAGACCACGCATTCTGAACCAAAGGGATGGACGTAAAGAACGCCGGAATTGTCTGACCTGCCATGGATACCAGGCATGGCCTCAAAGCATCCTAGAAGCTAAAGCTTTCACTAAAGTCTGGAGAAACAAGAGAGAAAGAAACTCACATTTTATGGACCATACCCTGCAACATGTGGTGGATAACACTTTTTGGATCATTTTAAAGTTTTCTTTAGCAATTTCTTACCTCCTGAGAAACATTCTTGCTCCCTTCGGGTCAATGTCAGAATAACCACAACCAAAACTGCTGCAGCTCTGGGTCTCTCACCATAGTCTGGGGTGGATTGTCACAAGGATCATGAAATTTGGAGGAACTTCATTAGATGAAGGGAATATTGGGAATAACTGTAAGGAAATACAGAAGCACTTCAGTAATGTTTTTCATGACAGGCCTAAAAATATCTGTTTTATTTGAATCTTTTCTTTTTGTAAATTTTCCTGTAGCAAGCATCCATCTTTTTTTTTAGAGCCCGTTTCACCTTGCACTTTCATGGTATTTTAGTCACCTCAGCCTCTCAAAACAAAACAAAACAAAACAAAAACAAAAACAAAAACGAAAAACCCCTGCCATCAATTTACTTGTCCATTATATCACAATTCTCCACTTTTCCCCTTGAATGAATGGCGAGCATTCAAAGAAACAAATGGGTGTGTTTAATTCCGAAACTGCATCCCAAGTCTTCCAATCTCAGTCTTGAGCCCAAGACTTTGGCTTATACCAGGCTGCTGCTGCCACTGAAATGAAGTTTTGGAGTTTTTTCCTGTGTTTTTCAAAATAATGTGTAAGGATTAAATTTATGACTACACTAACACTGGCGTGTTTTTCCTAGCAGATGCAGTAAAGCTTAGAACAATCAAATAAGTGTCCTTTTCCAAATGAGTTTCCTTGGGAGGCCCTTGCCTTATGAATTTATGTTACCTTTGTTCAATGCACATTGCAACTGCCATCAGAGAAGAGCTTCCAGTGACAGAAGAATATCAGTACCATTACTTTAGAACCACTGAACACTTGTCCTGATTCCAAAATGTTTTTCTTTCCTACACTTGTCCCTTGTTCCCTGAGCACCGCTTACTAATCCAGGCCTCCCTTTCTCCTCTGATGGTAAAGTCAACAAATCAAGGACTTCTAGGGACCAGCCTGGAACTGAAAGAAACTCCTCTGGGAAGAAAAGCTCTGGGGCTCAGAGAGGGTCTGTGGGATCAGCTTCTCCAAGTGACATGGATGTGATTCATGGAACACTCTGAAGCTGACCAGTAGAAGTCAAATTTTGTCTACATTTATATTTTCATTTGAATGAAGGACATAATCTTTCTCTGTGAGTAAAGTACTCTCTATATAATATATAGAGAACTATAGAACTATAATTATTATGTATAGAATGCTTTATGTGCTATATGTAATACTTATATATTATAAAGTACTACAGTATAATACTTTATATTATATATACATATATCTGTGTGTGTATATACGTATATACACACATATATACGTATATATACGTGTATATACGTATATACACATATATACGTATATATACGTGTATATACGTATATACACATATATACGTATATATACGTGTATATACGTATATACACATATATACGTATATATACGTGTATATACGTATATACACATATATACGTATATATACATATACACACACATATATACTTATATATATACATATATATACATATATATATGTGTGTGTATATATATATATAAAGTGTTAAAACTGTTGGTACCCTGAAATTAGTAAAATTGTGAGCTAACGTGCTAACACACTGGGGAGCTACTTACCATTAGCCTTAGCTCTATTAAATAGAGCAAGGTTAGCCTATATATGGTGCCCATTCCTCTACCTATGGTGACGTCACTAATCAATCACAAAACTCTTTCCCAAAACACCTAGACTAGACTTCGGAATCCACGCCATAGCCATCTCAGTCAATCAAAGCTGGCTCAAAAAATGAAATTTATTTGCCATTTCAGAAATAGAAGTGAGCGCATTTCCTCTAGAATGTATTATTAAAATTCAGATTTTATGAGGAAAAGAAGATCCTAGGAGAAAAACAAAAAACCCAGAGGCAATGGTAGGGCCCCTCCTATGAGTCTGTCTCAGCGGCACATTAGATTTATTAAATTAGCTAATTGTCGTGTTGGAAGGCACAGGCGAGCTGATCCTGAGGTGAGAAGCAAAACAAATAGGTTGCAGCAGTATGGATGGGGCACTGGGGAAGCGTTTAGCCTCACTAAACCTTAGGAAGCTGGTCCTAATGAGGTGTACCAGGGGCGGCAGAGTCTTTGCAGAAGGCTCTGAGCACAGGAGAGCATGCCCTGGGACCAAGGACCCATCTAGAAAGGATCAACATTTCCAACCGACATGCAGAGAGATTAGCAAAATGTTTAACTAATGCTGAAGTTCACCAAGCCCAACAAGCCAATCCCTGTTACATTTGCTATAAAAGCAAAGTCTGGAATTAGAGAAAATATTCTTGCAAATAATCAAAATGAGATTTCTAATTTTAAATTAAGGGACACAAGGCCTCTAATAACACATTTACATATGCATTTCCTTTATAGAGTATATCCTATTTTCAAAAGTGAATTTAAGGGAAGAATTCCCCTGCTCTACTTCTTCTTTCTACTTTGTCAATACAAGGGGTGTTCGCGGCCATCGTCACAGCCTGAGCGGATGGCAGGATCTGCCTCGGGTACTCCTGTGCGAGCTCAGGGCTCCTCTGGGACCACCACCAGCTGCCTGCCCTGCTCCCACAAAGGCCGTTTAGTTGTCAACAATAACTGAGGATTCAACTATGTCTCACGGCAGCCAGGTGGTCATACAGCTCCTCCAATCGCCTTTTGTCTTGTTCGAATGTTAATATCAGAGATGGAGGAAAGAAAGGTCGCATTTAAAAATAGCATTCTGAACATCTTAGCTTTTCTCTGTTTGGACTTCTTACTGGATTTCCTAAAATGGCAGCTATCACTGAGCACAGTCGTTTCCTTTGCAGGTGTCCAAAAACCCCCGTCATTTCATTGTTTTACATTTTTTAATTCATGATTTTAATTTTTATTTATTTATTTATTTATTTATTTTTAGACAGGGTCTCACTCTGTCGCCCAGGCTGGAGTGCAGTGGTGCGATCTTGGCTCACTGCAACCTCCGCCTCCTGGGTTCAAGTGATTCTCCTGCCTCAGCCTCCTGAGTAGCTGGGACTACGGGCATGCACCACCACACCCAGCTAGTTTTTGTATTTTTAGTAGAGATGGGGTTTCACCATGTTGGCCAGGCTGGTCTCGAACTCCTGACCTCGTGATCCACCTGTCTCGGCTGGGATTACAGGCGTGAGCCACTGCGCCTGGCCTGATTTTAAGTTTTTAAGATGACCCTCCTCATCGTACTTTGTCTCTAGTATGTTAGAGAAAACCATCATTAACTTAAAAACACAGGGATTGTTCTTTAAAAGTCTATTAACATAAACCTAGATATCATTAAGCTTGTATCAATGAAGTTTCATAAATCCGTCTTGACTGATTATTTTGGGAATCTGATGTCATTTTCAGCCACTTAAAATGCCTGAGCGGTTAAAGATTTGTCTCTGATGACTCAACTTAATGTGGGTGTGTTGGGTTTTTTCCTGGTTGAGAGACAGTTCTCCTTCAACGTGTTATTCGTGCAGATGACTGAGATGGTGTCTGGAAATGTGCTCTATCACACGAAACATTGTTAATACCATGCTCCTATTTGAATTTCTCAAAATGTTGGTGCTACCGTTGAGGTACTTGAGATGATCTCATTCACCATTTCACAAACAGTAAAACTTTTTACCCAATTGACAAAAATATGCTTAATTCTAAACTCTCTCACAGGAACACAGTATTGCTTTCATCTTCTTGTTAGCATGGCAAGTCTTTGTTTTTAGTTATTTTCCTGAGATGGTATTTGTTAAGGCAGGTTTTGCAACTGCTTTGAACCTACCGTCCCCAGTGATGTCTCCTGCTTAGGGTCCTTGAGACTGGTCTGTGTGCATTTTCCCCTTGGCTTCAGCAGGACTTTTGAGAGCAGACAAATTAGAGGATTGAGTTGTAAATAGAAGGTCTGATAAGATCCACCAGCCAAGTTTATGTCTCACATTCTCTATAGGCAACTTTTACTTGCTTGCCAGAGCATTGGAAATAGGTGATTGGGTCCAAAATATACCCATCATATCTTTAAATAATAGCATCATAAACTAATAACGATTCCTTTACCAATGAACATAGGCCATTAACATATAAAGATGCTTTATTCTTTTTAAAAAATTACCTCGAAGTTTGTTATTAGTATTCACTTTAGATTGTCTTTCCAGAATTGATTGGTTTTATGTAAAAAATAATTATAAAGTAACAATCATTTTCATGTCTCTATAAATGAAACAATTCAAAATAATTTAAAATGTAAAAAAGAGCACATAATTTGGGCTAGTCAGATTTTCTCTGGATTTTATCAGGAGTTCATTTACCAAAAGTCATAAAATTTGCCAAATACACCCTCACTGTTTGCCTTACAATGGACACATATTCCAAACATAGACAAGACCACAGGCAAAATTAAGTCTTTTGCTGATTTTAGATACAGACCACAGAGCGACTTAGCTGCCTTTAGCCAATTTCCCTGCTAGCTGGTCCTGCTCCCTGAGGTCCTCTCCCCTTCAACCAGAGTACTCTGTTCCCATCCACACCCTGCCCTCCTGGCCATGTCTATCACCAGGCCACACGCCGTGCTTCGCCCTGTCCTGCCAAAATACAGGCATGAGAAATGCAGGAAGTTTGGTGAAGTGTGAACATACAGGTTGGTTGAGAGGCTTGTTTTTTTTCATCTTCTACTCTACCTAGTGAAAATTGGCTTGCTTGTGTGCATAACAAAATGGACTTTTTCCTGGATTGAGTTTTACGTAGTCATTAAGATTAAAGTTGTAGTGAAAGAGGAACATCATATTATACTTGTATATAATGTTTAGCCTTTTCTGTTTACAAAGGAGTATATGATTTCCAAGAATCATTTTTTCACAATAAACTCTTTGTTAATAAGTTTAATTGTGTTAACATTATGAAATACAGACACACACACACACATGCCCTCCTTACTTAGATAAGAGCCTAGGACCTAAATAAAATAGTCCCATACTATAAAATAATGATACAGGCTTTTAAAGGAATTTTTCTTGTAGTTCTTACATGCTTTGCATGAGGACCTTGTGAAGGGAGTGATAAAATCCTATAAATTGTCTTAGTATTGATCGGCATAACAGGATTACATTAGCACCTGAACTGGAACTTCCTATGAGCCCATGAACACATTCAGAGAGATTAACTAAGACGATTTTCTTTTGCTATTTTACAAACTAAAGTCACTTTATAATTTATTGGCAATGTCTTTAGAGGGACAGAAAACAGAACAAAGGTCTTAAAGCTACTGAGCAAGGCACGGAGCTTATGATATTATATGCAATGATAATGCAAACCACAGGAAATTTATGGTGAGGCAGGAAAATACATTATATTATATATTTCCTGAGAACTGGAAATGATGTTGTGATCATTTGAAGTTAGGGAACATCTAATTCTGGATGAGTAATTATTTGGTTTGTACAACCAGATAACTTACCGTGTATGACTATCCTAGAAGGGGATGATTCTTTGGGTTTTCAATATTAATTGATTTATGTGGTATGAGATTGAATTGCTAACTTTCTTCTGGTCTGCTTGTAAATTTCTACAAAGAAGATCCTTCGCCTTCTGTCCTCTATAGCCATCCACCCTGATTAGCCAATGCTGCAGTCTCACAAGCGTGTGGGATTTTATTTCCTTAACTAAACTATTTGCCTAACTCAGAGATGTAAGCTCAATGGAAGAAGAAAAAAAAAAATTGACTGAGTTGTAATCATCTGGAGTGTTTGAAATAATTTGAATGGATGGGGATTATTTGCTTCAGAAAGCCTCTGTCTAACAGTATTCCTAGGAGCTAGGAAAACCAGCATTCTAATCTCAAACTCTGACATTTTTTGACAAGTTGCTTTAGTTCCCAGCATCATTCTGACCTTTGTATAATGAGAATAATAATATTTATCTAGCTTAGATTAAATCTTCCATCGTATTGTTGGGAATATTTCACTTTGATAAAGTGATCTTTCCTTTCAGATTCCTTACATGCTTTACAAATAAAATTGATTTAACAGTTTGCTGTTTCCTATTGCATAGATGTAGAAACCAAGACACAGAGAAATCATATTTTACTGCATATTTTGAGATTTAATAATAGCTAATATTTGCTGAGTGGTTACCTAGTGCCAGACATGGTACATAACCTCATCTGATTCTATAGTAACCCTGCAAGGATTGTACTCCTACTTTCATAGTAAAGAAAACAGTGGCTTTAAAAGACTAAGGGAGTTTCCCAGAATCATCCAATGAGTAGGGGGCACTGTCCAGATCACAGTGCAAGCATCTACTACCCCCAGCATTACCAAAACCAAGACAAGTCGAAGTTGTATCTCAGCAAGGTGTCCATGAAACAAGGTCCTGGCTTGGCCGCATTTGGAGTTCACTGTCCTATTGCCTGGGCTGGTTACCTGGTGAGCAATAACATTTCCCTTTCCATTTCTGAAGCCACTCTCAAAGACCAACCCTTTAGTGGATATTGTGTCTTTCTTTGGCTACACAGCATCTGATGGCCATACTTCTGATAGCAACCTCACCCTCAATTTGGAAACCCCCAAAGTTTCCTGTGAACCGAATGTGAAAACATCAAGCCCCCTCTGAGTCATGCTGGCTGTTTCCTGCCACCAGCTTGTGGCCTGGTTCTTTGCACCCAGCGCCACTGGTCAAAGCTCCCTCTTGTCCTCTGCTCCTCATGACCTACAGTGCAGGAATTACTGAAATGCTGTGGATTAGACATTTTTCCCTTTGCTATATGTGTGATGTCTTCGCTTCTCTAAGGTTTAATGCCAATCCCCTCAATTCAACACAGAGACCAATTCTCCCAGTGTTTTCCACTGCAACATTTTGCTTATACATATCAGTTCTGTTATGAAAAAGTAAAAACCAAAGTAGTACGTAAACATCAAAGAGAAACCTCCAAACCAAAGTTGACCTGTAGCCTTGACCTCGTTTCTCTTGGAAAAATTAGTGTGGAAAAAGATATTTACTTGGGTTGTTGTTGTTGTTCTTGTTGTTGAGACAGGGTCTTGCTCTGTCTCCCAGGCTGAATCTTGGCTCACTACAACCTTGACCTTCCAGGCTTAAGCAATCCTCACACCTCAGCCTCCCAAGTAGCTGGGACTACAGGCACATGACACCACATCCAGCTAATTTTTGTACTTTTTTGTAGAGACGAGGTTTCTCCACGTTGCCCAGTCTGGTCTCAAACTCCTGAGTTCAGTCAAGCAATCTGATCCGCCTGCCTCAGCCTCCCAAAGTGCTGGGATTACAGACGTGAGCCACTGTGCCTAGCTGGGTTTTTCTACTTGGTTGTGGAAGACTCAGTCTTCATGGGAGCCAACAGACCGAACTGCTTTGGGAATAGCTTTAACGTATTTGGCTGTGTTTTAAGGGTAATCTGGGGCCAGGTGCTGTGGTTCATGCCTGTAATCACAGCACTTTGGGAGGCTGAGGCGGCCAGATCCCTTGAGGTCAGGAGTTCGAGACCAGTCTGGCCAGCATGGTGAAACCCCATTTCTACTAAAAATACAAAAAATTAGCTGGGCGTGGTGGTGGGAGCCTGTAATCTCAGCTACTTGGGAGGCTGAGGCAGGAGAATTGCTTGAACCCAGGAGGCGGAGGTTGCAGTGAGCTGAGATCACGCCATTGCACTCCAGCCTGGGCAACAGGGCCAGACTCTGTCTCAAAAAAAAATTAAAAAATAGTTTAAAAAAGTAATCTGGGGGAAAGGGGGAATAGAGAGAGATTGGTTAAAGGATAAAAAAGTTACAACTAGATAGGAGGAATAAGTTGTAGTGCTCTATAGCTCTGTAGGATGACTGTAGTTAACAATAATATACCATTTCACATAGCTAGAAGGAGGATATTGAATGTTCCCAACACAAAGAAATGAGAAAGATTTGAGATGGTGGATATGCTAATTACCCTGATTTGATCACTATACATTATATATATTGCAACATCTCTAGGTACCCGATAAATATATACAACTGTTATGTCCATTTAAAAATAAAAAAGAAAAGTCATCTTTCAAAGTAAGCATTTCAATGAAATCATATCACTTCTCAACTTAAAATCCTCCAGTGGTTTTCCATCACTCCCAGGACAATACTCAAAACTCATTTTTGCACTCACTCTCAAGGCTTAGCCTACCCATCTCTCCAGCCTCACCTGGTACCACATCCTCCTTGCCAATCAGTCCTGCCAGTTTTCTTTCTTATTTTTATTTTATTTTATTATTGCTATTTCTCCCTCTGGATTTTTTTTTCAAATTTTCTCTAGATTCAGGGAGTACATCTGCAGGTTTGTTACATGGGTATATTGTGCAATGCTGAGGTTGGGGCTTCTGTTGAACCTATAACCCAAATAGTGACCACAGTACCCCACAGGAACTTTTTCAACCCACTCCAGTGTCTACTATTCCCATCTTCATGTTTATATGTACCCAATGTTTAGCTCCCACTTATGAGAACATGCTGTATTTGGTTTTCTGTTCCTGCATTAATTCACTTAGAATAATAGCCTCCAGGGGCATCCATGTGGCTGTAAAGGACATACTATTGTTCTTCTTCATGGCTGTGTAGTATCCCATGTACATATACACTGTATATGTACCACAGTTTCTTTATTCAATCTACTGGGCACCTATGGTGATTCCATGTCTTTGCTACTGTGAATAGTTCCTGCCAGTTTCTGATCACATCACAGCCTCCCATCCTGGGCCTTTGCGTATCCTTCCCTCTCCCTCTCCTCTTTCTCACTTCACCTAAATGCTTCTACTGATTAGTCATATTTCACTCAAATCCCCCCCAGAAAACTTTAAAATACACCCAAGATTATAAAAGACCCTCTAGTATATCCTTCCATAGAACATCATTCTTTACCATTAAAGAATTTATCAAAATTTATAAAGATATATTTGTCCATTGGTTTAAAGGTCCTCTAGACTTCTTGCCCTGTGAGTGCAAGAATGAAGCTAGCCTTGCATATCACTGTATCCCTTTCATCTAAGAATGTTCTAGAAATTGGTGGTGCCCAATATTTGATGAATAAACAAATGAATGAATAAATTTAAGTAGGAAAATGTAATATCAAAGTGTAAATAGTAGTCAATCTTGTACTTTCTCTCTTCAATATTTACTTATTGAAAAAAGCATGTATCACCTTTCTAATCAGAAAAAAACTTCCAGTTATTAAAAGTCAAAAAATAACATATACTGGCAAGGCTGCAGAGAATAGGAATCCTTATACATTGTTAGTGGAAATGTGAACTAGTTCAGCCCCTCTGGAAGGCAGTTTGGAAATTTCTCAAAGAACTAAAAACAGAGCTACCATTTGACCCAGTAGTTCCATTACTGGGTATATACTCACAGGAAATAGATTGTTCCACCAAATTGTTCTGCACTCGTATGTTTATAGCCACATGTTTGTTTGTTCACAATAAGAAAATCATGGAATCAATCTTGGTGCCCATCAATGGTGGATTGGATAAAAAAAAAAAAAATGTGGTACATATACACCATGGAATGCTATGCAGCCACAAACAGAATGAAATTATGTCCTTTGCAGCAATGTGGATGCAGCAAGAGGCCATTATTCTAAGTGGACTAATGTGAAACAGAAAATCAAATACTGCATGTTCTCACTTATAAGTGGAAGCATTGGGTATACATGGACACACAAATGGAAACAACAGACACTGGGCATGTTAAAAGGAGGGAAGTGGGGAAAGAGCTGAAGACCTGTGAGGCACTATGTTCACCACTGAGGTGATGCGTTCATTAGGAGATCCAAACCTCAGCATCACACAATATGCCCATGTAACAAACCTGCACATGTATCCCCTGAATAAAAAAAAAAAAAAAAATCCAAAAAGAAAAGAGACATTTACTGTCTTGGTAAACACCTAAGTCTAAGAAAGATACCCAGACTCTAAAAATATATTTAGCTTAACAAATTCATATTTTAACATAAATATTCCTGCCGTAATTTTCCCAATTTATTTTTTTCTTTTGTATTTTTAAAGTCTAGCTCGCTCACAACGCGTTCCAGAGAGGGAAAAATAGTATATCATTTCCTAGCCATTTCTTAAATACCAAACAACATCATGAAATGTCAGATTTTGGGCTGAAATCAGAAAATAATTTTTAAGCATACTTAAAAATGTATAACAGTAATTATAATCCACCACCCAAACCAGTTTAAAAATTTTAATAGCATTTCTGGCCTAAAGTGGATAGGGGCTGAGGAGGGAGAAAAAACGCCTTCCAGCTTATTTTTTTCAAATATAAAAGCTTGCCCTGAGCAGATGCGTTTTCCACAGTGCTGTCAGCAGCAGACCTAATTGCTTTTCATGTAAATTAAGAATATGTACCTTTGTTTAAGCAGTAATCTAGGTCAACAAGACGGGGTTGGTTTATTTGTTTTAGCTTATGTAGAGCTTTGAAATGGCAGTTAGAGCATGGCATGAACGTTATTCTTGGCTTCCATTTATTTAAGAAAACATTCCTCTTTTAAACTTTCTTTTTTCCAAACCTCCACTTACCAATACCAATGATCCACTCCACACATCACGAAGGCATGTAAAAATACTTAACAGCTTTGATATAAGACACTTGGGAGTTTGGGTTGCTGCTATATATTTTTACATCTTTTATATTTGTTAAAGCTTGATGAATCTGAGAATACGTCTAGAGGGTAAATACTGACTTGAAACCATTTGCTTTTGAGTTGCCTCACTATAATTATCATAGGTTTTTTCCTCTCCTCCTGGAACAGACAAATTTGGGGTATTTTGGTCAAAAAAGATATAAGTACTCTGATTACCAGACAAATTTTGAACATAGATTATATCATAGGGAGGAATTTCTGACCGACCCCTCCTGGTTTATGACAGCAGTGAGCTGAAGTGTACGCCACTGATCACTGGCCCCCTGTGCATGGAAAATTGTATCTCAGCAGGTGCTACCTGGAATCTGGCAAAAAGGTTTGTTCATTTGTTTGCGTGTTTGTTTTAAACACTTCCTGCCAGGGGAGTATTTTGTGAACAATATACCACAAAGGAAGTTTAGTTTTAAAGATCAAAGATCAATTTTGCTCATATAATTTGTAGTAGGGTAATATATCATCTGTACCAAAATCCATTATAGCTGTAATCCACTGGTTGTCATACTCTCATAAATATGATGTATTAATAATAAAATAATTTAGAAGAATTCCAGGACCCATGGAAGTCATGTAGTTATATGGATGTAAAATAAAGGGACTTTCTCTTGAGGGGACAAATTCCTTACTGCCATTTTAGTGTCAAGCTATTTCATTCCGCTGTAAGAGAACATTGCAATAATGCACTCATGATTATATATTTCAGTTTTTAAATGTGTTGTTAACAATGAAGAAAAATATTGAATGTAAAAATATAGATTTGGGGGAAAAAACAACATTCAAAAGATTAACTACTGGTCAGAAAGAAAATGCAAAATCAAGAATTTGAAGAAAAAATATTTTTTCTTAAGAAGCTTTATTACCAAAAAACAAAAAGTCATACATTGTTTTGTATTTGTTTTGTTTACAAGAAAGTGAAAATTTTAGAATGTCTACACTAAATACACCCATCCAGCAAAAGTTTAATGATGACAGTCAAGAGGAAGGCCATAAAACAAACACTGGAGCAATTCAAGTGATATTAGAAAAGTGTCAAATATTTACTACCTGTTATGGGGATGGGTAAATCTGGTTGGTTGTTTGTTTACATATTTATGTATGCAGTATTTATTTATAATCTGTATTTTTTAAAAATGATTTATGGTATATTTCTTTATACTCAGTCTTCTTTCAAAAACAAGGTAGCTGAATCTTTTTAAAAATGTATTATTTTAATTTATGTGGGTACATAGCAGGTGTATATATTCATGGGGTCCTGGAGATGTTTTGATACAGACATGCAGTGGATGATCGTCACATCAAAATGGGGTATCCATCCCCTCAAGCATTTGTGTCTTTGTGTCACAAACAATCCAATTATACTCGTTATTTTAAAATGTACAATTATTATTGTTACAGTCACCCTGTTGTGCTATCATGTACTAGGTCTTATTCATTCTTTCGAATGATTTTTTTGCCATTAACCATCCCCACCTCCCCCTGACCCAGCTACCACCCTCCCAGCGTCTGGTAACCATCCTTCTACTCTCTATCTCCATAAGTTCAATCTTTTTGATTTTTAGATCCCACAAAAAAAAAGTGAGAACATGCACTGCTTGTGCTTCTGTGCCTGGCTTATTTCACTTAACATAATGACCTCCAGTTCCATCCATGTTGTTGCAAATGACAGGATTTCATTTTTTTTTTTTTTTTTTTTTTTTTTGAGATGGAGTCTTGCTTTGTTGCCCAGGCTGGAGTGCAGTGGCGCGACCTCGGCTCACTGCAAGCTCCGCCTTGCGGGTTCACGCCATTCTCCTGGCTCAGCCTCCCCAGTAGCTGGGACTACAGGCGCCCACCACCACGCCCGGCTAATTTTTTGTATTTTTAGTAGAGATGGGGTTTCACTGTGTTGGCCAAGATGGTCTCGATCTCCTGACCTCGTGATCCGCCTGCCTCAGCCTCCCAAAGTGCTGTGATTACAGGCGTGAGCCACCACGCCTGGCTAGGATTTCATTCTTTTTATGGTTGAATAGTATTCCATTGTGTGTATGTACCACATTTTCTGTATCCATTCATCTGAGGATGGACACATCAACAGCTTTGGAAGGTTGCTTCCAAACCTTGGCTATTGTGAACACTGCTGTACATAAAAAATATGGGAGTGCAGGTATCTCTTTGATATACTGATTTCTTTTCTTTTGGGTATACACCCAGCAGTGGAATTTTATAGTTTTCATATAGTAGCTCCATTTTTAGTTTTTTGAGGCAGTTCCAAACTGTTCTCCATAATAATTGTACTAATTTACATTCCCACCAACAGTTTACAAGGGTTCCCTTTTCTCCACATTCTCGCAAGTATTTGTTATTGCCTGTCTTTTGGATATAAGCCATTTTTTGCTGGGGTAAAATGATATCTCATTTTAGTTTTGATCTGCATTTCTATGATGATCAATGAAGCTGAGCACCTTTTCATAGGCCTGTTTGCCATTATAAGTCTTCTTTTTTAATTTTTTTTATTATACTTTAACTTCTAGGGTACATGTGCACAATGTGCAGGTTTGTTACATAGGTAGACATGTGCCATGTCAGTTTGCTGCACCCATCAACTCGTCATTTACATTAGGTATTTCTCCTAATGCTATCCCTCTCCCAGTCCCCCACCTCCTGACAGGCCCTGGTGTATGATATTCCCCACCCTGTGTCCGTGTGTTCTCATTGTTCAACTCCCACCTATGAGTGAGAACATGTGGTGTTTGGTTTTCTGTCCTTGTGACAGTTTACTGAGAATGTGGTTTCCAGCTTCATCCATGTCCCTGCAAAGACATGAGCTCATCCTTTTTTATGGCTGCATAGTGCTCCATGGTGTATATGTGCCACATTTTCTTAATCCACTCTATCATTGATGGACATTTGGGTTGGTGCCATTTGTAAGTCTTCCTTTGAGAAATGTCTGTTCAAATCTTTTGCCCATTTTTAATTGGATTGTTAGATTTTTTTCTATATAGTTGTTTGAGCTCCTTATATATTCCGATCATGAATTCCTTGTCAGATGAGTAGTTTACTAATATATTCACCCATTCTGTGGGTTGTCTCTTCACTTTATTGATAGTTTCCTTTGCTGTACAAAAGCTTTTTAACTTGATGTGATCCCATTTATCTGTTTTTGCTTTGGTTGCCTGTGCTCGTGGGGTATTACCCAAGAAATATTTGCCCACACCAATGTCCTATAGAGTTTCCTCAGTGTTTTCCTGTAGTAGTTTCATAGTTTGAGGTCTTAGATTATGTCTTTAATCCATTTTTATTTGATTTTTGTATATGGTGAGAGAGAGGGATCAAGTTTCATTCTTCTGCATATGGATAGCCAGTTTTCCCAGCACTATTTATTGAGGAGAGAATCTTTTCCCCAATGTATGTTTTTGGCACCTTGGTTGAAAATGGTTTACTGGAGGTGTGTGGATTTGTTTCTGGGTTCTTTACTCTGTTCCATTTGATCAATGTGTCTGTTTTTATGCCAGTACCATGCTGTTTTGGTTACTATAACTCTGCAGTATAATTTGAAGTCAGGTAATATAATTCCTTCAGTTTTATTCTCTTTGCTTAGGATAGCTTTTGCTCTTCTGGGTCTTTTGTGATTCCATATAAATTTTAGGATTGTTTTTTATATTTCTGTGAAGAATGTCATTATTTTGATAGGGATTGCATTGAATCTATAGATTGCTTTGGGTAGGGTGGACATTTTAACAATATCGATTCTTCCAATCCATGGTGGAAGAATTTTTTTGGTTCCCTCTTTAATTTCTTTCATCAGCAGTTTATAGTTTTCATTATAGAGATCTTCTTAGGTATTTAATTTTATTGATGGCTATTGTAAATGGCTATTGTAAATGGGATTACTTTAATTTTATTGATGGCTATTGTAAATGGGATTACTTTTTTGATTTCTCTTCAGATTGCTCACCGTTGGCATATAGAAGTGCTACTGATTTTTGTATGTTGATTTTGTATCCTGCAACTTAACTGGATTTGTGTATCAGTTCTAATAGTTTTTTATGGAGTCTTTAGGTTTTTCCAAATATAAAATCATATCATCCGCAAACAAGGATAATTTGACTTCTTCTTTCCAATTTGAATGCCCTTTTTTTTCCTCTTGTCTGATTGCTCTAGCTAGGATTTGCAGTACTATATTGAATAACAGTGATGAAAATGGGCATCCTGGTTCCATTCTAGACCTTAGAGGAAAGGCTTTCCTTTTTTTTTTCTATTCAGTATAATACTCGCTGTGGGTGTGTCATATATGGCTTTTATTATGCATGTTCCTTCTGTCCCCAGTTACTTTAGGGTTTTTATCATGAAGGGATGTCAAATTTCATCAAATGCTTTTTAAGCATCGGTTGAAATAATCATATTTTTTGTCCTTCATTTTGTCAATATGATGTATCACAATGATTGATGTGCATATGCTGAGCCATCCTTGCATCACAGAGATAAATCCCACTTGTTCAGAATGAATAATCTTTTAAATTTATTGTTGAATTCAGTTTGCTAGTATTCTGGTGATGATTTTTGCATCAATATTCATCAGAGATATTGGCCTGTAGTTGGGTTTGTTTGTTTGATGTGGTTTTGTCTTGTTTTGATATCAGGGTAATAATTGCCTTGTAGAATTTGTTAGGAAGCATTGTCTACTCCTTTACTTTTTGGAAGAGTTTGAATAGGATTGATATTACTTCTTCTTTAAATGTTTGGTAGAATTCAGCAGTGAAGCTATTGGGTCCTAGGCTTTTCTTTACAGGAAGACTTTTTATCACGGCTTTGATCTCATTACTTGTTATTGATTTGTTCCAGTTTCGGATTTCCTCATGGTTAAATCTTGGTAGGTTGTATGTGTCTAAGAATTTGTCCATTTCTTCTAGATGTTCCAGTTTATTGGTATATACTTGCTCATAGTAGCACTAATGATACTTTGAATTTCTGTGAAATCAGTTGTAATGTCTCCTTTTTCATCTCTGCTTTTATTTATTTGGATCTTCTCTGTTTTTCTTAGTCTGGATAAAGGCTTGTCAATTTTGCTTAACTTTTCAAAAAACCAACTGGTTGTTTCATTATCTTTTGTATTGCTTTCTTCACTTCAATCTCATTTATTATTTATTTTCTTCTATTAATTTGGGGTTTGGCTTACTCTTGCTTTTCTAATTCATTAAGATGCATCACTGGGTTGTTTATTTGCAGTTTTTCTTCTTTTTTGATGTAGGCACTTATGACTATAAACTTCTTCTTAACACTGCTTTTGCTGTTTCTCACTGGTTTTGGTATGTTGTGTTTCCACTATCATTTGTTTCAAGAAATTTTCCAGTTTTCTTCTTAATTTCTTCATTGACCCACTGGTCATTCAGGAGCATATTGTTTAATTTGCTTGTATTTGTATGTTTTCTGAAATTCCTCTTGTTATTGATTTCTAGTTTTATTCCATGTGTTTGGAGAAGATGCTTGATATTATTTCAATTTTTTAAATATTTTAAGACTTGTTTTCTGACTTAACATGTGGTCTATCCATGAGAAAGATCCATGTGCTGAGGATAAGAATGTGTATCCTGCAATCATTGGATGAAATGTTCTATAAATATCTGTTAGGTCCATTTAGTCTATAGTGCAGATTAAGTACTGTATTAGTCGATTTTCACGTTGCTGAATAAATAATACCTGAGACTGGGCAATTTATAAGAAAAGCACTTTAATTGGCTCACAATTCTGCAATATGTACAGGAAGCAAACGTCTGGCATCAGCTTCTGCAGAGAACTCAGGAAGCTTACAATCATGGCAGCTGGTGAAGCGGGAATTTGCACATCACATGGCAAAAGCAGGATCAAGAGAACAAGCAGGGGAGGTACTAAACCATTCATGAGATCAGGGGGTTCTCATGAATGGTTTAACATTTCCCCCTCTTGCTCCATGATCCAATCACCTCTCACCAGGCCCCCACCTCCAACACTGGGAAATACATTTCAATACCAGATTTGGGCAAGGACACACATCCAAACTATATCAAGTCCAATGTTTTCTTTTTGATTTTCAGTTTGGAACATCTGTCAATGCTGAAAGTGGAGTATTGAAGTCTCCAGCTATTATTGTATTAGGGCCTATCTCTCTCTTTAGCTCTATCAATATTTGCTTTATGTATGTGGGTCATCCAACGTTGGGTGCATATATATTTAAAATTGTTATATCCTCTTGCTGAATGGACCCCTTTGTCATCATATAGTGATTTTCTTTGTCTTCTTATACTTTTTGTCTTGAAATCTATTTTGTCTGATGTAAGAGTAGTTGAATCTTGATGTAACTGATTTATAAAACAAACTGTTGCTTTATTAATATAACTAGGAGATAGATGCACATGAAACATTGTAAAAGTATTTGTATTATCCTTGTATTCATATGAAGAAATGTAAAAATAAAATAAATTGAAATTGAATATGTTTAATTTTTTTAAATTAGTATCAAACTAACAAAACTTCAGATATAAGTAGTAGAAAATTAGTTGGATCATTCACAATATCCAACAACTGCTAACATTCTTTATATTGAATAAATATTCAGGTTGGAGAGAGTTAACATGTTTCACATATAACTGAAGTCTTCATTTTTTGGCCGAAAGCACCTTCTGCATGCATCTCTCTCCTTTTTTTCTTTTTTTTTTTTGGTCTGTTGTCCTATGTTCAATCAATGCATCTTTGTTGTTGTTGTTGTTGTTGTTGTTGTATTTTACTTCAATTTACAAGATACATGTGCAGGATGTGCAGGTTTGTTACATAGGTAAACGTGTGCCACAGTGGTTTCCTGCACCTATCAACCCGTTACCTATGTATTTAGCCCAGCATGCATTAGCTATTTTTCCTAATGCTCTCTCTCCCCCCACCCCACCCCATGACAGGCCCCAGTGTTTTGTGTTTCCCTCCCTGTGTTCATGTGTTCTCATTGTTCAGCTCTCACTTATAAGTGAGAACATGCAGTGTTTGGTTTTCTGTCCCTGCATTAGTTTGCTGAGGATAATGGCTTCCAGCTCCATCCCTGTCCTGCAAAAGACATGATGTTGTTCCTTTTCATGACTCCATAGAATTCCATGGTGTATCTGTAAAACATTCTCTTTATCCAGTCTATCATTGATGGACATTTGGGTTGATTCCATGTTTTTGCTATTGGGAAAAGTGCTGCAGTGAACATACCTGTGCATGTATCTTTATAATAGGATGATTTATGTTTCTTTAAGTATATACCCAATAATGGAATTGCTGGGTCAAGTGGTATTTCTGGTTCTAGGTCTTTGAGGAATAGCCACACTGTCTTCCACAATGGTTGAACAAATTTACATTCCCACTGACAGTGTAAAAGCATCTGTTGTTTCCTGACTTTTTAATAATTGCCATCCTGACTAGGTGAGATGCTATCTCATTGTGGTTTTGATATGCATTACTCTAATGATCAGTGACGTTGAGCGTTTTTTTATATGTTTATTGGGCACATAAATATGTGTTCTTTTGATAATTGTCTGTTCATGTCCTTCGCCCACGTTTTAATGGGGTTGTTTGGTTTTTCTTGTAAATTTGTTTAAATTCCTTGTAAATTCTGGGAATTAGACCTTTGTCAGGTGGATATTGCAAAAATTTTCTCCCACTCTGTAGGTTTCCTCTTTGCTCTGATGATAGTTTCTTTTGCTGTGCAGAAGCTCTTTAGTTTAATTAGATTGCATTTGTCAATTTTTGCTTTTGTTGCAATTGCCTTTGACATTTATGTCATGAAATCTTTGCCTATGCCTATGTCCTGAATGGTATTTCCCAGATTTTCTTCTAGGATTTTTATAGTTTTGGGTTTTCCATTTAAGTCTTTAATGCATCTTGAGTTAATTTTTCTATAAGGTGTAAGGAAGGGGTCCAGTATTGATTTTCTGCATATGGCTAGGCAGTTCTCTCAGCACCATTTATTAAATAGGGAATTATTTCTCCATTATTTGTTTTTATCACGTTTGTTGAAAATCAGATGGTTGTAGACATGTGGCCCTATTTCTGAGTTCTCTTTTCTGTTCCTTTGGTCTATGTATCTGTTTTTGTACCAGTACCATGCTGTTTTGGTTACTGTAGCGTTGCAGTGTAGTTTGAAGTCAGGGGCATGATGCTTCCAGCTTTGCTCTTTTTGCTCAAGATTGTCTTGGCTATATGGGGTCTTTTTAGGTTCCACATGAATTTTAAAGTAGTTTTTCTAATTCTGTGAAGAATATCAATGGTAGTTTGATTGGAATAGTATTGAATCTATATATTGCTTTGGGCAGTGTGGCCATTTTCATGATGTTGATTCTTCCTATCCATGAAGATGGAATGTTTTTCCAGTTGTGTGTTTCCTCTCTGATTTCCTTGAGCAGTGTTTTATAGTTCTCCTTGAAGAGGTCCTTTACCTCCCTTGTTAGCTGTATTCCTAGGTATTTTATTCTCTTTGTAGCAATTGTGCATAGGAGTTCATTTATGATTTGGCTCTGTACTTGTATATTGCTGATGTGTAGGAATGCTTGGGATTTTTGCACATTGATTTTGTATCCTGAGACTTTGCTAAAGTTGCTTATTAGCTTAAGAAGCTTTTGGGCTCAGACGATGGGGTTTTCTAGATATAGGATCATGTCATCTGCAAACAGACACAGTTTGACTTCCCCTCTTCCTATCTGAACACCCTTTATTTTTTCTCTTGCCTGATTGCCCTAGGCAGAACTTCCAATACTATGTTGAATAGGAGTGGTGAGAGAGGGTATCCTTGTCTTGTCCCAGTTTTCAAGTGGAATGCTTCCAGCTTTTGCCCATTCAGTATGATGTTGGCTGTGGGTTTGTCATAAATGGCTCTCACTATTTGGAGGTATGTTACTTCAATACCTAGTTTATTGAGTTTTTAATATGAAGGAATGTTGAATTTTATCAAAGGCTTTTTCTACATTTATTGAGATAATCATGTGGTTTTTTGACTTTGGTTCTGTTTATATGATGAATTACATTTATTGATTTGCATATGTTGAACGATCCTTTCATCTGGGGATGAAGCCAACTTGATCATGGTGGATGAGCTTTTTGAAGTGCTGCTGGATTTGGTTTGCCAGTATTTTATGGAGGACTTTTGCATCGATGTTCATCGGGGATATTGGCCTGAAGTTTTTTTGTTGTTGATGTATCTCTGTCAGGTTTTGGTATCAGAATGATGCTGGCCTTATAAAATGCATTTAGGAAGGAGTCTCTCTTTTTCAATTGTTTGGAATAGTTTTAGAGGAAATGGTACCAGCTCCTATTTGTACCTCTGGTAGAATTCAGTTGTAAATCTATCTGGTCCTGGATTTTTATGGTTAATAGACTATTTATTACTGCCTCAATTTGATAACTTGTTATTGGTCTATTCAGGGATTCAACTTCTGCCTGATTCTGTCTTGGGAGGTGTATGTGTCCATGAATTTGTCTGTTTCTTCTAGATTTTCTAGTTTATTTGCATAGAGATGTTTATAGTATTCTCTGATGGTTATATTTCTGTGGGGTCAGTGATGATGTCCCCTTTATCATTTTTTATTGTGTTTGAGTCTTCACTCTTTTCTTCTTTATTAGTCTAGCTAGAGTTCTATCTATTTTATTAATTTTTTCAAAAAAAAAGTCCAGGATTTGTTGATTTTTGAAGGTTTTTTTTTGCATGTCTGTCTCCTTTAGTTCCACTCTAATCTTGATTATTTCTTGTCTTCTGCTAGCTTTGGGGTTTGTTTGTTCTTGGTTCTCTAGTTCTTTTAGTTTTGATGTTTGGATGTTGACTTGAGATCTTTCTAGCTTTTTGATGTGGACATTTAGTGCTATAAATTTCCCTCTTACTACTTCTTTAGCTGCATCCCAGAGATTCTAGTATGTTGTCTCTTTGTTTTCATTGGTTTCAAAGAACTTCTTGATTTCTGCCTTAATTTTGCTATTTACCCAGGAGCCATTCAGGAGCAAGTTGTTCACTTTCCATATAGTTGTGTGGTTTTGAGTGAGTTTCTTAATCTTGAGTTCTAAGTTGATTGTGCTGTGATCTGAGACACTGTTATGATTTCAGTTCTTTTGCATTTGCTGAGGAGTGTTTTACATCCAATTATGTGAAAGATTTTAGGGTGTCATTTGGCACTGAGGAGAATGTATATTCTGTTGTTTTTCGAGGGAGAGTTCTGTAGATATCTATCAGGTCCACTTGATCCAGAGCTGAGTTCAAGTCTTGAATATCTTTGTTACTTTTCTGTCTCAATGATCTGTGTAATATTGACAGTGGGGTGCTAAAGTCTCCCACTATTATTGTGTGGGAGTCTATATCTCTTTGCATGTCTCTAAGAACCTGTTTTATGAAGCTGGGTGCTTTTGTATTGGGTGCATATGTATTTAGGATAATTAGCTCTTCTTGTTGCATTGAACCTTTTACCATTCTGTAATGCCCTTCTTTGTCTTTTTTGATCTTTGTTGGTTTAAAGTCCGTTTTGCCAAAGACTAGGATTGCAGCACTTGCATTTTTCTGCTTTTCATTTGCTTGGTAAATTTTCCTCTATCCCTTTCTTTTAAGCCTATATGTGTCTTTGCCTGTGAGATGGATGTATTAGTCTGTTCTCACACTGCTAATAAAGACACACCCCAGACTGGGTAATGTTTAAAGGAAAGAGGTCAAATGTACTCACAGTTCCACGTGGCTGGGGAGGACTCACAAGTGGTGGAAGGCAAAGGAGAAGCCAAGGCGTGTTGTACATGGCAGCAAGGCAATCATACAAGGGAACTTCCATTTATAAAACCATAAGATCTCATGAGACTTACTACGACAAGAACAGCATGGGGGAGGCCACTCCCATGATTCAATTATCTCTACCTGGCCCCACCCTTAACACACAGTGATTACTACAATTTAAAGTGAGATTTGGGTGGGGACACAGCCAAACCATATCAATAGGTCTCTTGACTACAGCACACTAATGGGTCTTGGCTATATCCAGCTTGCCATTCTGTGTCTTTTACTTGGGGCATTTAGCCCACTTGCATTTAAGGTTAATATTGTTATGTATGAATTTGATCCTGTCATGATGATGCTAGCTGGTTATTTTGCAGATTTGTTGATGTAGTTGCTTCATAGTGTGTCACTGGTCTGTGTACTTCAGTGTATTTTTGTAGTGGCTGGTAAGTTTTTCCATTCCATATTTAGTGCTTCCTTCAGGAGCTCTTGTAAGGCAGGCCTGGTGGTGATGAATTCCCTCGGCATTTGGTTGTCTGGAAAGGTTTTGTTTCTCCTTTGCTTACGAAGCTTAGTTTGGCCAGATATGAAATTTTGGGTTGGAAATTATTTTCTTTAAGAATGTTGAATATCAGCCCCCAATATCTTCCAGCTTGTAGGGTTTCTGCTGAAAGGTCCACTGTTAGTCTAATGGGCTTTCCTTTGTAGGTGACCTGGACTTTCTTTCTGGCTCCCCTTAACATTTTTTCCTTCATTTCAACCTTGGAGAATCTGAGGATTATGTGTCTTGGGGTTGATCTTCTCATGGAATATCTTATTGGGATTCTCTGGATTTCCTGAGTTCAATGTTGGCCTGTCTTGTTAGGTTGGGGAAGTTCTCCTGGGTGATACCCTGAAGTGTGTTTTCCAGCTTGGTTCCATTCTCCCCATCCCTTTCAGGTACCCCAATCAGTCTTAGGTTCAGTCTTTTACATAGTCTCATGGTTCTTGGGGGTTTTGTTCGTTCCTTTTCCAAATGCATCTTTTAACATTGTGAGATATTCTAAACAGTCATTTTGTAAGGTCTCAAATCCCACCATACCTGAAGGTTTGTTTCTATCAGAAATAATTCAAAGTTTGATTTGTTATTTAAATGATTTTTGTCTTACATGTTGAGTCCAAAGTTTAAATTTCATCACTGCTTCTTGACATGCCAGTGAAAGCATGGCAACACAGTTTAAATCAGCAAATTGAGCTTATTATTAAAAATACCAGCAGGATAAACAAATTCGATCAGTGAAGTTGAGAAGTATTTAAGTAATGTTATTGTAATCAGTACAATTAATAGCATTTTTTGGTCTCACTTGCCATTTTAATTGTAGCATTTATCTTCAGAACATGCAACAAACTTCAGTTTTTGAAACATTAGAATTTATGAAAACAGGAATTCTGGAACTCCCTACCAATAGAATTAACAAAACTCTAAAAATTCTGCCTGTTTGACATGCATATGACATTATCTATTGGCTAGTGTCATTAATCTCACCTCCTAAATTTCACTCGAGCCTTTTTAATGTGGGGGTTTTAGATGCTCATTGGCAACTGTTGTATCAGCAGTTCTCTTGCTGCTGCTGTGGCTGTTGAAATAGTTCCCACTAAGCTTTCCGTCCTTTTTCAATCACTTTTCCAAACTGCAGTCAGAGTAATACTCTCAAAACACAAACATGATGACGATGTCTCCTGCTTAAATCCCTCCAAAGGTTTCCATTGTTCTCAGGATGAAAATCAAAATCCTAATATGCCCCACCACACACTGCTTAGTTCAGTCCCTTTGACACCCAACCTCCTGCTACACCACCAAGTCAATGGCTCTGAGCCCCAAAACTGGACTTCTCTCACCTCCTCAAACTCACCATTCTCCCTTCTATCACGGGGTCTTGTGCAGGCTCTCCCTTCCTTCTGGAAGATTCTCCATCCCAGCATCTCACTCTTGCTCCATCCAACCTAGATAAATCCCAACTTCCAGATCTGTTAGAAATGCCACTTCCTCAAGGAGCCTTCACTGGGTCCCTTGGTCCTTCTGTGCTGTGGTCCTACAGCACGTAGTTGTTGTATGTTACAACTGCATCTGTGTGTGATAATCTGATTTTTTTTTTCAAGATGGAGTCTTGCTCTATCGCCCAGGCTGGAGTGCAATGCATGATCTCTGCTTACTGCAACCTCCACCTCCCAGGTTCAAGTGATTCTCCTGCCTCAGCCTCCCAAGTAGCTGGGATTACAGGCGCCCGCCACCATGCCCGGCTAATTTTTGTATTTTTAGTAGAGACGGGTTTTCACCACGTTGGCCAGGCTGGTCTGGAACTCCTGACCTCAGGTGATCCGCCCACCTTGGCATCCCAAAGTGCTAGGATTACAGGCGTGAACCACCGCACCCGGCCGATAATCTAATGTCTGTCTCACTACATGAGGGCAAAGGCTGTGCCTGGCTTTATATCCCCCAAACCCAAAATGACACATAATATGCACAAATCATATTTGCTAAACAATGGAATGAATAAATATTACAAACACTTTTCAAAGAATGTGGCATTTCGATCATCTAGTGTTATCTCTGCAGCATGCAAAGACCACTCGCACACATTTTGGAAACACTTTTTATAGGAACCGCTACTCTTGCTTTCTTCATGTGTTAGTCTAGTGTTAAAATGGCAAGTGAGCCCCTAAAAAAGTTATTAATTTTCCTGATAAAAAAATTACTTAAATACTTCTCAGCCACAACTTTATTAAACTAATTTATCTTGCTGATTTTTTTTATAACAAACTCAATTTACTTTTTGAAATGGTTTTGACAGTCAACAGATCTCAGTGTATTTTTGCCAGCTTATTTCATGGTGTGTTGAAAACTGCCCTAAACTCTTAAACTGTGCCTTCCTCTTGTGTGTTATATACTTTTTAAAAAGTATGAATCTTCCTTATATCCATTTATACTAACAGGATGGAAAAAAATAAAAATAATGGAGTTCTATATAGATGTACTCTCATTCTGTTAAACTGTGAATAATTCATACTCTCTCCCCCTCCAATCCAAACTCCTTTTATTTTTTTTTTTTTGTGACACGGAGTCTCACTCTGTTTCCCAGGCTGGAGTGCAGTGGTGCAATCTCAGCCCACTGCAACCTCCATCTCCTGGGTTCAAGCAATTCTCCTGCCTCGGGCTCCTGAGTAGCTGGGACTTACAGGCATGTGCCACCATGAACAGCTAATTTTTGTATTTTTAGTAGAGACGGGTTTCACCAGGTTGGCCGGGCTGGTCTCAAACCCCTGACCTCAAGTGATCCACCCGCTTCGGCCTCCCAAAGTGCTGGGATTACAGGCGTGAGCCACCATGCCTGGCCAAACTTCTTTATCAAATATATTGTAAGTACAGTTTTAGATTCTTTGGATCATATCACCAAACTTCTATATCAAATGTATTTTCCTAGGAGATAGTTGTTCAGTATCAGCAGAATAAAGTTTAATCATTTATCTGCAGGAGCGAGTTACCACCCCAAGGGCAAGGCAGCAACTTTCTTTGAATTATGTTATTTGTTTGTTTGTATTGGCACATTTAAATGTTGTTTTCATACATTTTTTCCTATGGTGTTTAGCTAGTGAATTTACACAGGAAGCATCGGCATCTTACTGTTATGCTCACTGTGATTTGTTTGAAGGTAAAATTGAAACTTGGTGAGGAGCATAGGACATATTCCTACGTAACGACACTGAGGATTTAAGAAAATTTTTTATTTTTATTTTTAGAGACAGGGTCCCTCTTTGTCACCCAGGCTGGAATGCAGTGGTGCCATCATAGCTCACTGCAGCCTCAAACTCTTAGGCTCAAGCCATCCTCCCACGTTAGCCTCCCAAGTAGCTGGGATTACAGGTGCATGCCACTGTGCCTGGGCCAAATTTTAACTACTCTAATGATAAAACAAACAAACAAACACCTCTCATTATACTTTTTTCTACTTCGCGTGATTTTGCTCAAGTACTTTCAAACACACAACACATTTGTTCCATCCTGTATTGTTCATCTCAAGATAGTCTATGCTAACTGAGAGGTGAGTTGGCTCTAGAAGAATATGACTAGCTTCATTCTGAGTCCAATTTCAAACATCCATTGGCAAAGATTCATTGATAACTTCTTCTTACCAAGCAAGATTCTGTTCCTGGTCTAAAAAGCAATGATTTCCGCTAACTAGGGCAAAATTATTTCATCTTTATTTATAAATATAAATAATTGTAATTTAGGATTTCAAATTATTATTAAATGTATTAGTATTCTTTTAAGTGCTTTACAAATGTTAACTCATTTTATCCACATAACAAACCCCTGAGAAGGTATTTCCTGCCCATTTTAAAGTGGCAGTAATTAAGAATAGACCATTTAAGTGTCTTGCTCAAGGTTATACTGACATAGCTGTTCTGTGGCAGAGTTAGAGTCTGTTCGCAGGCAGTCTGGTTTTAGATCCTGCACTTAAAGCATCTGGCACTTCACCGAGCCTATGACATCCCTGCTGTAGTAGGGCCTACATTGCAACAATTACATGTGGCAAGATCTGCACAGACTTGCGTTCAAGACCAATGCAGAGCTATAGACTTCTTGAATAGCTGCAGGAAGCTAAAATACGTATTTTATTTTATTATGATTATTTTTTTGAGACAGAGTTTCACTCTTGTTGCCCAAGCTGGAATGCAGTGGCGCAATCTTGACTCACTGCAACCTCTGCCTCTCGGGTTCAAGTGATTCTCCTGCCTCAGGCTCCCGAGTAGCTGGGATTATAGGCGCCCGCCACCATGCCTGGCTAATTTTGTATTTTCAGCAGAGATGAGGTTTCTCCATGTTGGCCAGGCTGGTCTCGAACTCCTGACCTTAAGTGATCCACCCGCCCCGGCCTTCCAAAGTGCTGGGATTACAGGAGTGAGCCCCTGCGCCCGGCCATAAAATAACATAGTCTAAAAGATGAAATTCGAATCCAACTTTCTAGAAACCCTAGAACACTGCCTCAAAAATCTTGGGTTTTCAAGAGCCATCTGAGGTCCGGAGCTAAAGTGTTCACTCCACCAATCGCTTTATTTCCAGGACATGGTGGCTCAAACGCCTCAAGATGTTTGAATCCTGTTTTCTTGGTTGAAAGACTTTTAAATTTTTTCTTTCAGTAGGGGAATACTGATCTGTGGGCACGGATTGCCACACACCCCAGTTAAATCACCTTTCCCTGCTCAGGAAACCACTTCCAGCGTCAGGATGTCGCATCTGTTCTCCCACTACCCCTTGATGTTTTGTAGAAAGCCCCTTCATTGGGTTCATCTCTAGCAGTTGTTTGCTGTGCCATGGCAGCACTGGTGCAAAAAGTATGCTTAGGTACACAGCAGCCAGTCTGAAGTAGTGGGAAGCTTTTTAAATAAAAACACCAAGGACATATATGCAGTAACCTACTTCAGGTTCCCACTGTGTGAAAAAATCAGAAGAATTAATGCAAAAGAGAAGACAAACATGAATGATACTATAACATATCTGTAGTGATAGATATGCACATATACATACATACATGACACACACATGCACGAGATAGCCTGGGATAGACGATTGTCACTGATATGATCATGAAGAAAAAAGCCCAGAAAGTAACCTCATTCCCTCCACAGATGCTTTATCTTAGAGCCACTTTCCTGTCCCTGTCTGGTACCTAGCACAATGCTTAAACGAATAAAAAGTGCTCAGCAAACATCAGTTAAATAAATTAATAATTGAAGAAAGAGAAGGAGGAAGTTGGGAAGGGAGGGAGGGAGAAATGGAAACGAAAGGAGAGGAGACGAGGAGGGGACAGGAGGGGATGGAAGGGGAGGGAAGGGGAGAAGAGGGCAGGGGAGGCTGAGGTGAGGCGATAGGAGGGGAGGGGAAGGCAGGGGAGGGGAGGGGAGAAGAGGGCAGGGGAGGGGAGGGCAGAAGAGGGCAGGGGAGGGGAGGGCAGAAGAGGGCAGGGGAGGGGAGGGGAGAAGAGGGCAGGGGAGGGGAGGGCAGAAGAGGGCAGGGGAGGGGAGGGCAGAAGAGGGCAGGGGAGGGGAGGGCAGAAGAGGGCAGGGGAGGGAAGGGGAGAAGAGGGCAGGGGAGGGGAGGGGAGAAGAGGGCAGGGGAGGGGAGGGCAGAAGAGGGCAGGGGAGGGGAGGGGAGAAGAGGGCAGGGGAGGAGAGGGGAGAGGAGAGGAGAGGGAGAAGGAAGGGACAAAGGCAGGAAAGGGCTTAATCAATCAATTGAACACAGTCCGGTTTCCAAAGTCATCTACTCCTTTACTCTTTCCCATATCTTCTGTGCCTTCCTGACTTTCCAGTTTTTTGCAAAGCAAATTCCCACCTTGGGTTATTTCTCAGTTAGTGGCTTACACAGAGTTTCCTGGGAAAATCATGGAAACCTCCCAACAAGGTCTAGAACATACCTATTCTACTCCATCTCCCTAGATTTCTATTTAATCTTTTGTGCTCACCTACTTATAACACCCAATCAGCCTCTCCGGTCCTTGTTCACAGTTTTCAATTTCCCAAGTCACCAATTTCGTTCATGCCACCACACCCTGCCCAGCTTTCTGAAAAACTAGTTTTCTCCCAGTTTCCATTTTTCTGATAATCATATTGATTATCTCTTAGTCAACAAGGTTCAAACCTAAAAGTAATTTCTTACTCCTTCTCTTTGCCTCTCCTAAATCCTCCATGGTTTTTTGTTGTTGTTGTTGTTTGTGTGTTCTTGTGTTCGTTTTTTGTTTCTTAATGTAAGGTGAGGATCAGGGAAAGAAGGGGGACAGAGAAAATGGGACTCACTGTTTGACACTGGAAACTACTCCAAAAGGCTGAATTGCTAAAATGAGAAACTCAAGGCATTGATTTACTTTTGCTGTGACTGTGGTTTAAAATGACTGAGTGACATGCAAAAATAGGAAACTCCTGTATTTTTTTTCTTCAATATTACCAGAAGCAAATATTTGTAAGTTCACACTGTAGTGAAACTAATCCTGGGCTCCAGGAGCACAGCGTAACCTAAGATCTAATTAGAAGAAAGAGAATAAAGATAGTCTATTCCAGGCTATCTCGTGCTGTGTGTGTGTCGTGTATGTATGTGTATGTGTGTGTCTATCCCTACACATACGTTATAGATCTTCAACATAACCTTGATCTAATTCCTATAACATGCCATTGGGATCTGCAACAGGGACAGGTATGGGAGGGCCTTTAAACAAGATAGAAAGGTGTCAGGGCTTAGGTAAATTCTTCAACATTTCACTTTTTGTAATGATAAATAGCCATATAAATTTATTCATTTTAAACTACTGGAAAAAAAGCAAAGACTCTATGTGAACACATAAAATAAAGCTCAGCTTAACACACTGCTTGGGTAGCCTGCAAACATTGTTCCTATGGTTATTTATCATCTTTTCTGTATAACTGTAATAAATCAATACTAATCCCTTGTTATAATACAGCTGATAATTTTCAAAAAGTATTAGAACTAAAATTATTCATATAAACCATCTTATCAAATTTTCTTCCAGTTTATGTGTTTTATTTATTTTATTCTAGATTTCCTGCTCTTCTAAGACACAGTGATTTAGAATTTCTGTTCAAGCAAGAGAACTAAAGACTTCTTTAAAGAAGAGAAGGTAAGTCCCAGGAACCAAAATGTCTCCAGTCTTAGAGGCTTCTTCAAATATGCAGCTGGTTGGTCTTGACAAAATAAGTTACTTTCACGAAGCTACAGTTCACTTTGCAGTCCATTACTTATGCTATTACCCTTCATGAATTAGCTGTAGGTAAATGATTCCAAAAAGTATAATTAATTTGGTTCTCATACTATTTCTACAGGCTTTTCTTTTTCTGGAAAATCAGATGAATGAGGACATTCGAAAGTAAAGAATCTCTGCATTTTGACTAGAGAGAATTTTCTACCAGGATGGGATAGAATGATCACAATGGATTATAGAGTGTGTATGGTGTGGTGTGGTATGTGTGTGTGAGTGCACACACACGTGCTTTCCCCAGTTTGGAAGTGATTTGTTGGGGAGTTCTCTTGTTCTCAGGAAGTCTTAATCCTTTCTGATCAGCACTTACATGTCAACCTTAGAGAATTAAACTTGTACCTGGTTACTTTTTTCTCTCTCCTTGATATAGCTCAATGCGTTTTCTCAAATGGTAACCATGGTCTAGCAATTTAAAGCCTTTGAACCTTGTGAACAGATTCATTTAAAACCATATTCTGAGGGCTTTCCATAAAATGGAAAGTGTCTTCTACCAGGAAGCTACAAAAGAATTTACAAGAGAAAATCTGCTAAGTGTCCCCCTCAGGATGAGTGTACAGTAACATGTCCAGAAGATCCAGTGTCCTAGAGGAAGTCATTCACAAAGGTCCTGACTCTTTGGGCTTAATGGGTTGAACTCTGAATTTCTTTGCTTTCTCCTAGTCGATGCTGTGTTTCTTATTTTAATACAAAATTTAGCAAAAAGTTTTCATGAAGTAAAGGACTTTCTAAATAAATTACAAAATAATTATAAAATACGAATATGTAGGAATGTCGACATTTTTACATCAGAGAAATTGAGTTATACGAGCATATTTCTTTTTGATGCTATTCATTCAAAGACAATATATTAAGTTTTTAAAATGATGTCAGAAGTTTAGAGGGCATGCATACATCTTAACAGTCTATGACAACAACTGTGGTTTTGTCACTGGTACTATTTTGTGTTCAGGTTACTGTATCTGAATTAATTTTCGATCCAAAACAAGTTATCGTGTGTGCGTGTGTGTGTGTGTGTGTGTGTGTGTGTATGAAGCTGACACTAATTCAGTATTGCAAAAAGAGTTTTTTGCTATTCCATTTAAGAAGAGAGAAGATAAGATAGAAGGTCGTCTTTTTTTTTTTAAGAATAAAATTGTGGTGTAATTTTGCGTAAAATAGCAGCAACTACTATTGTTTTATTTTAATATCCATCTCAAGCTCTGCGTTTTTACATTTCCCCTAAGGGCATCTCAGAGAAAGGGGATAAGAGAGAACTTTAATAAGCATTCCTGCGTGCACACATACACATTCTTACATGCCCAGTGAGTAATTAATCAAAATGAAAATAAAACTCTGGAATGAATAGCTAGCTATGTTACGTGCCATCTTCGGTATACAGGGTATCTGTCTTCCGTTGATCTCAATTTAGGTAAAGGTGAGACTTTCACGTTAAGCTAAAACAGTTAATGCAAAGCAGATTTTAATAATTTACCATTGTGTATTTCTTCAGTTATTGTTCTTTTAAGATCCTCTGTAAGAATTTTTGCACTATATTTTGTACAACTGCCTGTAGAAACCAAGACCCTAGAAATGTGCATGCAATATACATGTAACCTAGATAAGTGATGATTTGTCTAAGTTGCTCTGCTGATATTTTCCTCAAATCCTCCTCCTGACTTCTCTTTTCATTCAAATGTGAATCATTACACAAGCATACACTGTGAAAAACCTATCTCTCTGTCTAGTTTTATAATAGACTTCAAATAAATTAAATTTTTAGGATAAATTATTATTGAAGTATCCGGGGAATTGGGTGCACAGTTCTTATTACTAATGGGAGCCACGCACCTAATTTCAGGCACTCTGAGCTGAAATGTAATCAACTGTGTGTTTTCTGCTATAAAAATATAACTCAATATTCAGTGCAAAAGCAATCCTTGGCTCTCCGAAGCCCATTGGCGATGAGATTCCTTCAGGTCTTAGGCATTTCGCCTTAGAAAAAGCGCTCCCTACGAAAGCCACTATAATAAAAACACGCCATCCTCCCCTTGTCTTGTAAGTTCTCTCTCTTCAAATCCTTCTCTTGCCAGTTCGTGAATTCCACTCTTCCCACACTGGAAGCTTCTCTAGGACAAGCAGTTCGTCTTTAATAGCTAATATAGAAACTTGAATGTTATAGTGTTCCTCTGAGATACATATTGAAGGATAAATTTTCCTATGTGATGGTTGCAGCTATGGAGGTAGGCTACTACCTTTAAAATACACATATAAGGATATATCTTGATGAGGAAACAAAAGTTACCATCCACATACCACCAAGCTCTTCCAAAAGCAAGGAGAAGAACGACATGCTTTCTAACCTTGGAAAAGCACAAAAAAAGAAAAGAAAAAAACACACACCAACAAAAAGAAAGGAAAGAACTTCAAAAGAGTTTCTTCAAACTATATGATTTAGGAAGATGTCTTGAGTGTGCCTGTCCTGATTTACAGCAGATCTAGTGGGTATGCTCTTACTGCATACGTTTTAACTAATGCTTTCCAGTGTGATTATGAATACACTTTATATGTCCTAAGGTCACGCAGATATTTTAACTAAGCCTAACAAATACTCAGAAACATGTCTTAAATTAAAATATGACAAAATAATGTTTTCCAAAAAGGGCACTGAGAAGAAAAGATCACACAATTTCCATGGCACAGAATCCTGCTCGTTTACGAGAGGTGGTGAAGAGGATAGAAAACATGTAAAATGTTATGTGGTCTGTTTTCAAAATGGAGAAAAGGAATATCATAAATAATTGAAATCCCCAGATTAGCCAAGGCTATCATTTTTTTGTCAGTAAGCTCCACCCTTTCCCGGGCCTTTATAGAATGGAACTCAAGATTGCAAAGCCTTTGGCTTGAATAAAAATTCTTCTTTCTTTTTCCTGCCGTATTGACCAAAAGGGAAGGGGAAAGGGAAATCAGAGGGCCCACATGATACTCAAGACGGATAGTCCCTCCCTGCCTCAACAGGGATTGGAAGCTGATATATCACTATCTAGCGCATAAGCAAAGAAGTGGACGAGATGAAAGAAACAGCATAAATTAACAATGTCAAAAAACATCATAAGCCTCTCTGATGATTACAAGTATCTCTATGTTTGTTGTCTTGTAGAACAAAAATCAGAATGGCTGACTGCAGATTTGACTTTTCATCTGGATGTTTCGGTGTTTTGCAAACAGCGTTTGGTGCAAGGGAAAAGTTAGAGTTTTAAATCTGTGGGACACGGTGATAATTTTTCACTCTACTTCTTAGTCCTGTCCTTCTGAATGAGCAGGGCCATCTCTGAGCCTGGGTGTGAGGAGTGTGGTTCAATGCCTCCAGACTGTAACTTTCTGAAGTTTTCAGTCTGATTTCAGAGAATCCTGAGGAGGGTCTGTACCCAAGGAAGCGTTCAGGCTGATTGAATGCTTTGATTGTGAATGTTTGGATCTGACTTAGTAGAAGCGAATTTCTAAGTACGATGTCCATGTCTGTATCCTAGCCTCAATTAAAAAAAAAAAAAAAAGATTAAGAGGCTAAATAGATTTTCTTCTTGCTGAAGTACATAACCTACGAAAGAACAGGAACAGAAGACCGAAGTTTAGAAAAAATTCTCCTTTGTTAGGTCATTGCGTTTTTTTAAGGGTGAATTGAAGTTGAATCGCGATTTACTCTACATTGGGAGGTTATAGAGTGAGCAAAATGGACTTGTTGGGGCTGTCCCAAGGATAGTGAAAAAATGGCAGAAATAACTATTTAAGGCAGAGAGGTTGTTGGCAAAGTCACTTTGAAACATGATAAAAAGCACTACTCTGAAGTTTATTATTTCAATTTAGTCTGTGATCAGATACAAAGCATTAACCTCACAGACTTAAAACCTAGGCCGGGCACAGTGGCTCATGCCTGTGGTCCCAGCACTTTGGGAAGCATAGGTGAGACAATCGCTGGAGCCCAGGAGTTTGAGACCATCCGGGTTATAGAGTGAAACCTCATTTCTACAAAAAAATTTAAAAGTAACCAGATATATTGGCATGTGCCTGTAGTCCCAGCTGCTTGGGAGGCCAGGATGGGAGGATCACTTGAGCCCAGGAGGTCGAGGTCACAGTGAACCATCAACAGAAAACAGTCAGGAGAGGAGCAAAGCAAGATGACCAGAGGCAAGGGGACAAAAGCTTCTGTTTATTAACTCAGGAATCAGAGAAAGTATTTCCTAGGGTATTATACAGTTTTTTAAAATATGTGGTACCTTTTTGCTTTCAGTTTTCTAATCAGTAAAAATAAATAGATAAAATGCTACATGAAGTGCCATTTTAAATCATGAAGATAGCATGGGCCTTGGAACTAACTGAATGAGATTCAGATTCTTATTCTGTCACTTTCTAATTCTTACAAATTGGAAATATTATCTTTTTATATCTCAGTTTCTTAATCTGTACAGTAGAAATAATATACCTCCCTACTATTGATTTATGAAGACAAAATTTGATCAATCTACTAAGGTATCTGTAAACTAATGCTCAACAAATTGTGCACTATAAAAGCACCTTTAGGCCAAGCATGGTAATCCCAGCACTTTGGGAGGCTGAGGTGGGAGGATCACTTGAGGTCAGGAGTCTGAGACCAGCCTGGGCAATATAGCAAGACCCCAGCTGTACAAAAAACTAAATAATAATAATAATAATAATAATAATAATAACAACCAGGTGTGGGGGCATGCTGCTATAGACCTAGATACTCGAGAGGCTGAGGCAGGAGGATTGCTTGAGTCCTGGAGGTCAAGGCTGCAGTGAGCCATGATCCTGCCACTGTACTCTAGCCCAGGTGATAAAATGAGGCCCCATGTCTATAAATAAATAAATGAAGATACCTTTGTATATAACACAATAATTTCTGCCTATTACTATTATTTGAGATAATTATTTCAGAAGAGCACCATGTCCTATAGCAGGTTTCTATTTTGAACTTTCAATCCCAAGACTTTTTAGGTAGCGTGCAGATATCGTCAATGTTCTTATAGGCAATGCCAAGAATTTTTCTTTTTTAATGCAGCAGCCACAATTCAAGCATAGCAGATCCTACCTCTCTGATCACACTGCAATAAGATTTAGGGAGGTGCAATGAATGTTGAAAGCTTTACCTCTAGGAAATGTAGCCAATTGCCAGTTTTCTGTTGAAGTCATCTTTCTTGTTAGCTTCTGACTAGAAAGTTCTGCTTTAGGAAAGATTACCAGAGGTAAATATGCCTGATAAATAGGAGGGTTAGAAGGGATGGTCATGTCTAGTTTCAGAGAACTCCACTACTAAAAGGACTGTCATAATTCCACTTGCTGACACTGGCAGGAAACATGGCAAGTATATAGAAAAATCTCCATAAGTATGTGTTAAATGCATGAATAGGCTGGACGCAGTGGCTCATGCCTGTAATCCCAGCACTTTGGGAGGCCGAGGTGGGTGGATTACGAGGTCGGGAGGTCAAGACCATCCTGGCCAACATGGTGAAACCCCGTTTCTACTAAAATACAAAAAATTAGCGGGGCGTGGTGGTGCACACCTGTAGTCTCAGCTACTCAGGAGGCTGAGGCAGGGAAATCACTTGAACCTGGGAGGTGGAGATTGCAGTGAGCCGAGAGTGCACCACTGCGCTCCAGCCTGGTGACAGAACGAGACTCCATCTCAAAAAAAAAAAAAAAAAAAAAATGCATGAATAAATGAACCATTTTCCCGGGAAATAATATAGTAGGCAGCATCTATTCTAGGAGCACAGAGATGGCTTTGAATAACCAACACTGATATTCTTAACGTTGTGTAGAGGCAGCAACTCAGAATTCTCTGACCTTGGCTCTTGGGTTTCAGCATCGTATAAGTGCATCGTACCCCATTCATCTGCTATGTATATGTCTAAACTGAGCCTCATCAGACTATAGGTGCTTTCAGATCTTTTGATTGAAATCCTTTCCAATTATGACGTTATTTATGAGATACAGTTTTCCACAGCTGATTTATCTCTTGCTTTGTGAACCTGACTATATAAGAAATGTCATACCAAATGAGCTCAGTGATCCATGCAGCCCAGTCGATTCCCCGCAGTGGCCCCGAGGAATATTCTACAGGAGTTTGTGGTTGCCATGCAGATATTACCTAAATAAACCTCTTTAATGTGCCCTGATAATTCACCAATAACCTTTTATAATAATTCTCATATAAGAACTCATTTAATCAATGTGAAATAAGCTAAAAGTAAATTTTCATCAGTTCCCCCCACAATTTTAGCAAAGTTCCTTATTGTACAAATTTAGATATTCCAGAGTTCACATGATGATGGATACTAAACTATGATAAAATATGATTAGCCAGAAAATAATTGTTATCTACTAACAAGAGTATATTTTATTTAGTAAGCATTACAAGTATAGGTGTGTATCAAAGTAAAATATGGATTTCATAGATTACTATCTACTTCCATTTTTTTCTTTTCTCGTTTTCCTAAGAATAACACCTCCTTAGTTCACCGATTTTATGTTTACTTAATCCAAACACATAGATATTACCAGATAATCATGCTCTTTGTTGATTTATAACATCTGAACAAGACTAATAGTGATAAATTGTTCAACTACAGCAAATTTTTAGAAGAGTCAGATGTAAAAAAATATTCAATTTGTAAACACAACAAAACTCAGTTGAATTCACAAAGGTGACTTCAATCGAATAGCATGTTCAGGGTAAAGGATATGTTTTTGTACCTCTATAAAGGAAACTTTTTTCTTTTTACATATGTACCATTCAAGTGCCAAAAAAGAAAAATCCCTCTCAGACACTGTTTATTGAAAGAAATTTCATGAGAGCCAATCTCACTTTTCCAGCAGAGCAGCAACCTACCTTTCTAAAAGGAGAGCAGATGATGCTTTTGAAAACACTGCCTGCCTGTTGCAACACACTTATTTAAAAATACTGTGTCTATTATTCCTGAACACTTAAGAGTAAAACCTCATTGTAAATGGTGTTATCACCAGGAATGGTAAGTTGTTTTCATGCAAGAAGTTCAAAATCTGCTCTGATGTGGCCAATTAGAGGAGCTTTCTATAACTCCTTAGGACCAACTAAGGGTACATTTTGTTGTGATGTTTTTAATAGTTGGGTCCTCATATCCTTCTGACCCACATAGCATGGGGGAGTCAGGCAGCAGCTGGTACTTCTCAGAGTCACTCAAGGAGAAACTGGCAATTTGTGTGCTGGCTTCTGTGTGTGTCTCTTTCTATGTCCAGCTATAGATCTACCTATCACCCTTTTTCTCTGTTCAATTACTTACCATTGACACACTTCGTGAACAAAAGTTCTTTGGTTCAAGCATGATCTTAGGGTAGATTTATATAAAGTGCAATAGGCCTTTATCCAAAGAATGAGGTGTGCAAAGAAAACCCTGAATCAGTACTCCCTCTTCTGTATCAGATTTTGACCTTAAGACCTACCTTAGTGTAGCTTGTAGCCAGTTAGAAGACTTGCTTTCCTCTACCCTGGAAAGGGACAGTGAGAGGTGGGCGGAGAAAGCACTTCAGCTATTCTGCTCTTCAGAGTGGTCAGCAACCTAGTGTCACCTGGAATTGCCTCCTGGGTCCTCTACCCCCATTCAAACGTCACCCATTAGCTTCAGCGGGGAAGTTCAGCGTGCAAAGCACTGACGCATAACGTCTCTCACTGACATGAGCCGTATCCCTGCTCTTGATGGATTTTTAAAATCACAATTACATTAAATGCCAAATTTCAAAATCAAGGGAAAGTGGCACTCAAGGAGAGATCTGATTACCGTTTAAGAGGAAAAGGAAAAGTCTAAGAAGGATTTGAGTGCCAGTCACAGATCTCGGCATCGGCGACAGCTTAAATGGCGTTTATTTATCTTTACCATGGGTGAGATCTGTGGCTATACACAAATATCTCTTGGGGAGTATCACGTATAAATCAGGGAACAATTAAGAACTTGGTGCTGATCCTTTCAGACTGAAAACATTAAAACCCAGGCATTGGCCTGTAGTTGAGAAAATTGACTTAGAAGAGAAATTGAGTCCTTAAAGGCAAGGGCACGTTTAAAAAATATGTATTTTTTTTAATTAAAAAAAAATTTTTTTTTGAGGCGGAGTCTCACTCTGTCTCCCAGGTTGGAGTGCAGTGGTACAATCTCGGCTCCCTGCAACCTTCGCCTCCCAGGTTCAAGCAATTCTCCTGCCTCAGCCTGCTGAGTAGCTGGGATTACAGACACCTGCCACCACGCCTGGCTAATTTTTGTATTTTTAGTAAAGATGGGGTTTTGCCGTGTTGGCCAGGCTGGTCTCAAACTCCTGACCTCGGGTGATCCACCCACCTCGGCCTCCCAAAGTATTGGGATTACAGGCGTGAGCCACCACACCTGGCCTAAAAATATGTATTTCTTTAATTTGTGTGTATCCCTTGTTGGAATACAAAAGATGAATCAAACATTTATCTGACCTACAAACAGTTCTCAGATTGTTAAGGGAAATAAGTCATAAACAAAACACATCAAATACAGTGATTCATGATACAGCAAAGGCCCAGTGACATGCTGTGAAAATTAAGAGGAGGAAAGAGACTAGTGCAGAATTTCTGAAAGAAAATTCTATTGTGGCTGACTGCGGTGGCTCACACCTGTAATCCCAGCACTTTGGGAGGCCAAGGCAGACGGATTGCTTGAGGTCAGTAGTTCAAGACCAGCCTGGACAACGTGGCAAAACTCCATCTCTACTAAAAATACAAACACTAGCCAGGCATGGCGGTGCACACCTGTAATCCCAACTACTCAGGAGGCTGAGGTGGGAGAATCTCTTGAGCCCCAGAGACAAAGGTTGCAGTAAGCCAAGACTGCACCACAGCACTCTAGCCTGGGTGACAGAGCAAGACTCCACCTGAAAAAAACAAAACAAAACAAAAAAGAATGCAACTTTAATTTTTAAAAACATTATATTGTTTAAACTAGATGGCACAGGAATATTCAAATGGCCTCCAGAGATCATCTTCAGCCACTGGCGATTACAGTGGCTGGCATAGGAATGCAAAGCGCCCACATTCTGTTGAGTCCTCAGTTCACATCTGCTCTTGGTGTGCTGATTAATGTGGCAGAAAAATATGTTTCAAGACTCCTTGGGCCAGAGATAAAAGCAAATGAAGTCTGGGCATGGTGGCTCATGCCTGTAATCCCACCATTTTGGGAGGCCGAGGCAGGTGGATCACCTGAGGTCAGGAGTTCAACACCAGCCTGACCAACACGGTGAAAACCCATCTCTACTAAAAATACAAAAGTAGCCAGGTGTGATGGCAAGCGCCTGTAATCCCAGCTACTCGGGAGGCTAAGGCAGGAGAATCGCTTGAAACTGGGAGGTGGAGGTTGCAGTGAGCTGAGATTGCACCATTGCACTCCAGCCTGGGCGACAAGAGCAAAACTACTTCTCAAAAAAAAAAAGCAAATGAAGTTATTTTTCCTCTCTTTTTTTTTTTTTTTTGGAGATGGAGTCTTGCTCTTTCGCCCAGGCCAGACTGCAGTGGCGCTATCTCGCCTCACTGCAACCTCCGCCTCCTGGGTTCACGCCATTCTCCTGCCTCAGCCTCCCAAGTAGCTGGGACTACAGGCGCCTGCCACCGCGCTCGGCTAATTTTTTGTATTTTTAGTAGAGATGGGGTTTCACCATGTTGGTCAAGATGGTCTCGATCTCCTGACCTGGTGATCTGCCCGCCTCGGGCAAAGTGCTGGGATTACAGGCATGCTATTTTTCCTTTCTTAAAGAGCATAATTTATTCACTTAACAAATATTTTCTAGTTGCCTACTTTGGAGGAACAAATGTGGTATTGTCTGGGCATATAATTTATAGTTATAGCAAGGTTGCCCTGTATAACACAATTAGATAGTTGAAGATTTCAGAAGTTTTAATACTTTGAGTACTTAAGATCATTGCAATAATTGAATTACCTTCTCAGAAAGTCATGTTGGAGACAAAGCACTAAAGATTACCCTAAAATGTTGTTCTAGTTTATCTGTATAGCTCGGTGTTTTCAAATGAGGACAGGTTTGCCTCTCAGGGGTCATTTGGCAATATCAAGAGCCATTTTCCCTTGTCACCGCCTGGGGAGGGGGTATTACTGGCCTCCAGCAGGTAGGGGATGCTATTAAACATCCTACAGTGCATAGAGAAGTCCCCACAGCAAAGGATTATCTAACCCCAAATGTCAGTGGTGCCAAAGCTGAAAAATGCTGGTCTAGGTTATATTAATATTTCTACTTAAGTCGCCTCTTACAAGCCCCAGAAATCATGAAGATCCTGCATAGAGAGGCCTTTTATCCATAGACCTCTTATGAAGGAACAGGCACCTGAGTTACACAATCAAAGAGCCCAGCTAGATTTGGGTCATGTCATCAGAAGCAAGAGCATAGTGTCAATGAGATGGGGGAGAGAAGGAAACGGTAAACATGGAACTCAGGCTACAGAAGTGTGCAAGCTGACGTTCCCACCAACAGGTGGGAAATGGGCTTCGGGACCACAGAGGCCAGCAGTGAAGCTAAATTCAGAGGCATTGTTTCTCAAGGGCCAGCTGGGCTGTTGAAGCCTCGCCACCAATAGCTGCCTGCTTAATGGCAGCAAGGTTGTACCTTTTCCCTCGTTTTCATAGCCACAAACCTCACTTCTTCACCCTTCAGTGCTTTCACTCAGCTCTTCACCTCGGAGCTCTGCATTTGCCTAACATTCACCTAACATTCCTCCCCACCCTGTTCAGACTTCCCCACAACTGAGTTCTCTACTCTGGGCGAGTCAGTCATCACAGGATCACAGCAGATGGGAAATGGGGGCCAATGGACCTGCTCTTATTGCCAGGAGTGCATTGGGAGTAAAGTGTTTCTGTAAGTCAAGGATGAGAATATAAACTCATTTCTCCACATAAATATTTTTATACGTGGGAATCAAACTCTGAGGTTCCAGCTTTAAAAGGTGTCCTAAAAATCTGATGAACTTTTGTGTTTGTATATTTCATTGCGTTTTAGGCCTTAAAGTCCTGATTCAAATATAGCATTTTAGCAGTATATATACATATACATTATATATAATACAAATGGGATCTAATGGGATCTCACTATGTTCCCCAGGCTGGACCGAAACTTCTGGTTTCAAATTGTTCTCCCACTTCAGCCTCCTGACTAGCTGGGACTACAAGTGAGTGCCACCTCTCCTGGCTTTTTAGCAGTATTTTCTATGACCAGATGAGATGCAATACTCCCAGGCTATCTCAGGCAGCTGTGTAGGCTCCTCTACAAACCAAAAATGGTTCACACTGTATAGGAATTTGCAGTTGGAGGGCATATTTCCCATTCATTATCTCATTTGTTTCTAACACGAGCCCAGAAAAGTTGGGGCTCCTTCAGCACAGTGCTTAGCGTTTAGTGGATACACAATGAGTAGTTGATAAATTAACAAATGCCCAATATTTTGAAATGATAAACACATTCTGATTATTAAAATGGCTTGCCCAGTGAAACATGGATGCTTAGGGACAGCTCGAGTGCCCTGGCCAGCTAATTGCCCATCTAGGGCATTCTCATACTGCCTCTTGGGCTGTGTCTGGTCCAGGATAGACCCATGACCACAGGGGTCCACAGTGGCACTAATCGATGTCCTGGGCCCCAGGGTGGCAGCTCTGTAGGAGGAGAGGTACTGTGCACCTGAGCTTTGCCTGAGTCCTTTGCAGCCCCTCAAGTGGGGAGGTTGCTACAGCAATTTCATCTGAGACAGCTCTCTCCTGCTCTTTAAGGCAGGGGAACCCTGCTTTTGATTTATTTTGTATTTCACCACAGGGCTGAACACATCCTAGAGGCATTTAATCTGTTCACTTGAATTGATCTCAGATGCTGGGCTTGGCCTGATATGAACCTTCACACTGTAGGACTCAGCAGGTCATAGGAACTCATTTCCGTTTAAATCCCAGGCCCCTGACAGCTCAACCAACTCTCTCTGGGGTCCATGGGTCTGGTCAAAAGATCGTAGCTTTGACACTTGATGCAGTTAAAGCAAAGACATGCTCTTCCTCCCGAGTCTGTAGGTTGAAGACATAAGATGATCAAAGGGAATGATGTCGATCGCCTGCTCAAAAACTCTCCCTTACCTAAAGAATCAAGCATAAAATCAATAGCCCAGCATTCCTGCCCTCATTTACCTTTTCAAACTTATCTCTTATCACTCATTTACATCTTCCATGTGCTCCAGCCAGCCTGAACCGTCTTGGTGACACCATACAGAAGATGCACACATTTCCTCTGCCAAGATGGCCTCTCCCTTCTCTCCTCCTGCCCACTGCCCATCTCCGTATAACCCAGTCCATCTGATTGATTCACTGTCTTGTTCAACAAATATTTATTGTATGTCTGTAAGTGTTAGACGGTGTGCTCAGTGCTTGGAATAAAGAGGTGAAAGAGACTCATGGTCACCTGTAGAGATTAATTTCTTTAGCAACAGCTTACGTGAAACAAATAACTTGATTACATAGTTACCAAGTGTGACGTACTGTTAGGGGAGAAATTAATAGGATCTTTTGATAGAGAATAACAGGAGATTGGGACAAAAACAAATAGAAAGAATGAATAAGACCTACTATTTGGCAACATAACATGATGACTATAGTCAATAACAAATTGTACATTTAAAAATAACTAAAAGAATGTCATTAGATTGGTTATAACATGAAGGATATTAGATTGTCATTAGATTGGTTATAACATGATTGGTTATAACATGAAGGATAAGTGCTTGAGTGGATGGTACCCCATTCTCCATGTGATGTGATCATTATGCATTATATGTCTGTATCAAAACATCTCATGTGCCCCATAAATATATACACCTACTATGTACCCACAAAAAATAAAAATTTTTTAATTAAAAAAAAGAATAACAGGAGAATTTTACTTAGAAGGAGAGGTCATAGGAGACTCCTTGGGGAAGATGCCTTTCAGGCTGAGCACTAATGCCATGTGAGAGCTGGAAGAAGAGCATTCCAGAACCAGAGCTCGGAGGTAGGAGAAGTTTATCTGCGAGCCTATTCCTTGATGTTTCTTCTCACCACCAACCTACCCACACTGGCTCCCAGTTGGAAGTAACATTTACTTCCTTCCGTCTCTATGGATGCTCAACCAGGCACAGTGGCTCATGCCTTTAATCCCAGTACTTTGGGAGGCCAAGGCGGGCAGATCGCTTGAGCCCAGGAGTTCGAGTCCAGTTTGGGCAAGATGGTGAGATCCCATCCCTACAAAAAATACAAACATTAGCCCAGCATGGTGGTGCACACCTATAGTCCCAGCTACTCAGGAGGCTAAGGCAGGAGGATTGCTTGAGCCTGAGGAGGTCAAGGCTGTGAGCCATGATGGTGCCACTGCACTCCAGCCTGGGCAACAGAGCAAGACCATGTCTCAAAACAATAAATAAATAAATAAATAAATAAATAGACCTCCCACAGATGCTACATGTTCCCCTCTTGTGATATGTCTCACTCACGCTCTGGCTCGGTTAAGCTCATTTATCTCACTTCCCTTGAGGATAGTATGCATGTCAAAGTCACTTTTGAGGTCCTGCCTTGATGATCCTTGCCTCCTTCTGCTCTGGACACCCGGCAGAGGCAGGCAGCTACCTTCCTGGGGCTAGGAGGTTCATGTGTCCCTAATCCACCGCTCTCACTTGCTGTAGCGCTAATTTCCTGCTCTCTTATTCAGACCTCTTGCCAGCTAGAGAAATGGCAGGACACTGGGCCATCTTGTAGGATTAAAAAGTGATCAACCATTTGCCACTCTGTGAACACAAAGACAAGTAGTTCTAGGGGTGGATGGACAGGAGCTATAAATCCATATGACTTAAGCTGGAATGCTGACTTGGAACCTGTGTTACACTTAAAATTAAAGATAAGTGCGTATATCATATAAATATGATTAATGATAGCAGAAAGTGTTAGAGGAAGGGAAACAATAATTATATACAAAAACTCATGTGCAGGATAATACAGGGTTGGAGAAGCAAACTGAAGTCACTTGTAAATAAAAGAGTTAAAAATCGTAGCACAAAAATTGGTTTTATAAAAGAACAGTGTTCTGCAATTGCCTTGTGATATTGAATTGTACTTGAGTAAATTAGGAGTGGTGTTCTCCTGTTTAGCTGTCATTAAAGAACTCAGTGGTAAATGTCAGTGTCCCCACCAAGATCCCACTGAGTTACGTGAAATTCTCCAAAAACCCCTCCAACAGGAGAATTTATAAGCTCTGCATGCTCAACCGTCTTAATGTGTAAAACCGACTGAGAGATCTAAGACTAACTGTATGCAGCTCAATTCCAATTTGTTTGTTTTTAACAATGTCTTTGACATGTTATACATTATGTCACGTTCCAATTTGATGAAAATGTCTTCCCGTGTCCAGTAAGAAATACGTTTTAAGAAGCAGACCAACTACACTGTTATTTTCCTTGCTGTTTTCGATGGCAGGCACTTTGCCACATCTTCTCTCTTCAAAAGATCATTTATCAACAACAGAGTTAGCTCCTGGTAAAAGAGTCTAACTTAGACTGGTGTCCTTCTCATCTACCCACCTCTGAGAGCAAACTGAAGTGTTTTGCATTTTACACAGGATAAACCACCTTTAAAAAGACTGCAGCAACATTAGCTCCAAGAATGATATTGCAAAGTTTGCCACTATTCTTTTGAAGAAAGGAAATTATCTTGGCTGAAGCTAAATGCCGGCAGCTGCATGCCATGTTCTCTGAAAACAGCAAATGTCCTTTAGTTTAGTTTATCTGTGGTCTGCCTTGGTGTTATCCACTGTTAATTCTTAGTAGTACAGAACAATCCTTAGAGGAGCAAAGAAACATTTATTCAATGCAATCAGTGAACAGAGAATGGAGGGAGGTGGGTGGGGGATAACAGGAGCTGGGGAGGAAGAATAGGAATTCTTACAAAAGTTTGGAGTTAGGGGTCCTAGTGGGATTCCTCCCCCTTTTAACAACAAAGTGCAGAGTGAAAGAATATGTTCAGCTTACTTTGTCTTCCTGCTTCGTTTGATCTGAAAGAACAATCAGATACGGCTGATTTCTGAAGACTGTTCAGAATAGAGAGATCTCGAATGCCCCAGTGATAGCCATCGTTGTCAACAGGAGGCATTGCAGGCACTGACACCAGCACCTGAAAACGCTCAGATGCTCAACACTTCATCTTTCATTTCAAAATCTACTGCTGGGAATTCTCTTTATACAATGCATTGGATGATAAGTATTTAGAGGGGGACTGGATCCTGGAGGAGAATAAAGCATGGACCTCAGAGACTGGGATTGAACACCGGAGGAATCAGACATTTTAAAGTCAGAGAAATTTCTCAAAGAGAGAGAGAGAGAGAGAGAAATTATAAACTGCTGCAGAAAGAAAGAAAATAAAGAAGTTATATCCACTTAGACCCAAATCTTTCTTTATCTTTTATCTTTTTTTTCTTTTCTTTTCTTTTTTTTTTTTTTTTAAGAGACAAAGTCTCTTGCTCCATGGCCCAGGCAGTAGTGCAGTGGCATGATCGTGGCTCACTGCAGCCTTGAATTCTTGGGCTCAAGCGATCCTCCTGCCTGAGCCTCCCAAAGTAGCTGGGACTACAGGCACACCACCATGCCCAGCTAATTTTTGTAGAGGCGGGTTCTCACTATGTTGCCCAGGCTGGTCTCCAACTCCTGGCCTCAAGTGATCCCCCTGCCTTCGCCTCCCAAGATGCTGGAATTACAGGTGTGAGCTATAGCACTGGGCCCCAAATCGTTCATTTCACCTCTGGCTGGTCATGTGGTTCTCTTCCTACCTACATGCCGACTGACCTCGTGAGGTAATCGCACAGTTTGGCATAAACTTCAACGTAATGAGAAGCGTCCTTCACCTCAAAGGAGTCCAAGACAAACTGGAAATCCCCATGGAGGATTTCTGCCAGAAAACTGAGCATCTTTGTAAACCAAATAAAGGCCTCAAGTGTTGAGGGATAGAGCAAATCAATAGCATTTTTAAAAATCAGTTTTTAAAAATATATATGTCATTGACCATGTTAAATATCTAAAAGAGCCATCTTATCTAAAGCAAAGAATTGGATGGCATATATAGTAAAGTCACGGAACATGCTATGAGGCTTCAGGTTTTGCTAATTCTTAATTAAATAAGAAAGTAGCATCTTTCAAAATAATTCCCATATCTTTTTAGCCATAAAATAGGCAGGATATTTGGGGTGGGGGGGGGCAATTTTTTATTTTTTTAGGCAAGAACACAATTCCACTGGAATACATTTGATTTTATCTCCACATAGGGTGAGTTCTGGGGCTGTAGACAGTCGTATGGCTACCAATTAATTGCATAGGAGAATCAAGAGATACCATTTGCTTCCATCCTAGCTATGTCTCTGGTGGCATAAAGAGTACATTTTTTGAAATGTAAAATTTACAAAAGCGTTAAGAAGACACTAAGTTTTTAGGTGATATGTTGACTCCATTTTGCCCAGTTTAGCAACTTATTACATATATTTCATAAAATTTAGGTTTGGTGTTTAGATTCTTGACAGTGTTACAGTAAAACTCGCCCCAGAGATAGAAGAAAGCTCCTTTATCTAGAACATAAAGTTCACTAGCAAATGTGCTTTTGCAACTTTTTTCTTTAAAGAAGAGAGAACTATAGTAAAAATAATAAGCAGATCCTACTTCTAACACCTTTATATATCTGTGATCCAACTCTTCAATTGAATAAAGAAATTAATAAATCTCTAGGAAAAAAGCTGATATTTTTATCGAATTTATTTTTAGTGTTTCATTCCCTAAGAAATTATTTAAGGTTCTTAATCTGTAATTATTAAAATGTTCCTTTCCCTTTCTGAAGGGCAACATTTTAATCTCTGAAGACATAAAATATTAGTTAAGGTGCTCTGGAGTATAATAAAAGCAGATGATAGAAATTTGAAATCAGCTTTTACTGTTTTTGAAGGAGCTAAAACAAAGTTTTGAGGAATAAGTCATAGCTCGTGTGTGTGTGTGTGTGTGTGTGTGTGTGTGTGTGTTTGTGGCAAGCTAGAGTTGACTAAGCAGAAAGAGATCAGAAATTGTATCCAGGATCAGATGCCCAGTGTTGGGGCAGAATTAAGGAGAGGCGGATGTGAAGACAGCAGCAGGTCATGCTGGGATATGCAGGTGGCATCTGCTACAGTGGCAAAGGACGAAAACTGAGAACACAGCTGGTTTTAGAAGCAAATACCTGCAACCTTCTTGCTACAGATACAACTTTAACCTTCAGTTTATGATCTCCTTGATTTTCAAGAACAAGATACATGAGTATGCTACTACTATGCTGGTTTCCTTAAGCTTTGTCTCACCTTTATTAAAAAGAATATTGAAACTATTATAGTTTTAAGAAGCACATCATCACCTAAAGGAAATCAGTGTCAAAATTTTTAATCAGTTTACCAAAATGCACTTTCAAAGTGCATCACAAATTCTTTTTGTGATTGTTTCTTTTAGATTTCAATAACATTTCTAAAACAAATATTTAGGTAATTTTACATAAAAAAAGGAACAAATGTTTTGGTGCTCTACTGGAAGGGAAGTTCCACTGAAAATATAGATACTGCATACAAATGCACCCATCCATCTTGAAGACAATATTCCCAATACAAGTACTGTGGTATTTCCTTAAGAATAGTCTGTGGAACCCTGTGCAGTGGCTCATGCCTGTAATCCCAACACTTTGGGAGGCCAAGGCGGGAGGATTGCTTGAGCTCAGGAGTTCAAGACCAGCCTAGGCAACATAGTGAGACTCTGTCTCTACAAAAAAAAAAAAAAAAAGAAAAAAAAAAAAAAGAAAAATTCACTGGACATGGTAGTGCACACCTGTAGTCCCAGCTACTCTGGAGGCTGAGGCAGGAGGATCAATTGAGCCCAGGAGGTGGAGGATGGGGTTAGCCATGATTGTGCCACTGCACTCCAGTCTGGGTGACAGAGTAAGGTCCTGTCTCAAAAGAAAAAAAAATCCTAGTCTATAGAATTGGCCTTATTAGGCTGAGACCTGTAATCCCAGCACTTTGGGAGGTCAAGGTGGGAGGATTGTTTAAGCCCAGGAGTTTGAGACCTGAGCAACACAGGTAGACCCCATCTCTATCGAAAGTACAAAAATCAGCAGGGTGGTGGTACACATCTGTAGTCCCGGCTACTCAGGAAGCTGAGGTGGAAGGATCGCTTAAGTCCAGGAGTTTGAGGTTACAGTGAGCCATGACTGCACCACTGCCCTCCAGCCTGGGTAACAGAGTGAGACTCTGTATCTAAAAGTAAATAAATAAATAAAAGTAGTCTATGGCAGCAGTCCCCAACCTTTTTGGCACCAGGGACCAATTTCATGGAAGACCATTTCTCCATGGATGGCAGACGCTGGTGGATGGGGTATGGTTTCAGGTTGAAACTGTTCTATCTCAGATCATCAGGCATTAGATTCTCATAAGGAGCATGCAACCGAGATCCCTTCCATGCACAGTTCACAATAGGATTCACGCTTCTGTGAAAACCTAATGTGCCGCTGATCCGACAGGAGGCAGAGCTCAGGCAGTAATACTCACTGGCCCAACACTCACCTCCTGCTGTGTGGCCCAGTTGCTAACAAGTCACGGGCCCATACAAGTTCACAGCCCAGACATTGAAGACCCCCGGTCTATGGGTTACCTAGAACCATCACCTAAACAGATTTTCTATAGCAAATACCAATTTAAAAGTTCAACTTGTAATACACACACACACATACAGAAACATAAACTGAGGATGAATTTTGAAATACCTTAAAACTAAGAATGCTAATTACATAATTGCGGGTATAAACCAAAATGAATGTTTCTGATGGCCACTTGTTATAGGATTAAAGTCTGCAAACAATGATTTGAAATATTATAAAAACTAGGAAGCATATGTTCTCTAGGCAGGTATATGCATTCCCCAGCTATGTGGCACTCGTAATATATGATATTGAAACTTACTTGTTAGCTCTCTATTTGGGGGCCAAATATCTCAATATGTCACCTGTCTCAGAAAGTTCAGGATGTGGTTCAGATGGTGTCTGTCAGGTGAAATTCACCAGATGAGGTTGCACATACGTGATTCAGTTGTCATTTCTATGACATGCCTTTACTGGGGTTGTTCTGAGTTGCTGGTGGGAACTCTTTCAAGGAGAGCAGGGGGCCCGTTTGAGATGGTGTTGCTGTTGAATTTTGTCCTTTCACTTATCTCAGCCTCTTCTAGCGCTTTGCACAGATTTCAAATTGCAACTGGCGAGGAAGTGGGCTCCCAGTGAAAAACAATGACCTACATAAGGTAGTCATTTCAGCAGAGTTCGCATGACTTTGGGTCAGATGGCACTCACTCCATCTAGCTGCTTGCTTTTCTATCTTGTTGCACTTCTGCTGTCAGTCACTTAAAAATAAAAACTGCAAAGTTACTGAAAAGGCATCTAAGTTACTTTTTTTTCTGGCCTGTCACTTTAGACCGTGTGTGAATTTCATACATCAGTTTTGATTACCCTCAGTGCTGAACAAGAGGTTCTATTGTAATCCATGATGAGGGTCTTAATATTATCCCCTCCTCCGAAACTTTATAAAATGCTCCCCAACATACCCTCATATATATTTACGTGGTAATTGGCATGGGGTTATGCAAAATCAGTGGGAACTGCCTTACTTACAATTAAGCGTCACACAAAGTAAAAAATTAAAATTAAAGTGCTGGGCGTGGCTGCTCACGCCCGTAATCCCAGCACTTTGGGAGACCGAGATGGGAGGATCCCTTGGGCCAAGGAGTTGGAGGCCAGCCTGGGCATCACAGGGAGACACCATCTCTACAAAAAAAAAATTAAAAATTTGCCAGTGTTGGTGTCGTGCGCTTTGTAGTTCCAGATAGTTGGGAAGATGAAGCAGGAGGACCACCTGAGCCTGGGAGACTGCAGTGAGCCATCATTGCACCCCTGCACTCCAGCCTGGGTGACAGAGCTGGACCCTGTCTCAAACAAATTAAAAAATTAGAAAATTAAAAATTAAATATTTGCATTGTTGGAGCTTTTTACTTTTTTGACAATTTCTAACATAAGGAGGATGTCCTTATGTTAGATTGAGCTTAAGTGTCTGGTTATATTATATGTATTTCACAAAATGCAAGTTAGCCTGAGAGTCTAGCATAGATTAAGAGATGCAATCAAACACACGCTGGTAGTACTGGTGAAGCAGATTAAACAGGTAACCCCTGAAATGTGTACCCAAGAATATGTTTAGTTTTTAGAAATTGTCAACAAAGTGAAAAGCTCCAACTATGCAAAGAGGACAAGCCCTACCTTTGTAAACAAGACACCTTTACAATTGTGTATTTGTGTATACAGGTTGAAGATTTGGCCAGTAGCATCCGTGTCAAAATAAAATAGTGAAATGTCCATATCTTCTCAATTTCAGCGATAAAATCCATCAATGCGTCTCCACATTGATTCTTTGCTAATGACATTGGTTTAAAGATTATCTTGTTTATTTTTCACATGATGACTGAAATATCTATGCATGGTATTACTTTTATATGTAAAGTTATACCGTGTTGACAGATTTTGTAGTCTTTTATATGACAAGGCAGTATGAAACAAAACCTTTCCATGACTACCAAAGAAAGCAATGGGGTTAAATGACAGAGCTTTCCTAACTATTTGTCTGTCATAGAGAACAGTAAATTGCAGCCTGTCTCAAGGTTGGTGTTTAGACACATTCTCAGATTAACGGTTTTGCATAGACACTTTGGACTCCAAGTGGTTTTGAGATGAGCTCCATCAAGAATATCCTCTGGCCTAAACTAAGCAGAGGGTTTTGAGAAGTTTAGTATGAACTCTGTGAAAGGAAATTTGATTGTTAAACAGACTATATCGATATGGCTCTCCTTGTCTTTAAAAAATGAAGAAAGGTTTTTAGCTAAATCTATAGTAACTGGTCCCATTAATGTCTTACTTTTACAACTCCAGAGCAGAGAGTTATGTTGTTTTCCACAGAATGTTTCAACAAGACTGTGCTTTTGTACTTAAAGAAGCAGATATCCAAAGAAACTTTTGATATGATAAATGAACAATCACAAAGAAAAAGTTAGTTAAGTAGTATGAGTCACATGAGAAAACAACTCAGCTAAGAATGTGCTGATTCATTCATTTTCAATAACATCAGTTTATTTTTAGTGCTGCACTGTAATCTGATAGGTGTTCCTACAGCTGGTGAATTTGAAACCTTAAAGGTGATGAACTGAATATTGAAATATGCAGAAGTCCCACAAAGGAAAAAGTGCATAGTAGTTTATGCTTGCATTTTTAGCAGTTATGCTGACTACTTCTGTAAATTAATTTGTCTATATGGACCTATCATGAAACTCAGGAGAATAAGAGGCTTAAAAGTAACAGATTTGCATACAGTAATTTCTTTTCCCTTTAGTCTCAATGTTGGTTCACGTAAGCACTTGGATAAAAGTAAGTTTTAGCACTTAGTACTTTAAGCACTTTAGTCGCATGTCAAAATTAGGAATATTGTCCTAATGTTCAACCTGTTTATTCAAGTGCTCCCAAAACATCGAAGTATTACATTTAGAAAAAGACCTTGGACATAAAATCCAATCTTATAAATAACCTTAACAAACAAATCTATATAACAAATTTTTTCCCCTGGCAGGTAATCTATAAGAATTATAGAACAAATAATTATTGAACAACTATTGTGAGCAAGATATTGTGCTAGACAGGGTCAGAGATACAAGAAGCGTTAGACATGGTTTCTGCCCTCCTTGGTGCTATCACTGAATTAGTAGTGTGAGGATTAGAACTATAAAAAGAAAAATGCCAGCCACAGACAGAAAACATGTGCTCTCCTATGTGAATTCAAATGAAGACTCTTCCAGGCCAGAGTATTAGGAATATTAGTCACAGAAAAGCAGGAGAAGAAAGTGAAGGAAGGCATTCATGGAGTTGGCATTTGGGATAGAATGCAGGAACAGATGATATGGAGACAGGAAAGTAAAGGCAAAATCCAGACCAATACCTAAAAGCACGGGCTTGAAGACCAAACAGACCTGGGTTCAAATCCTTCCCCTGCCGTTTGCCAGTTATATGTTTTATTTGCCTTCTCTAGCCTCAGTCTCCTCAACCGTGTAATACCTTTCTTGTTGGGCATTGTAAAATTTAAATGAGATAATGCATGGAAAGTAATTTGTATTACCGATTAAAAAAAAAAAAAGGTAAAAGAAGGATCCAATTTGACTTCACATAGAGAAGTCATGGAAAATGAATCTAAAAAGTTGTGGATGACCCCTGAAAGCTAAACTAAGAAATTTGGGCTGGGCGCGGTGGCTCACGCCTGTAATCCCAGCACTTTGGGAGGCTGAGAAGGGCGGATCACGAGGTCAGGAGATCCAGATCATCCTGGCTAACATGGTGAAACCCCGTCTCTACTAAAAATACAAAAAATTAGCCGGGCGTGGTGGCGGGCGCCTGTAGTCCCAGCTACTCTACTCGGGAGGCTGAGGCAGGAGAATGGCGTGAACCCGGGAGGCGGAGCTTGCAGTGAGCCGAGATCGCACCACTGCTCCAGCCTGGGCAACAGAGCGAGACTTTGTCTCAAAAAAAAAAAGAAATTTGACTTCATTGAGTAACCAATGGGGACCCATTCAAAATGGTTAAATCAAGAAGAGATGTCATGAAAGCAGGGCTTAGAAAACCTAGTGAGTGTGCAGGGTGCAGTTGCTTGCCCCGGGGAGAGACTGGGAAAAGGAAGCCACTGCGGCTGAGCAGACACGAAGTGAAGAGGGTCTGACATGGGCATAGAAACGAGGACACAACAGGAGTGTTCGGGAAAGAAAATAGTGCTTTGTTCATTTGATTGTAGCTAACTCCCTACAAAATTCCTTCCACCCACACAAGGCTGTCTCTACATATTATTTGTGTAACAGTCACTGCAGAAAAACAAAAACAGAACTTTGATGGTGCTCTTTTGGATGACACCTGGTTGCAAATGATTGTATTAGTCATTCTCACATTGCTATAAAGAAATACCTGAAATAGAATAATTTCTTTCTTTTTTTTTTTTTTTTCGAGACCAAGTCTTGCTCTGTTGCCCAGGCTGGAGTGCAGTGGTGCAATCTCAGCTCACCTCAACCACCACCTCCAGAGTTCAAGCGATTCTCCTGCCTCAGCCTCCTGAGAAGCTGGGACTATAGGCATGTGGCACCATGCCTATCTAATTGTTGTATTTTTTGCAGAGATGGGCTTTCACCATGTTGGCCAGGCTGGTCTCAAACTCCTGACCTCAAGTGATCTGCCCACCTCGGCCACCCACAGTGCTGGGATTACAGGCGTGAGCCACCAAGCCCGGCAAAACCGGATAATTTATAAAGAAAAGAGGTTTAATTGGATCACCGTTGCACGTGTTGTGCAGGAAGCATGGCTGGGGAGGCCTGGGGAAACTCACAGTCACGGCAGAAGGCCAAGGGGGAGCACGCGCGTCACGTGGCTGGAGCAGGAGGAAGAGAGCAAAGATAAGGGAGGAGGTGCTACACACTTTTAAACAGCCAGATCTTGTGAGAACTCACTCATTATCGCGAGAACAGCAAGGGGGAAATCCGCCCCCGTAATCCAATCACCTCCCACCCGGCCCCTCCTCTAACATTAAGGATTACAATTCGACCTGAGATTTGGGCAGAGACACACATAGAAAGCACATCAGTTATAAACGGGAACTTCCCTCCAGTTTCCTTCCATGGGTTTCTCCCTTCATCACACACATCCATGTTCCTCTGAAACGAAATACTGACAACAAGATTCTGTGGCTGACAGGAGGACCAAGCGGGACACATCTTAGCCTTTTTGTCTGAATCTTGTTACCAAACCATTTTTCTCACCAGCGAATTCCCTCATAAGGAAGGTGGGCTTCAGCGCTGCTAGCTAGGACTGTGATCCCAGCAATATGCTTTTGGCTGTTGTTAACAGTGCAGCTGCAAACACTGGTGTGCAAGTATATGCCTGAGTACCTGTTTTCTGTTTCGGGGATATACACCTAGGAGTCTAATTGCTGGGTCATATAGTAACTCTACGTTTAACTTTTTGATGAACAGCTGAACGATTTTTCACAGCAACTAGTTTTACGTTCCCACCAGCAATGCACAAGGGTTCCAATTTCTCTACGTCCACACCAACACTTTTTCCCCATTTCTAATATTCCAACCATCCCACTGAGTATAAGGTGATTCTCCTTTTGGTTTTCATTTGCATTTTTCTAACACCTGATGACGTCAACCTTTTTTTTATGCGCTTGTTGACCATTTATACACCCTCTGGGAGAAATGTCTACTCAAGTCAACTCAAATGTTTTCATGTGTGTAATGTACTTAGCATACTGCAAAGAAAATACTCAGTCTGTAAATACTAACTAGTGATAATGATGTCAATAACAACAACAACGATAAGGAGATTTGGACAATGGTCTGGGTTCCGCCACAGCCTCGATGTGTGGCTTTAATCAAGTCCATTAGGGAACGAATTTAAGAATGGAGGCTAAAAAAATTCTTGATTCTCTAAGGCTCTTTTAAATTTTATTTATTTATTTTTGCACAACTTAAAGTAAGAATTATGGTAAAAAAAAAATATATATATATATATATATATAAGCTTGGGCCAGGCGCGGTGGCTCATGCCTATAATCCCAGCACTTTCGGAGGCCAAGGCGGGCGGATCACAAGGTCAGGAGATCGAGACCGTCCTGGCTAACACCATGAAACCCCGTCTCCACTAAAAATACAAAAAAATTAGCCGGGCGTGGTGGCAGGCGCCTGTAGTCCCAGCTACTCGGGAGGCTGAGGCAGGAGAATGGCGTGAACCCGGGAGGCGGAGCTTGCAGTGAGCCGAGATCGCACCGCTGCACTCCAGCCTGGGCGACAGAGCGAGACTCCATCTCAAATATATATATATAAGTTTGAACACAGAGGACACATTAGCAGATGCCAGGCCACACTTTTCAGTGACACTTTGATATCCCCTTTCACTGACCATGGCTCTGCCAGGACCTACTGTGGATACCTCTGTTCTGGGAGCCTCCTTATCTCCAGCCAGTCCGAGGGTCCTTTCTGTCTTTCCCCCTCTATCTGCCATCCTTCCTTTACATTTGCTGCCCTTAGGATCTGAACAGAAGGAGAGTAAGACTTCAGGGATGAGAGGCCGGCAGCATTCCCTCCTTTCAGGAACTTTTAGAGCTATTACCTTATCTCTTCATTGTTGAGTGATGCTGAAATACAACTGCAGAAACTAGATATGACATCTATGGCAGGGACACATCTCAGACGAACGGAGTGTTCATGAAAGGACCTGATAGTGTTCCGCTGCATGAAACTTCAGCAGCTTATTCATGGCCGTAAACGAGTTTCTCCCCAAACCCCATCATTCGGGGTTCAGTGCACCTGACTGAAGGCTACAAAGACATTACTGCGTGTATTTAGTGTGAGTTTGAGGCCAAAATAAAAAGGTAATATGGCATTATCATCAACTCACAATGTGCCTGACCGAGGCTTTGGGAGACACAACCCAAAGTAATAATTAAAAAATAATCTTCCTGTCGATTTTAAATCCTAGGAGCTGCAAAGGATAGAGGAAACCCCAAGTGGGCTTTTAAGAGCTCTAAGTTACCTGAAGAAACCTAGTTTCTGCCTCCTGAGATGGAGCTGACTCTCTCTTGCTGGAATATTGGTGATTTCTCCAAGGCCCTTCATATGTGGAGGGACTCCCTTGCTCTGCTCAGGGATTAACCATTCTTGGTCTCTGCAGTATAGGATGATTTCAATCTACTTACTTTAAAACATGTTTTAATTATGTTGAAAAAGTTTGTGTTACCATTAACTGGCAGTCTGATTTCTCTATCGAGGCTTTTTCAGGGTCATTTTTTTTTTCCAGTGCAGTCACATTATCGTGATTTTAGCTGTAATTGTTTGCATTGCATTAGTGGATTGTGGCTGCCAGGAAAGAGAACTAGCGATTTCTGGAATGCCTTCTACATAAGGCACCATGCTGGGTATACCATTCATGAGACAATTCCTTAAAACTGGCAGTGATGTTAGCCCCAATTTAGACAGATGTTGAGACTCAGAGAGTTCCGATAGTTCTGTAGTTGATGGGTGGCAGAGTGATGATTTGAATGTTACCTCTGTCTAACCCCAAAGCCTATGTTTGTTCCACCAAACCCTTTGCGGATAGAATAAGGCACCTTTTTAATGGATTTGGAGCCAGGAGAGTGAGCAGGGCAAAGACATCCATATTTGCGCTTCCCATTTATACAATGGTTGCAAAATTATGGGTTTGAGGATGGCAGTGGGAAGTTTGTAAGAAGCTTCCCATTCTTGCAAATAATGAGGATACAGAATCTTTATTTTTTAAAGTTAAAAAAACAAATGCTACCTCCATGTGGAGTTTCAGTATGAATCACATTAAAAAAAAACCAAAACCCTACATTGCTACTACTAAGCAATAAACATCTTTTGGTTCCTAAGATGAGAAATGAGGAAAGGTTTTCATTATAGCAATTAAACTGTCTTAATGCAAATGAAATATGAAAAAAAAGCAAGAAATGTATTATTTTTCCTGCTTGATGAAAACAGCTTCCAGAATTATATCATAAAAGAATATTTAATTAACTTTTAAATAAGAAGATGAACCTTTCCTTTTTATTGTAATTTCCCTAAAATATTTTGGTAATAGGTCTTACCCACACATGTACATAAGAATGTTGTAAATAAAAACATATTTCTGGTGATGCATATTAATGAACCCTACAAAATATTTGAGTAATCTCTAAACATGAAGAATTTTGGTAGTGAAAAATGAATAAACGCATTAATGATCAAGATTAAAACTTAATGATAATCATTATCTATGAGTACAAACATTAAAAATGAGCATTCTAAATATCCTAAAATAAAGGTAAATCAATACAAATTAATAGGTGTTAGATTTTAGAGAAGCTTCCACATGGAAAATAGATTTTAAAAATTAGAAGAATATGATAGAAAAAAGCATAACAAAATGAAATAAAACACAATATTAGAAAATCTCAGCTTGTGATTCAGTGCAAGAAAAAGAAAAAAACCTTCATGAGTGAAATTGAAAGTGATAAAACTAACTAGTTCCATGCCAGTAATAGACCCAGTAATAAGCAAAGTAAAAACTGAATTTAAAGAATTTGCAGAGGTAACTCTGAAAAAAGAGAATAATAAACAAGGCAGCCAAAGCATAATTTGTTTCATGGAGAGCTGAATATTCCTATTTCCTTTCTGGCATTAAAATATCAGCATTCCATGGTACAGTATTTTGATGTTATATTACATTGTTTTGTATCATAACATCATGAAATAAATTCAACATTTTCAGTACCCTCTTCCTTGGGCCTCATTTTGCTCACTGTAATTAGAAGAGATGAGCAGGAAGGACTTGATCAGAACCAAATTTCCAGAAATTCCTTCTAGCCCCCTTCTACCATATATCACTGATGCTTCCTTGTTGGGCCCCTCAACTAGAATATGCACCCCATTTTTATTTATTTGCCCCTTTGTCAGATTTAGTCTTGTGTTCAAACCCTTTATTTTCAAAATTCTGCAGGTGTGTTATACACCAAGTAAATGTCAGTGCTTTCTTCTTATTACCAAACCTGGGACATCCCTCAGGAAAATACATACATAGATGCATAAACACACACACACACACACACACACACACAAATACACTCTTGCACACACAAGAGATCAGAGAATCAGGTCATGACAGCTCTCCCTCTGCTCAGAAATCTTGACAGGGCTTCTAACTCTCTAAATTCCAGACACTAAGGCTACAGATGAAGGGAGGAGTTTCTGTCCCCTCTTCTTCAAGGTAAGGACAGCCAGTTAAACAGGCTGTTGTAATGCAAGGCATTATAATACTACAGCATGATATTTAGGATCATTGACATCAAACTGGGATGTCAGGGAAAGCTTCCCAGAGGTCATACTTGAGGTGATTATTAAATAAGAGTTTGTAAAGAGAAGAAGGAAGTTAAGAATGTTTCTAGGCAGAGGCTGCAGACTGTGTGGAGATACAGAGGCATGACAAGCCCCAGTATATTATGAGTCTGCAAGAAATTCCAGGTGTCTGAATTTCTGAGTGGAGGCACAGGTGGGGGAAGGCCATAGCTGTGGGTAGGGACGATGTACCATTAGTTATGCTCATGTCCATCTCCCCACCTTGATTCTAAGTGCTTTATGCATAGAAAAAGCATCTTACTTATTTTTGCATAGTTCCGCAGCCTCAGCTAATGCCTTACAAATAGAAGGTTTTGAATTGAAGATTTAAGAATACACATATAGGCTGGGTGCAGTGGCTCACACCTGTAATCCCAGCCCTTTGGGAGGCCAAGGTGGGTGGATCACTCGAGGTCGGGAGTTCAAGACCACCCTGGCCAACATAATAAAGCCCATCTTTACTAAAAATACAAAATTAGTTGGGTGTAGCGGCACACGCCTATAATCCCAGCTACTTGGGAGGGTGAGGCAGGAAAATAGCTTGAACCTGGGAGGTGGAGGATGCAGTGAGCTGAAATTGCGCCGCTGCACTGTAGCCTGGGTGACAGAGTGAGACTCTGTGTCAAAAAAGCAGAATACACATATACACAGAAGAAAAACATAGAATGGGAGAGTAAAGCAGTGACAGATGAGTCAGTCATACAAAAATCTAAGAAGCCAGGTTAATAAAAGGTAGCAGATTTTCAATTACTTATTTCTCTGAATTCCAATGATTGAGAAGTGTACTGTCTGAAAGATGACTCAGGCTGTAGACAGAGGTACAGATATTCCACAACATCCTCACTTGCTACAATTTGGGGGTACCTTTCCTCTATGTCTAACTCCTGGTTCCTTCAGAGCAATTTTCCATTCATTGCTTCTGTTGACATTGCTCTCTTCCTCTTCCAAGGACTTGAACTTCAGGACTCCTTTTACCTCCATTCCAGCCAATGCACTAACTTCCCTCTTGAGGATGAGCCCAGAAACCTCAGGACCCACTTTCAAAGCCATCTCCAGCTACTGACGCTTGAATTAAGCAAAGTGTTGGTCCCTTTTTCCCAAGAAGAACAAAAACTTACTTCACAAAAATAAATTCAGGAAGAGCATACTATTTCAAGACTATGGATATATTCATATAGATGGATGTTTTATTTTCCAAATAAGTTCTTATTTGAGCCAGTGCCTGACACATTGCTTCGTAAACTCACACTAGAGCTTGGAGTTTATGGATTATCTCAGGAATGGCTTGAGACATCTCCAAATGTGAACAATTATAATTATTCCAATATCTGCTCAGCTACCTCCAGGATCCTGCCTAATTACACATTTTTCTTGCAGATTCAAAGTGTGCTTAGTTCTTCTTTCCCATTCCCATTATTTAGACTTAAATCATGATATTTCTTTTCTTTTTTCTTTTCTTTTTTTTTTTTTTGAGATGGAATCTTGCTCATTCGCCCATGCTGGAGTGCAGTGGCGCGATCTCGGCTCGCTGCAACCTCCATCTCCCGGGTTCAAGCAATTCTCCTGCCTCAGCCTCCCAAGCAGCTGGGATTACAGGTGCCTGCCACCACACCACATATTAGTTTTGTACATATTTGGGGGTACATGTGATAATCTGATGCATTTATATAATCAAGTGAGAGTAATTGAGATATATAGCACCTTAAATATTTATCTTTTCTTTATGCTATGAACATTCGAATTGTTCTCTCCTAGCTATTTTGAAATGTACAATAGATTAATGTCAACGATAGTCACCCTACTGATCTGTCGAACACCAGGGATGGTTCTTAATCACTTCTCTTTTTTGGCCAATTACTGTACTTCAGGGCCTTTTAAATGTGATTTTATGGCTACAGAAACCTAACATCATATTCAAAAGATTCTTTAAAGTGATCTAAAAACCAAAACCAAAACAAAACAAAACAAAAAAAACACTAACCTTTGAGCCTATGCCAACACATTGCGGAGAAATGTTCTTATTTGTTAGGGGTTTGTTTCAGTAAAAATGACAGATAATGCCATCACTGTCTGATCACCCATACATGGCTTGAAGCCATTTCTGGCTGCCCAGTTGTCTTGTCTTTCTACCTTTCCTTGCATGATGATAATCCTTACTGCTTAACTGCCTTGTGGGATACTTTTCAACTATCAAGGACTATCTGGAGTATTTTTTCACTCTCACCCATACAGATACTAGCTCTCCAGTATTTCTTCTAGGAAACAATAGCATAGACATTGTTCATGAAATCAAGCATTAGGTCTCCACTGCACTCATAATCTGGCTGCTCTTTTCAGTAGGGTGGACACCGGCAGTCAGTGCTGACTCATAGGGTACACTGTAGTAGTAAGCAATGTCTAACCTAAAACTAACCCTGCCAACACCTTGAGCTTGGACTTCCAGCCTCCAAAGGGTAGGCAGTGAACAGCAGCTCTCTATCCAATCAATTTTGCTTTACCTCAAAACCTTAGCTAATTCTTGAAACCAAATAAATTTCTAATTATTGATAATAAAGTATTTGAAACAATATTTAAAGAAATATATACTTCCACTCTAGGCATAATCAGATATCTTGCATAGTAAACCTCAAAGTTATCAACTGCTGCTTAATCTTTTTCTCATCAAACGTATCATGAGGCCTGAACAGCTTCTTAAGGTGACACATTCTTTGGGTTGTATTTGTGGCTCTGGGTAGGGCTTTGCAATGGCCTGGGAACTTGATGAAAGACTTTTTGTGTGTCATCTCATTTTCCTCCATCTCATCTTCATGCCAATCCTCTAAGATAGGTGCCGTGGACTGAGTTGTGCTCCCCAAAATTTGCATTTTGAAGCCCTAACCCCCAACATGACAGTATTTGGAAATAGGGCCTTTAGGAATGTAATTAAGGTGAAATGAGATTATAAGGGTGAAGCCCTAATCCAATAGGACTGGTGTTCTTGTAGGTAAAAGAAGAGACACCAGAGGCCCAAAGGTCAGGCCATGTGTATTAATCTGTTCTCACACTGCTATAAAGAAATACTTGAGACTGGGTAATTTATATAAAGAAAAGGGGTTTGACTGATTCACAGTTCTGCATGGCTGGAGAGGCCTCTGGAAACTTACAATCATGGCAGGAGGCGAAGCAGAAGCAGGCACCCTCTTCACAAGGCAGCAGGAGAGAGTGAGTGCAAGCAAGCAGGGGAAATGCCAGGTGCTTAAACCATCAGATCTTGTGAGAACTCACTCACTATCATGAGAACAGCATGGGGGAAACCAGCCCCGTGATCCATCACTTCCCACTGGGTCCCTCCCACAACATGTGGGGATTATGGGGATTACAATTCAAGATGAAATTTGGGTGGGGACACAGCCAAACCATATCACTATGTGAGGACACAGAGAACAGGTGGCCATCTGCAAGCTGGGGAAAGAGCCCTGACCAGAAACTAACCCTGCCAACACCTTGAGTTTGGACTTCCAGCCTTCAGAACTGTGAGAAAATACATTTCTGTTGTTTACGCCATCCAGTCTGTGGTGTTTTGTTATGGCAGCCCAAGCAAACGAATACAAAAGGTGTTGGCCTCATGTAGCAAGAGAGGAAACCAAAAGGCAGAGGACTGAGTTAAATCACCATGAGGTTGAAGAGCTCAAAAAATAGGGACCTTAGTCTGTCCGAAGTCAAAATCCACACTTTTTTCCACTTCATCACACAGGTTCTCTGTGTAACTACTCAGTCTTGCCCCATCTCAGTCCTTACCCCAGGGAGAAATTGGGCCTTTCAGCAACTTCTTGGTCCAGGAAATTTGGCTCAGGCATCATGAAAACCCAAATTCCCTATGGACAATGCAGCTCCACCATCCCTCTCTTTGTTCACAGAATTGGCACAAAAGCACCTCAAGATCATCTACTTTAACCCCTTCACTTTGCAGACAAGGCAGGAAGAAGTTAAGTTTGTGGCTGGCCTTTTCCAAATAGGATAAGATTTTCCTCTGAATTTTCGATACTCAATAGCTCAGAAATGTTATAATATGCATTTTAACCAATAATATAAATTAGTTATTAAGTCATCTGGCAGGGTCCCAGCTCTGTTATAGGCTGCTTTTGACACAGAATTATGGCTAAACTGCTTTACAAGGGCCAAATCATTTTCCTCGAAACATAAAACACATGTAACCAGATCACATCCAGGCTTTATAAACAGACGTGTGTCTGTACCACTTGCTCAGCAGAATCCACTGTGGGCTCTGCTGCCTGTTTATGGAGCTGTGGGTGCATCAGCAGGAAGCAGTGTCCCAGGCAGGGTAGTGGGAGGCACCCTAGCCCAGCAGGAGTGGCAATAGATGAACTGTCATTTTATAGCATCTACCTGCCTTTGACTCACACATCACCAAGAGTCAAAACGCATTGAAACCTATTTTTAACAGCCAGGCAAAGGGAGAAAGACTTGTGGAAGGAATTTAAAGTCTTCTCTTGAGAATGTAACACAAGCTACCCTCTAAAACTTTCTTGGGAGAAAGAGTTTTTGTTTGAAGGAGAATTAAAACTCAAACTCCGCTGAAAAGCACAAACAAAAGCTATTGTTGCTTAAGCAAGAAAGAAAGATGGAAACTACAAGATTAAGAAATGAGGCGGTGTGGGGCAGCAGTGGGGTCAGAATGTTTGGTTTGCAGGTAAGATGTGGTCTGCGAGAAATTAATGAGGGAGGAAAGAGAGAAAGATGTCACAATAGAATTAAATCAGAGGTCATGTCCTCAGGCAGATGTTCACAAGATCTATCACACTCCAATTAAGAGTCTACAACACAAAAACAAACGTGGTGCTTAAAAATGAAGGAGGTGGATCTTCAGAAAACTTCAAAAAGAATAGTCAGTGGCTAAGAGATCAGGGCAGGACAAGAAAGGTGAATGTGTTGGCTCCCATCCAATTAAGGACTGTTTCAAATTTTATGTCCAGATTATGGCATAAGAGGCTGCAAATTCCAGTGTCCACGGGGGTTATGTTACACGGTTACAGATGGCCAGAGTGGCGCCTGATGGGGCCAACTCCACACCGCATGGCTCAGCTCCAACCCATTGTTACCATGCAAGAAGCAGGCCCAGTACTGCCAGAGACTGTGATTTTTCTCAGACGTGGCAGAGTGGCAGAAATCTAGATTTGTATGTAAAACAGTGGACACTTGTTTTTTTTCTTTTTTTTTTTTTTTTGAGATGGAGTCTCGCTCTGCCGCCCAGGCTGGAGTGCAGTGATGCAGTCTCCGCTCACTGCAACCTCTGCCTCCTGGGTTCAAGTGATTCTCCTGCCTCAGCCTCCTGAGTAGCTGGGACTACAGGCACATGTCACCACACCCTGCTAATTTTTTGTATTTTCAGTAGAGACGGGGTTTCACCATGTTGGCCAGGATGGTCTCGATCTCCTGACCTAGTGATCCACCCGCCTTGGCCTCCCAAAGTGCTGGGATTACAGGTATGAGCCACCACGCTCAGCCGACAGTTGGTTTTTAATAATCTTCAAACACCTTGTGGACAAAGCAAGACCTGTCTGTAGGCTAATTTGCTCTCAACTCTCCAACTTCTTCTGTCTTCTTCAAGAGATGGCCTCTGTGGTTCCCCGGATTTTCTCCCAATCCATATCATCAGACTCAGAATCAAAACATGCGTTCCTTTTCTTCTGTCATTGCTCTGGACAAGAGCCATCAACATCTCCCCATGGCCTTCTTGGTGAATTTCAAATGTTTCAGCCCTGCACTCAAGGCTCTGCATAGTGCCTGCCGTCTCACTCTACAAAGTTTCATCGTGTGCTTCCCAACGGGAACCTGTGGCCCAGACTGGAAATTTTATGCATTTTCCCCTCAAATAAAATCTGTACATTCCTGCAGTCTCACCTTAGTTCTTCATATATCTTCTATCCTTTTCTTTTTAAGAGGTAGTGACTTATTCTGTTGCCCAGGCTGGAGCACAGTGGTGTGATCATAGCTCACTGTAGCTGTGAACTCCTGGGCTCAAGCAATCCTCCCACCTCAGCTTCCTAAGTAGCTGGGAATACAGATGTGTGACACAATGCCTAATTTTTTTATTTTTTTATAGAGATGAGGTCTCACTATGTTGCCCAGGCTGGTCTCGAACTCGTGGCCTCACACAATCAAAGTGCTGGGATTATAGGCATGAGCCACCATGCCCAGCCTCTTTCTCCTTCTTCTTCTTCTTTTTTTTTTTTTTTTTTTTGAGACAGAGTCTTGCTCTGTTGCCAGGTTGGCATGATCTTGGCTCACTGCAACCTCCGCCTCCTGGGTTCAAGCGATTCTCTTGCCTCAGCCTCCCAGTAGCTGGGATTACAGGTGCCCACCACCACGCCCAGCTTATTTTTGTATTTTTAGTAGAGACGGGGTTTCACCATGTTGGCCAGGACGGTCTCGATCACTTGACCTCGTGATCCACCTGCCTCGGCCTCCCAAAGCGCTGGGATTACAGGCGTGAGCCGCCACTCCCAGCCTCTTTCTCCTTCTTTATAATCAAATTCCAGTGACCACCTGATCCTTCAAGACATCACTCACATATCCTTTCTTCTGGGCTCGTTGTGCTGCATGTTCTCTTCTACCACTCTTCTATGAAGCTTCTGACATGTCTCTTCTAAACACGTATCTCTTAATTTTGGGGGCTGTATGGCTGTTTCCTCCACACAACCCTGAGAGTTTAACTCAGGGATTGGCAAACCTTTTTGGTAAAGGGCCAAACAAGAAAGACTTTTGGCTTTGTGGGCCCTGTGATCTCTGTGGCAACTACTCATCTGCTGAAAAGCAGCCGTAGACGAGATGTAAGCACATAGGCACGGCCATGTTCCCATACAGCGCTTTATAAACACAGGTGACCGCATCTGGCCTGGAAAGCACAGTTTGCCAACCTCTTGCCCTGCTTGGACAAGGACAGAGTCTTCTTGCTATTATTATATAATAGATAATAAATGTTCATTAGAGGATAAATCCCTCAAAACTCAATTCAACTTGATTTCTTCCATAACCTTTCCTTGACAGTCACGGACACAGCAGCATTTTCCAACTTCCGAACATCTTCAAGTACTTGGTATCCAGGTATCTCCTCATATGACTCTTGCCATCATTGTGTGATATTCACTTCATGCTGCTGTGATGAATTAGGGTTGATCTATATCATTTCCAGAGTCTTTTGTTCTAAAATCCTATGGGTCAGTTCATTGTCTTGTACTGCCACCGACTTGTATATTTTTGGGTTTTCTCCACTTCAAATAAATTATAAGCTTCTAGAGAATAAGCCATATCTAATTTTTCTTGGGATTGCTAAAATGCTTTATATAGTGCTTTTGTCACAATATTCATTCATTTATTCATGTAACACTGTTTGTGGGATGATATGTAGCACAAACATAAAAATAAGCAAAATGGAAATGGCCCCTGCTTCAGCTGAAGTCAAAGTCTAGTGAACTAATGATTGTATCATCATAAATTGAGATGTACTTTCTGAAAGAAAGTACATAATTTTTAAACAACATTGCACAAAGAAAGCAAACAAATACTGGGGCAGGTAGAGGAAGGAAGGGCAGGAAGGACTTCCCTGAGGAAGTAATGCTTGAATCAAGATCCATTTATTCAACCAATTCAGTACATATTATTTGCCAGGCATTATTCTAAGCACTTGGAATATAGTGGCAATCTAAGCAGACAGAGGTTCCTGCCTTGGTGGAGCTTGTTTTCTAATGGGAGCTGAAGAGTAAGTAAAAATTAGATTGAAAGGAAAAAGGGGTTGAATAACATTTCTGAAAGAAGGAACTGCATGTACAAGGATCCTGGGTGGGAGGGGGCGTGGCACCATCCTTGCAGTGGCCCGTCCCACTGTGGATGGGGGCTTGTTGAGGTGTGACCTCATAGGTAATGTAACCATATAATTTATTCTCTAAAGCAGAACACTCTTGACAGTAAATGAGGCATTATGAATCATTACAACAAGCAAAAACTGGTATCGTTCCAGCATATTGGATATATGAGCCTGGGCAAGGTAGCAAGACCTCATCACAACTAACAACAAAAATAAATACATAAATAAATAAACCAGCCCATGCCTGTAGTCCCAGCTACTTGGGAGTCTGAGGTGGGAGGATCACTTGAGCCCAGGAGTTTGAGGCTGCAGTAAGCAGTGATTGTGGCACTGCACTCTAGTCTAGGTGACAGAGCAAGACCCTGTCTCAAAAAATAAACGAAACAGCCGGGTGCAGTGGCTCACACCTTTAATCCCAGCACTTTAGGAGGCTGAGGCGGCTGGATCATGAGGTCAGGAGATCAAGACCATCTTGGCCAACATGGTGAAACCCTGTCTCTACTAAAATGCAAAAAATTAGCCGGGCGTGGTGGTGTGCACCTTTAGTCCCAGCTACTTGGGAGGCTGAGGCAGGGGAATCGCTTGAACCTGGGAGGTGGAGATTGCAGTGAGCTGAGATCATGCCACTGCACTCCATCCTGGACAACAGAGCGAGACTCTGCCTCAAAAACAAAACAAAAACAAAAAAACAAAACTGGACATCCGAGTATCCTACTCAGGCCACATAAAGATTTTAACGTGACCACATTGATACTTTTTAAAACAATCCTTCTCACTGCTGTGGAAAACTGATTTGGGGAGGAACTGTGTCAGTGTGAAGAGGCCAGTTGCTATGCTACTGCAGACATCCAAGTAATAGAGCAGTGTGGCCTGAGCTGGGGGTGGGGAGCAGAGGAAATAGAGAGAGAGAGGGGAATAATATTTAGAGGTATTTCAGAAGCAATTTTAACAGGACTTGGGTGATATTATTAGTGGTGGAAATGAATGGAAGAAAGCATGGGGTGAAGTAGAATGGGAAGGTCATGTTGGAAGGAAGAGAGAGTTTACATATTCAGGTGCCCAGACCTACTCTTGGCACCAGCCACTAAGCCTGGGAGTATTTTGAGAGCTGGTCTTAATGAATCTGAAGATTGCAGCTAACACCACAATTTCCATTAGTGATAATTAGTAAGAGTGTAACTGAGGCTTTGACATGGGAAAGAGGTTGATAGAGCAAAGTACTCCCCAATGGACAATGAGTAATAATTTGTGCTTTTGTCAAAATTGCTGGTGGACTTTGTGTACTTTTAGGGAAGCAGAGGTTTTCATGGTGGAGGGTAGCTTGATATTGAAAATTCAATATTAGGTGCTAGAATACCAGAGTCAAGAGTAAAGAGTTGGCTGGGTGTGGTGGCTCATGCCTGTAATCCTAGCACTTTGGGAGGCCGAGGCGGGCAGATCATGAGGTCAGGAGATCGAGACCATCCTGGCTAACACGGTGAAACCCTGTCTCTACTAAAAATACAAAAAATTAGCCGGGCGCAGTGGCGGGTGCCTGTAGTCCCAGCTACTCAGGAGGCTGAGGCCAGAGAATGGCGTGAACCCAGGAGGCAGAGCTTGCAGTGAGCTGAGATTGTGCCACTGCACTCCAGCCTGGGTGACAGAGCAAGAGAAAAAAAAAAGAGTAAAGAGTTATAGGAAGTGACAACCAGACCAACAAATAAGAGCAAGAGCCGTGATTTGTGGACATTGATGTTTCAGAGAGATGTTTAGCTGAAATAAGCAACCAGGACTATATCTGGAAGCTGAGTTTAATACATAATTCAGAAACCACCTTAACTCACTGCTTTAGTTTTAAATGAGATGTTGAAATTGTTGTCCAGCAGTAGTGCAGAGCTGACTCCTCATCAGTCATTTCTCTGGCCAGCACGTGCTGCCCAGGTGGGAGAATTTCGTTTCGTTCTGAGAGCTTTCAGTCAATCCGATTGCATCTGACCGGGAAGGTCTCAGTAAAGATGTCACTTCACCTTTTACCCTCAGGCTGAGTCAGCGAGGAAAGCAAAAGAAACTGAGTGGCCAAAGCTCTCGACTACATGTCAAGAATCCTTTGCCCCTTCCTCCCACAGCTTCACGCAACTTCACTGTTAGCCAATTATTGTACCCCTTTACTTAGGAGTACCCAGTTACAGAATTGTTAGATGTAAAACAATCCACTCGTCTTAACCATGCAGAGATACTGAAGAAGGAAAAGGAGCTTGAATAGTGAGCTCTTTGTGTGTGCATCTGTTCTTGCAATATGCTGATCCTCGATCACCTCTGCCTAACCCACGTTTCAAAACTCTTTGCAAGTAAGGATGTGGAAATAGTTCCACCTGAGGCCAGATGTGAAATTCAGGTTGGGACTTGGAGCTGTAAAATATCGTACCTTGACTTCTTTCAAAATCAAAATATTCAATTACACAGCCATTAAAAAAGATGTTATAGAAATATGTTTCAAGACATTGGAAGATATTCATGAGAAATTATTAAATCAAATACTAGATTATAAAAGAATGTGCTCAGTATAATTCAATTTCTATTTTTAAAACAGGTGTAGAAAGGACTTGAGTGTAAAGTAAAATCTTAAAAGTAGTGACCTCTAGGTAGTGAAACTAGTAAAAATTTTTATTTTCTATGTTTAGATTAACAATATTGTTTAAATTGTTCAGTAACAGGTACTACTTGTGTTATAAAAATGTATGTACTTCTAAATGTACTATCCAACATTCATAAACGTGCATGGAAGCCACACTATATTATCATCCATCCAGTGAAACAGGGATATAACCTGGCCGCTCTCGTGTAATGACAGAACATTCAATTCAAAGTTGGGCAGGCCCAGCATGGTGGCTCGCGCCCGTAATCCCAGCAGTGTGGGAGGCAAAGGCAGGAGGATCACCTGAGCCCAGGGGTTCACGACAAGCCTAGGCAACATAGGGAGACCCCGCCTTTATAAAAAATTAAAAATTGGCTGGGCGTAGCGACATGCGCTTGTTGTCCCAGCTACTCAGGAGGTTGAAGCAGGAGGATTGCTTGAGTCCCGGGTGTCAGGGCCTCAGTGAGCCATGATGACACCACTGCACTCCAGCCTGGGTGACAGAGCAACACCCTGTCTCAAAAAAAAACAAAGACGACTAAGTATCGCTGCCTTGCTTTGCCCCCTTTGGTAATTTAGGAGACTTCACTGTGCCTCAGCTGTCCCATTTGTAAAACAAGATTCATAATGGTTGTTAATTCTAAAGTTGTAAGAATAGATGAAAAAAATGCTTACAAATTGCTTAACATAGAGTAAGCTCCTGAAAAATATTAGTTAATCTTATGATTACTTAGGTAATACTCTTCTTGAATAGGTGCCAAGAAGTTTCCAGAATTGAGTGTTGTATTTTGTGGGCACCAAGTGCTTCAAAGAAGGATGTCTCAGGCCAGGTGTGGTGGCTCACACCTGTCACACCTGTAATCCCAGCACTTTGGAAGGCCGAGGCGGGTGGATCACAAGGTCAGGAGTTCGAGACCAGCCTGGCCAATATGGTGAAACCTCATCTCTACTAAAACTATAAAAATTAGCTGGGCGTGGTGGCACGTGCCTGTAGTCCCAGCTACTCGGGAGGCTGAGGCAGAAGAATCGCTTAAACCCGGGAGGCGGAGATTGCAGTGAGCTGAGATCATGCCACTGCACTCCAGCCTGGGCGACAGAGTGAGGCTCTGCCTCAAAAAAAAAAAAAAAAAAAAAAGAAGAAGAAGAAGAAGAAGGCTGTCTCTGGTCAAGGCCAATGCCAAGCACACTGCAGAAGCAGTGGTTTTATGGGAAACTGTTAGAGAAAACCATTAGCCAGAGGGGCTGACATTTCCTGTCCCTTGCAAGCAGTTATCCTACAGCATACCTGATACTTTTAAGTGACTTGGCTCCCCGTAGATTCTTGATCCATCCAACGCAGAAATTCTAGCACTGAACCTAGGCGAAAAAAAAAATGTTACTATTCCTGTGTCTTTTAGGTTACTCTGGGCACTGAACTGAGGCTTTTGTGTATGGAGTGACCAGATAACTTCAAGGATGGTAATTGATGATACCAAAACCCTATTGACAGAGTCATTTTATTGGAACTAAAGAGAGTTTGGGGTAGATATATATTTGGGGAACATAATTTTACTTGCTTAGGGTTATTTAAACATATACAAAAGTAGAGGGAATATTGTAATTGCCTTAGTTCATTCAAGCTGCTACAACAAAATACTACAAACTGGGTGACTTATAAACAACAGAAATTCATCTCTCATAGTTGTGGAGGCTGGGAAGTCCAAGATCAAGGTGCCAGCAGATTCAGCTTCTGGTGAGGGCCTGCTTTCTTGTTCGTAGGTGGCACCTTCTCTCCATGTCCTCACATGGCAGAAAGAGCAAGGCAGCTCTCTAGGATCTCTTTTATAAGGGTACTAATTCCATTCATGACTCCATCCTCATGACCTAATCACCCCCGCCAAAGGCCCCACCTCTTAATACCATCATCTTGGGAGTCAGAATTTCTACATATGAATTTTCAGGGACACAAACATTCAGACCATAGCAATAATGTACATTCATGTACTCACCACCCAGCTTTCGCAATTATCAACACACATACAATATTGAAAAACACATATATTAATTGAAAATTTCAAAGCACAATTATATGATTTGCCCCTTTAGTTATCTGAGCTGAGAAAGCATGGGAGAAGTATCTGAGCTTAGCCCACTTGGCCAAATCTTGCTTTTGACCTCAGCTGAAACAGAAGAGCTGCTACCTTCCTATTGTAATACAGACAGTTCCTAAATGCTGACAGTGATAACCACCAAATACAAAACAATAAGATGGGAACATGATGCCACGTGTGTTTTCAATACCAAAGGTATCTACGAGCCTAGTGTTTCAAGAAATGCTAAAGTGTGCATGTCTATGAATATGTAGTACGCAATCCACTTCGTTCTGCCTACTCTGAACGGCCTTTATTAAGGGGTATTTTATGTGGATTCTGTGTGATAGAGAAAAACGTGCCACTCCTTGGCAACATAATATACTAGACCAGTTCTCTTTTTTTGAGATGTCAAATATCTACTTTATTATAGTGAGAAAGTGACAGTCAATTTAAATCAAAATTTATGGGGAACATTAGTAGCTGGAAGGACTTTGGCTAATCACTGTAATGTCCCCAACAAATGGTAAATGAAAGCATAAGGAAATTGAGTTAACACAAGTTAAAAGTTCACATACTTAAGGAATTATATTAGAAGACCTACAACTTAATTAAATTATCTGAAACTGCTCATTTAACTTCTATTGTACTAGTGAACATTTATGCAATTTTACTGTTAGATATGTATTAAGTAATAGGTTTGGATTGGGTCAAATTGGGAGAACCCTAATGAGGCAGAACAGGGGAAAGTTTAATCCATCATAAAGCATCATTCGGAATCTTTATATTGAATATTATTAGGCAGACATTTCCCTGGTTAGCTGGTTACTCTCTTATATCTATCATTCTGACATTTTGAATAATTGAAAAATCAAACAGGAACTCTGTACATGGAAAAAATAATCTGATGGAGAAGAAATGTGTTATTGATCACCTAATTTTTTATTTTTTTTCAGTCTTGCATTTGCTTTTTCAACTGTAGAAGTGCAAGAAGTGGTAAATGTGCCGCATTTTAGACGTTAAAGGCATTGTTAACAGATTTGACACAAAAGATAATGTTATGAGATGCAAACGACAGAAATTTACATGTCAAATCACATACTTAATATTTATTTCTTTGTTCTGAATACATTTAAAGTCAGTAAGTTCTTAAACCTGAGGTCTTAAGCTATAGAATTGTTTCTTTCAAAATACTTTTTAATATACAGGGCAGGGTATTCAGTAACTGCATATACGTGGCACTCGTCTCTTTATGGCTATTGACTTAAGCTTTTTGAGAAGAGTTGGTCTCCATAACTGAGGTTTGCCACAAATTACACATGTATGGACTCTCCCTGGGGAGATCTGTAGGAAATCCAGAATGGAGCTGTGCTCTCTTACAGAGAACCCCAAAGCAGCTGTGAAGCTTTCACTGCAGTTGAAAAAAAAAAGTGACCTTTAATTCAGTCCTTAGAAAACAATTTAGATGTCAAAGTGTAATTTTCTAAAGCCATAAGACCTTTGGGAAAATTCTGCCATTTTTTTTCTCTTCTGATGGAACTATATTGAAAAAAATAAATTATTTGCCGTGATACTTGGTAACATACACGCACACACTAAGAAATGAGTAAGAAAAAATATGGCCTCCCGCAGACTCGTTTCTAGCTGCTTGCTGGGGGGAAAAAATAAGCTGCCTCCTCTCCACTGCATTTAGAGAATTAATTCTCATATGAAATGAAAGGTCCCGTCCAATCCTATTTCACGGTAGCTTTGAGTGCTTGACTGTACCAAAGCAAAGGGCATTACTTGATTGTTCACTGTTGACATCACTTTACACCAGAAGGTGGCAATTATTTTAATAATCACACTAACAAATCTGTTTTGCCTTCAGATTGGATTTTTAGAGATAGTGTTCATTTGATTCTTGTCAAGAAGATGCCTTTGAGAACCAGTAGCATTCACTTACAGATTTATTTCTCAAGTTGGTTTTTCACTCCCACTAATTGGCTAAAATATTGCACCTCTTTTAGAATATAAGCTACAAAATTTATATATTTCTCTTTATTGAACCTTACTTGTTGACCTGAAACAATTAAAAGGATGCTATTTAAGATGACAACACAGATGAAGTGATATCATGATAGAGTATAAGTAGATGCTGACTATCATTAAAAAATGAAGAATGTACTTAATTTTTATTTACAAGGAAAACTGGTGACGAATTTCTTCAGTTGACCATGACATCTTAGAAATGTAGTGGATTAATAAGATTTATGTGGATACATAATGAAAAATCTTTCATGTATAAATCACAAGGCATTTATATCTAACTTACCTCACAAGGTGGCAAAATCCCATAAATTCCTCCATTAAACCTGAGTGGAAGATAATAGCCTTCTTGAAGCCCAGCAGTTCACAGAAAGCCTATCACCCTTCTGAACCGTATGACAAAATGCAGAGAAACATCCAAAATACCAATACACTGGAACTGCCTGAGAATGCGTCTCCTAAGACAATTTTCCAAAATCTGTCATCTGAACGCTGTTTGCCATCCATAAAGAAAGAGGAAGAGGAAGGGGAGGTAGAGAATAATGTTGGCTCTGTGAAACCGCAGCATTCTTTCCAGATGGTCTCTTTTTTCCACAGCTTAGGTTACCTACATGACAAAAGGATAAGAGGCCAGGGGTGAGCACTCTTTTTTTGTAAAACTGAGAACTCCAGACATTTGTCATCCAGAAAAAATGCCTGCTTCTCAGCAGGATAGATTTTTAAAAATTTTTCTCAGTGCCTTTCTCTAATTGGGCTTCCTCAACTTTTCACACATCCTTGCCCTGAACCAGTCCACAAAAGCCAAAGTTCTCCCACACCTAGTCACCAATGGCAGGCCCATAAATCACAAGAAATTACACACGATTTTTTTTTAACATTATGCAATTAACGCCTATAATGTGGGAAAACATTTTATAATATATAACATATTAAAGCAATAGGAAATAGCATGTCAGATTTCTCATTAGTAAATTCTAATAATGGCTAACATAAAAATGTGCCTATCTATTAATATTTTTTCTTCAATTCACACTTAAAAGAAAAATATTACAGTGTCTTGGTATCTGTGCAATGCTCATGTAGGAATTTATTATGCCAAAGTGATCTGGCGTGCCTAAACTAGCATGAGCAATATGAAAATTTAAAGATAGCTGAATGCCCATTCTTTAATTTTACTAAAATAATGAAAAACATATATTATCTGAGCTTACAAAACATGTAAATATGAATTCAAATGGAGCATATATTTTCTACATATATATTGCGTTTTTCTACTCAGTATTAAAAACCATTTCTCTTTTTATGCTTTGCTTTCTTTTGTCCTCTAAAAAGAAAGAGAAGTATGAATCTTGAAAATCATCCACCAACTCTCATATTAGGAAACTCTTCCTTTTAACTTTGAGGAATTGTTATAAGTTGTGATTTAAATAATAGCTTGTAAATTTTGACGGCATAAGAAGTCCGTAAATAGTTGCTCTTCCTTTGAAAAGGGCTGACACTAAAAGTTAGGGCATTTGAAGTGTTTTGTTGGTTTTGGGGGGACTATTTGGATGTCAATATTAAACTATTAAAACAGGACTTTGAGCAAGAATTGATAACACGGTATAATGTCTTTTACCTCCCAGCTACCAGTCTGACCCTGACTCAGGCCTCCGGAAGAAACCACTCGCTAATCACAGTCTGTCTTGCACCCAGACACGGCATCTCAGACACTGCACAAATTAAGAAGTCACCCTCAAAACCTCTATACAGTGCAGGAATACAGCTAAGACACCACACCCGAGTACTAACATCTGCAAATTCTGAAAAGCTCTTCATAATAAAAAGAAAAAGAAAGAAAAGGAAACATTTGCCACCTTCTGTGTCTTTTCTTGCCACGTGTATCTGCTCTCATGTGCAGACACTTTAATATTAGATGAGAAAATGGGAGAGGAAGCTACGATAGAAGAAGAGAAATGGAGAGAGAGCTGAAATACATCCATTTGTTTTCTTTCAAATTCATTTTATGGGCTTTTTGTAGGAAGGTGTTTTTTTCTTGATTTTTTGCTTTATTTCTGGCATCAACTATCTTTGAGTTTGCTTTTGAGTAAGAAATATTGAAGAGCAGATGAAAAGCCAGATGCAGTGGTAGGCTGCGGTGGAATTAGGTAATAGTTGCAAAAACCTACTTAATCTTTTGTTTTCTTTTTGGTTTGAGCAACACTTAGAAATAAAATGGGTCTCTAAATCACAGATGATGGCTCTGGGGAACGTAAAAGACATCTTTTGAATATGAAGAATACTACACCGACAGGCAGGAGGCCTTGGAAAGTACCAACTTTGCCAATCGCTCACTGAGTATTTTTTGAACAAGTCTTATTACCTCTAGACCTTGATTTTTTTTATCTCTGAGATTATTCTAACATTGTATGTGAATATTTTGAGTTCTTACCAAAGCATGTTTGGCCCAAGGAAGACATATAATGACATTGTTTCGATCATTGTGTTTCACATATTCAGAACAGAATTGCTCACCAGACACAGATCTGGGCACAAACCCCCTTAGCTGATCACACAAACACATTCTGAGTTTCCCCCTGTCTGTAGGCTTGTCGGAGCTCCCGGGCTACAGGAAAATGACTCCCAGGATTGAATTCAAAGGATGCAAGTAAACACTTACTAATTAAAAGAAGGGTTCATTTTATGCTGATTTACAAAACACATTAATTCCTACAAGCTAAGTCTGTTTTTGTTCAGGGTTAGTGTGGGCCAATAGATGGAAAATTGTTTTAAAACTGAAATAATAAACTTTTGGGAGAAGACACAAAACCCTTACTGTGTCCAACTTGTACTGAAGGGAAATTCCTCTTCACTGGACAAAAACGAAGGCACATGGTATACCAGGAGATCGTTTGGTGCTTGATGTCAATGAATCAGGAGCATCAGAACTATTTTTCTTGTATTAAGCTTTTAGGCTGTGTTTTGCCAACTTGCACAGGTTGAAGACAGCATTAATGTTAATGAAGGATGGAAGTCTGAGAGGCAGTGACTCTCACTTCCCCACCCCCACCTTACTTCCTTTCATGCTAAATCCATTAGTATAGATGGATCGACATTAATACACAAGAAGGACAGAATCGCTCTCCATTCGGGGACACTTTTACTTGACCCTTGGCACACATTGCCCATACGTGGCCACAGGACGTTTGACCTATTCAATGGCATTTATTCATTCATTTATTTATTCTATGTGCTTCAAACCAATTTCTCCCTAGGTACGTTACACTTCTTACACTTAGAATGTATTAAAAAGTTAAAATCTCTGACAAGGAGTACATCAGAAAGAACTTGAGGACAGAGTCTGTCATTCATCTTTGTAACCCTTAGGAGCTTTAGATCCAGCTTTGCACAGTGTCTTCTACACAGTAGGCGCTACATAAATGCTCACTGAATGAAACTGAATTGAATCGCATTGTCAAATTCTAAACTGTTCCATGTGATCTTATTATAACCTTCTTATCACCTCCTAGTAAGAAGACATGTATCTTAAGATTTATACATATACACACACGTTTCTAAAAATAATTTTACTCCAGTGAATCCAAGCAAAACATACAGTGAATGTTTCTATAAAAGCTAGATATTGAATACTTTAAATCTTATATTTACAAATGATTTTCATTATGAGTACGAAAATAAGCATAGGGCTTTCTGGATCAGTACAGAAATTTGGGTTAAAACTATACCATATAGCTGGAAGGGAGCATGTAGGTCATCTGATCTTGTGGTCTTCAAAGGGTATTCCTTGTCACCCAGAGGTTCCTTCAAGTACTCCCAGTGTTATCAAGAGGCAGGAAGGCAGATAAAGTGGTACAGGCAGTGTCAAAGGCATTCAGCTTTCTCCCCAACCTTTCAACAGAGAAAATGCATTTCAGAATATGTGGGGCTTCTCTGTACAAATGTATTTCAATGACAAGTGTCCACTGCTTTAAAATAATTAAAGCACAATCTTTAATTTTTTTAAAAAAGAGAGAGAACCACACTTTGGGAGGCCGAGGCGGGCGGATCACGAGGTCAGGAGATCAAGATCATCCCGGCTACCATGGTGAAACCCCATCTCTACTAAAAATACAAAAAATTCACTGGGCGTGGTGGCAAGCGCCTGTAGTCCCAGCTACTCAGGAGGCTGAGGCAGGAGAATTGCTTGAACCCGGGAGGCAGAGGTTGCAATGAGCTGAGGTCGGGCCACTGCACTCCAGCCTGGGCGACAGAGCGAGACTCCATCTCTAAAGAAAAAAAAAAAAAAGAGAGAGACAGCCAAAGCAAAGAAGCAAAGGACTGAATGTTTATGTCTCTCCAAAATGATTTCATGTGTTGAAATCTTAACCCACAAGGTCATATTAGAATGTGGGGCCTTTGGAAGGTAATCAAGTCATGAGGGCGGAGCTCTTAATGAATGGGATTAGCACACTTAAAATTAGTCCCTCAACCCTTCTACAGTGTGGTATGGCTCAGAAGACAGTGGTCTATGAACTGGGAAGTGGGCCCTCACCAGACCCTGAATCAATGGACACCTCAACCTTGAGCTTTCCAGCCCCCAGAACTGTAAGAAAGAAACTTCTGTTGTGTATAATCCACCCAGACTATAGCATTTTGTTACAGCAGCCTGAACAGATGAATACAACCATTTTACAAACAGGTAATCTTAGGCACAGAGATTTTCTGTCATTTTGTTAAGGTTATATCACATAGCTATGGAGTTGTGCCAAAAGTCGGGTCTCCTGATTTTTGGACCAGGAGGTACAGTCACAGCTTACCTAGGCAGCAGAGAAAAGGTAAGAGAAAGAGACTTTCTTAGATTGAAATGGGTATGCCCCAACCTAAATCTTTACAGCTGCAACCACAGGAACTCAAAAGAAAACTAAAAATCAACCAAAAAATCAATTAAGGCGCTAACACTGACTTGCGCTCCCTGCTGGCCACAATAATTAACAAGAGGCTAATACCTAGTGAGGATTTATTGATTTTTTAAAAAAACCATTGGACTCTCTCTCATGTAACAGAAGACAATATTTTTCTGTTTCTAATCCCTTTGGCTTCTAAGAAATATACATAATCACTGGGTTGCTTCAGGATACCAGGTCCTGGGTATAGTGCATTCCACTGTATTCAAAATAAACAATATTTGCCTAATTTATAATTATATCTTTCAATTTGATATTAATTGCATATGAGATTCTATTTTCATCAATCACTGTTTTTCTATTTATTAGTGTCCATTACTAATTATTAGGAGATTTTACCAATGCTACCAAATGTAAATATAGAGTATTAGCTATAAGTATCTTTGAGGAAAAGACATAGTTTATTGCTTTGTAGTAAAGTTTAATACTTTATATATGCTATCATATTCACAAAGCCAATGTTGACTCAGTCCATCTAATTCCTGGACTACAACAAAAAATAAAATAATTATTTTCATTATTAGCCAACTGAAATCTCTATGGACTTTAAAAGGTTTAGTATCTGAAATTATTTATTTGATAATCAGGCTCATGCTTTTGAACTCTTCAAAATTGCTCAATGGTAACAGACTTCAAATTGTGTAGATAATATGCACAGGTTAATTCACCTTTTCTCAAGGTGACGTTATTTTAAAGACAGTGAAGAAGTACTTTTAAATAAAACACAGCCCCAGTCTCTGGGAACATGCAAGGCTGTGCTTTTACAATTGATACGCAGAAGCAATCATGTTTGGCGACAGACCACCCCATAGTGGGAACTGCTTTCCAGCCTGGTTTTTATCAGACCAGCAGCTGCTCCATCAGTCCATTAGTGACCAGGAACAAAATGCATTTTTTAAAATCAATTAGCAGCCCCTCCAACTGAATAAAGATCCCTGGCTATGCTTTTCATCAACAAAACAAGAGCCAGGAGTGAATAAAGCTAAGGAGATCATAAATTCTTGGAAGTGGAGTCCTAAAACCTGAGAAAGCCATACAGAGGTTAACAGGTCGGACCATGCCCTCGGCAGGACTCCAGTAACTCACTCCAGGCAGACAAGAACCATATATATACGTGTACATATATATATGAAATGTGTGTGTATGTTCAGAGAATGACATTTCCCATTATTTCTCAGTAGCTTATCTTCCTAACAACCTTCACTGAAAGGAAGCCATTGATATTCAGCCTCTATGCCACATTTAGCCCTAGAAATGCAATCATGTGCCATCCCAAGGTGGATTGTAGAATTGCTATTTATTGTCTCCCATAAAATCATTTGTAATTCTAGTATTAAACATACTTTCTGTCTTCTCTAGAGAAATAATAACCATTTATTTAATCTTTCTTCTTAGGTTTGATCTTCTAATCCCTCTGTCCTACTTCTAAAATGGCACTGTTATCCTAAATCTAATTTTCTTGGCACAATAGTTTGTATACATTAGATGCTTTAACAATATTGAGTTATAAAATTATTATTTCCCCTTGTAATAACACATTGAGTATTTGAAGACAAGGATATAAAAGCTCCCACTAAACACATATCAGTTGACCGAGTTTCAGAATGGAGAAAAGTAGAAAACGTAATTCCCTCTCAATAAAAAGAAAGGCAAGAGTCCGCCCTTAGAGCCAACAGGCTGATGTGTACTTACTGCAAAGCACAGCAGGCCAATTTGAGAAGAGCAGCCAAAAGATAACTAGAGCTTGCAGAACAAGTTCCAATAAACAATCCAATCAACAAAAAGTATACTAGGGATTTGAATTGAAGAAATTTACTGCCAGGAATGAGTTGCAAGGGTGAAAGGGCAAAGGGGATGCTGAGGTGACGTAAATATCAGCGATCACTGGAAGCAAAAGCAACCCCTAGGGCTGAGGTAGCCAGATGGTGGTAACTGCAGAAAGTACCTTGCAACCTGAGGCCAGGCGAACTAAAGGAAAGAGGTGAGGTTTTGAGATCTAGGAGCTCAAAGGAGGAGACCTGCGTACCTGGTGCTCAAACCTTTGAGATAAACCAGCACAATGGTGGTTTGGCCAGGAAAGAGCAGGATGGCTGGTGTTGGTGCCTCTGAGGGCACATCCTAGCTGGTGCTGAGAATGTCAACGAAGCTTGATGGGGAGCCTTAGCTCTCTTCTAATAATGGGTGGTTGCTAACAGGATCTAGAAATAGAGGGTCTTTTTGCCTTCTCCCTGCCTTCTAATTGTCTACCATTTGCAGAAACTTACAAGAAGCCAATTTCACGGGAGCGTGAGAAATGTAGTTTGCAGACTCCTACCCCTAGCATCACCAAACAAAATAGAGAAGGGTGGGCTTGAAGCTGAGAGGCAATTGATAAATAACCAGCACACATGTGTGCCTGAAATAACGGGCCCAGACTCGATTTTGTTCTTTAAAAGAATAAAATGGGTCATTCCAGGTTTATAGCTGTGCACCAGTCCTGTGACCTGGCAGTTGGGAGAGTTAGATTACTGCATTTTTGAGGATGCACAAGAACATCAAGAATAAACTACAAGGCCACGGTGGGCCACACCTGTAATCCCAACACTTTGGGAGGCCAAGGCGGGTGGATCACTCGAGGTCAGGAGTTCAAAACCAGCCTGGCCAACATGGTGAAGCCCCATCTCTACAAAAAAATACAAAAATTAGCCAGGCATGGTGGCACACACCTGTAGTCTCAGCTTCTCAGGAGGCTGTGGTGGGAGAATCACTTGAACCTGGGAGGCTGCAGTGAGTTGAGATGGCGCCACTACACTCTAGCCTGGGCAACAAATAGCCTGTATAAATAAATAAATAAATAAACAAACAAACAAACTACAGGGCAGGCATGGTGGCTCATGCCTATAATCCCAGAGCTTTGGGAGGCCAAGGTGGGGGGATTGCTTGAGCCTAGGAGTTCAAGGCCAGCCTGAGCAACATAACAAGACCCCATCTTTGCAAAAAATTTAAAAGTTAGCCAGGCACATTGGCATGCACCTATTGTTCCAGCTACTAGGGAGGCCAAGGTGGACCTCGAGGTTGAACCCAGCAGTTTGATGCTGCAGTGGCCATGATTGTGCCTCTGCACTCCAGCCTGGGCAATAGAGCAAGACCCTGACTCAAAAATAAAAATAAACATAAATCTATAAATAAATAAAAGAATAAGCTGGCATCTTCCATTAGAGATTTTTTTTCTGCCTGATTGGTGTTTTAGGCAATCACAATTTCAATTTCCATGGGTAGAAATGAAATCTTTAGTCAGTACAAAATATTAATGTAGTTCACTAAAATTTAAGGTTAAGGTAGAAATCCTCTTATCTACATAAAGGCTTTTCAAGTACATAGGACACTGTGAGGATTGGCTGAGGATAGGCAAGATTCAAAGTAAAGTGTGTCTGATTTCTCCATGCCTATCTAAGAATCCCCACTCCTTGTCCACTGTGTGCCCAGAAGCTGGACCCCTACCAGTGTCCCAACTCCAAAATTTTCTCATGTCCACCTCACCCTGATCTCTTAATGTCACTTGACTATGGGTTAAGTAAACCAAAATCTCCCTGAAAATAATTCCCTCCAGTGTATGAGTGATTACTCATACACTGATTACTCCCCCTTAACCATTCCAAAGATATCGGTGTCTTTAAAGCCTGCTAGTCACCTCCAAATTAATCCCTTACTGTTAGAATTTTAGAAAGGAGGATATTTGGGAGCAATGGGATCTCACTCTGGACTTGTGGGACAATTGAAGAGGTTCTCATGAATTATTGAGACGGGAAGTTTATTCAAAGCTCTTAGAAAGATGGTGGCAGGAGCAGTACAGTTTTTCAGTCTCTCTCAATCCACACATCAAAGGAGAGAGAACAATTAAATCCCCAAACCAAAATTCCCTAGACAACATTAGCGACAAAGCTAGATGATAACATGTCCCCACACACATCAGAGTACAAGTAGGTGGGGACAAACCACCAGCAGCCGAAAGAACTACGTGATAGGAACACGTGTGCAGGAGGAGGCAGAGTGCAGAGACAGGTGGCATCTGAGGAGCCAGAGAACATGAGCCCCCGTAGAGCCAACATGCAAACTTCCACTTGCAGGAAAGCATGATTCATTTGAGAAGAACTGCTAAAATGGGGAAGGTTTTGCCAATCCAGTACCAGGTGAGTGCAAGAGGCCCAGAAAGGCTAAGAAGGGGCTGAAACAGTGTAGCCACTAGGAATGCTCAAAAACCACCCACCAGGGCACGCTTCCACGACAGGGTCCCTCCAGGGCTGAGTCATCCATCCGGCACTGTAGACACAATGTCAGGGGCCCACGGTACTTTCAGGAAACCATGAAAGATTTCAATTTCTTTTAAAATCAAAAAGGAAAAATGCACTTTTAGGTCAAAGAAAATGTTTTAATATATAATAGATTTGCCTTTATATTCCATGCAGTTGTAAAATATAATTTTTAACATTTTTAATAGAGGAAGGAACCTACAGAGGCCTAGGACCCACAGGAATCACAGTGAAGCCCTGGGCCCCACAGAGCACAGAAATAGTGGGCAGTGGAGTCAACACTGAGCAGGACAGGGACAAAAGAGATGAAGTCACCGACAGTAAGAGGGCTTGAAGAGAGCCCAGAAGTCTCAGAGCAAGCTGCCATACTCATGAACACTACAGAGGAGCAACAGAAGAGGGAGCTCTGGGAAGTTAGAACAGCTACCTCGAAGCCAGACTCATTCTTTACTTTTTTTTTTTTTGAGACGGAGTTTTGCTCTGTTCCCTAGACTGGAGTGCAGTGGTGCCATCTCAGCTCACTGCAACCTCCACCTCCCGGCTTCAAGCAATTCTCCCACCTCAGCCTCCCGAGTAGCTGGGATTATAAGCACACGCCACCATGCCCAGCTAATTTTTGTACGTTTTTAGTAGAGACGGGGTTTCACCATGTTGGCCAGGCTGGTCTCGAACTCCTGACGTTGTGATCCGCCCGCCTCGGCATCCCAAAGTGCTGGGATTACAGGCGTGAGCCACGGCACGCAGCCAGCCAGCCTTATTCTTAAAGTTCAAGAAAACTAATTTCACATAGAAATGAACAACAGAAAGGTGTTGAGGTCAAATCTCATACAATGTTATGATAAGATGAGAACAAGTCATAGAATAATACCCCAACAGACAATGAAAGCCACTAGAAAGATGTGTCCTCGAAAAAGAACAAAACAGAAACCCACTATTTCAAAACAACCTAAGACATTAAGGTAATGACATAATAGTTGAAAGAGCAACATGAATCAGAAATGGAAAAGTGCAGAAATGAGATGACAGGCTTCAGGAAAGAATCGGAAATTAAAGTAAAAATCATTTCAGAAATGAAGACTAAACCAGAAGGAACACTAGAGCTTATAAACACAATAGATAATGTCTCACAGGAAATAGAAGGTAAAAAAAAAAAAAAAGGAAATTTTTAAACATCTAAAATAAATAAATACACAAAAGGGATTCAAGAGAAAGTGACCAAAAGACAGGCAGATGCTGTCAAGGATGTGGAGAAAGAAGAACCCTACTATGCTGTTGGTGGGGATGTGAATTTGTACAGCCACGTGGAAAACAGTATGGAGATTCCTCACAAAACTAAAAATAGAACCACCATATGATCCAGCAATCGCACTGCTGGGTATATATCCAAAAGAAAGGAAATCAGTGTATCAAAGAGATAACTGCACTCCCATGTTTAATGCAGTACAATTCACAATGGCCAAGATACAGAATCAACCTAAGTACCCATCAACAGATGAACCGATAAAGACAATGTGGTACACATTGGAATATTACACACATACACAATGGAATATTATTTAGCCATAAAAAAGAATGAAATCCTGTCATTTGCAGCAACATGGATGGAACTAAAGGACATTTTGTTAAGTGAAATAAACCAGGCACAGAAAGATAAATATCACATGTTCTCACTCATACGTGAAAGCTTAAAAATTTGACCTCATAGAGGTTGAGAGTAGAATGAGGGTTACCAGAGGCTGGGAAGGGTAGTGGGGAGGGGAAGAAAAGAGGGACTGATCAATGGATACGGAAGTCCAGTTAGATAGAAGGAATGATACCTGGTGTTCAGTTAGAAGGAATAATACCTGGTGTTCAGTAGCACAGTAGGATGACTGTAGTTAACAATTTATTGTGTATTTCAACATAACTAGAAAAGTGGAATTGAAAAGTTCCTAAAACAAAAAAAATATAAATTCTTGAGGTGAGACTATCCCAGTTACCCTAATTTGATCATTACCTGGTGTATGCTTGTATAAAAATTTCACATGTATCCTATAAATATGTATAACTATTATATGTCCATAAAAACTTAAAAATTAAAAAAGAAAGAGATCAATCAATATTGAAGGAAAGAAAAGGAAATTTTTTAATGGCTAATATGAGTTTCTGAATAAGAAAATCAAAACAAAAAAACAGAATAAATATCCAGGCACGGTGGCACACGCCTGTAAGTCCCAGCTACTTGGGAGGCTGAGGTGGGAGGATTGCCTGAGCTAGGGAGGTCAAGACGACAGTGAGCCAAAATCATGCCACTGCACTCCAACCTGGGTGACAGAGTGAGACCCTGTCTCAAAAAAAAAAAAAAAGAAGATAAGTAAGGAACATTTTATATTAGGTAATATCAAAGAAGCTATCAATCACTGCAAGGGTCATGCCATAATGACTCAGAGTGAGTGAAGAAGGCCCCACTGTCTAAAGACGGGACAAATTAACTTCAATACTGATCATCATTATAATGCATTTAAAGCTACAAAATGTGTTTAAATCCATGGGTTTGCACTGCTATTTTTTTATCTATTTCAGAAGATAGGAACCGATTTATCTTCAAAACTCGTAAATAAAGGAAAATAACCATTTCAAATAGGAGCCAAATCATAGAAGAAAGAACATGTCTATTTATCTAAGTATTTCAACTAATAAATGAAAAAGAAATGATAGAATTAAAATATCTCTATTTTTGCATCCACAAATGAATGAGTATATATTATGGACAATTAGCAGCAATGGATGCGAAAACCACAAGAAGTGAGACAATCAGATATTGCGCATCCTTTACCATCCTGCCAAAAATCATTACTGAAATGATGACTTGACGACTAAGCCAGGAGAAACACTAGAGCATATAAAGACCGCCTTTAGTCTTGCCAAAGGGATCAAACCTGGGTCTGATCCAGTCTCTGGATTCAGCTGCCAATGTGCAGGAAATTCAAAAGACAGAGGAACATGTTGAACTGCACCAAGAGTATCAATCAGCAAAGTGCAGACTATGGGAAACTCTACAGGTTAAACAGCCCGAGTTCATCAACCTAATGGAATAAAATGAAAGGGATGGTGGAGAAATCTATACATTAAAAAGAGACTTAAAAGACATCCACTTTTGTAATGGGTAGGAGTAAACTGTATTTTGAGGAATGCACATCAGGGTGATAAAGCTGTTTTTTTAAAACCTCAAGAAAGTTATTACTGTCAAAGTGAGGGTTATAGTTACCGTACTTATGGTGGGAGAGGGGGTTTGCGATTGGGACAGGGCTATGCAGGGTGCTTTCGGTGTGGCTGACAAGGTTCAATTTCTTGATCTGAGTGGTGTCTGCCTTCTAATAATTTATTAAGCCATGCAAGTGATTTCTATGTTTTATGTGTCTCTGTTTTTCTTTACAATGAAAATAGCTTAAAACTAATAAAGCCCTTAGGGAAGCTTCTCCTTTTACTCTGTTACTTCTCCTCTTCCTGAAGCAACTTCCTCACCTCCATGTCAACAACACTAGCCCTTCTGCACCTCCCTCGGCTCTGCCCTCTGAAGTGTTTCTTCTTCCTTGTTTGTTATATTAGATGATCAATGAATATTAGTCACAATTATAGCCCAGGACATGATGCCTTGAGTGCTCCTCCAGCCTACCGACCCCTTCTGAGAGAGTAGAAACCTGAGATTCTTCATATATAGGTCCCTATGCAGTGCTTTATGGGTCTCTGCTACCCTAGCCTAGTTGATAGAACTGGGGATTTGTAGATTTACTCGACATATATGTATTAAGCAGCTAATACCATGTGTTATAACAATGAACAAAATAGAATAAGGCCCTTCTCTCCTGGGTCACCCTGGCATAGGCTGGCCCCGTGTGGTCCGGAAAAGGCCCAAGGAGTATCTAATTATCATCATCATCACAGTGAACACTTACTGAGTGTTTACTTATTATGTGCCAAGTTCTGAGCTAAGCACTTTAACACCATTGTCTCTTGTTTGGTTCCGGCACCAACTCATTGAATTAGGAATTCATGCTATCTTCATTTTACCAAAGGAAAAAAAATGAAGCCCCCAAAATGTGCATAACTTGCTTTAGTTTATGCAGCTAATAAGTGCAGCTGGACCTGGAATTCAGACCCCAAGCAAATGGCAAAGCCTAGCACTCAAACAACTTAGTAGGAAAAAAAAATCCCAAAGAATCCAATGTTAAGATGGGCAAAAGTTCTGAATAGACATCTCTCAAAAGAAGACAAACAAATGGCCAACAGGTATATGAAAAAAAAGCTCAACATTACTAATCATCAGAGAAATGCAAATCAAAACCACAGTGAGATATTATCCCATTCCAGTTAAAATGGCTTTTATCAAAAAGACGAATAATAACAGATGCTGGGGAGGATGCAAAGAAAGGGAAACCCTCATACACTATTGGTGGGAATGTAAATTAATACAGCCAGTATGAAGAACAGGATGGAGGTTCCTCAAAAATCTAAACATAGAATTACCCTATGATCCAGCAATCCCACTGCTAGATATATACCCAAGAGAAAGGAAATCAGTATATCATGGAGATATCTGTATTCTCCTGTTAACTGCAGTACTATTCACAATAGTCAAGACGTGGAATCAACCCAAATGTCTATCAGAGGATGGATAAAGAAAGAAAATAGGGTACATATACACAATGGAGTACTATTCAGCCATAAAAAGAATGAAATCCGGTCATTTGCAACACCACTGGTGGAAGTGGGGGTTATGTAAAATAAGCCAGGCACAGAAAGACAAATGTCACATGTTCTCACTCATATGTGGAATCTAAAGTTGATCTCATTGAAGTAGAGGGTAGAATTGTGGTAGCCAGAGGCTGAGAAGGGTAGTGGGAAAGGGGAGATAAGAAGGGGGTGGTTAATGGATCTGAAAATTCAGCTAAATGGAAGGAATACAATCTGGTGTTCAGTAGCACAACAGGGCAACTATAGTTAACAATTTATTGTATATTTCATAATAACTAGAAGAATAGAATTGGAATGTTCTCAACACCAAAAAATGATAAATAAGTGAGGTGATTGATATTCCAGCTACCCTGATTTGATCATTACACATTGTATGCTTGTTTAAAAATTTTACATTTACCTCATAAATATGTGCACAACTCTTTTTTTCTTTTTTTTTTTTTTTTTGGACAGAGTCTCACTCTGTCACCCAGGCTGGAGTGCAGTGGGGTGATCTCGGCTCACTGCAACCTCTGCTTCCCGGGTTCAAGCAATTCTTCTGCCTCAACCTCCCGAGTAGCTAGGACTACAGGTGTATGCCGCCACGCCCAGCTAACTTTTTTTGTATTTTAGTAGAGACGGGGTTTCACCGTGCTGCCCAGGCTGGTCTCAAACTACAGGGCTCAGGCAGTCCACCCACCTTGGCCTCCCAAAGTGCTAGGATTACAGGCATGAGCCGCCATGCCCGGCCATATGTGCACAATTTTTATGTGTCCATAAAAATTTTAAATTAAAAAATTAATTAAAAACACTTCAAAGCCCAAGACCTTAAATGTGATCACTGGTTAAACCAGTGAGTATCTTCTATTGTAAAATATAAATGTGAATTAGAGAAGAATCTAGACCAAGGATAGACAAACTATAGCCTATAGGCCATATTCAGCCACACCATCTGTCCTTACATGGACCATAAGCAAGGATTAGTTTTTACCTTTTTAAATGGTTGAAAAAATATAAAAGAAGAATATTTTGTACCATGTTGAGCCTATAGGAAATTCAAATCTCATTGTTTGTAAATAAAGTTGTATTGGAACACAGCCACACCAATCCATTTTCAAGCTGCCCAAGGCTGCTTTTGTACTACAAGGGCATCCTTGAGTCATGACAGCAGAGATCACAGGGCCTGCGAAGACTCGAATATTTACTATTAATATCTATCTTGACTTTTAGAGAAAAAGTTTGGTGACTTCTGATTTAGAGAACAGATGGGTGAACTTAAAGAGAGAGAAGAGAAAAAGGCAGTAATCAGAAGTTCTAAGGCGGTAGAATCCATGAGCAAACAGAAGTTATGAGGTAAAGAGGGAAGCAGGGGCAGGGCTGCCCGGGAACAGAAGAAAAGACAAGAGTAGCTGAACAATTGTACCTTTAGAGCAGGGCTCAGCACTTCTAAAACTCCTGTCCCGCAAGACTTGATCCACAGTGGCTAAGACGGTCAGTGTTTTGCCTTATCCCTTCATGTAAATCAACTGCAGGTAAGTTACGTACATTTCTGTTTATGGTTCCCTGGAAAAGTCTAACACACAATTTGCCTTTAATTCTCCTCTCTGACCCCAGATTCCCCTGAATCTGCCACCAAGACCACCAAGAAAATGTCTGATTTGACCCCATGTTTGCAGAGCGTGGTGACATGCTTACAGGTTCTCTAAAATGTCAGGATCATAAACCACCTTTTCCTTTCCATTTCAGTGCTCTCACTTGAGACATCCATTTCTTCATGTCTCATCCTTACCTAGAATCAGAAATAGTTGGCCAAGCATGGTGGCTGACACCTGTAATCCCAGCACTTTGTGAGGCCAAGGCAAAAAGGTCACTTCAGGCCAGGAGTTAACGACCAGCCTCGGTAACATGGCAAAACTCCGTCTCCGTAAAAAAAAAAATATATATATATATATATACACACACACACACACATATATATATATACACACACACACATATATATACACACATATATATACACACATATATATATACACACACATATATATACACACATATATATACACATATATATACACATATATACACATATATACACACATATATATACACACACATATATACACATATATATACACATATATACACATATATACACATATATATACACACATATATATACACACATATATATACACACATATATATACACACATATATACACATATATATACACACATATATATACACATATATATACACATATATATACACATATATATACACATATATATACACATATATATACACATATATATATATATATACTCATATATATATATATACTCATATATATATATATAGAGAGAGAGAGAGAGAAAATTAGCCAGGCATGGTGGTGCACACCTGTAGTCCCAGCTACTGGGGAGGATGAGGCAGGAGAATCCCTTGAGCCCTGGGAGGTCTAGGCTGCAGTGAGACGAAATGGTACCACTGTACTCTAGCCTAAGTGATAGAGCGAGACCCTGTCTCAAAAAAAGGAAGGAAGGGAGGAAAAGAAAGGAAGGGAGGGAGGGAGGGAGGGAGGGAGGGAGGAAGGAAAGAAGGAAGGAAAGAAGGAAGGAAGGAAAGAAGGGAGGGAGGAAGGAAAGAAGGGAGGGAGGAAGGAAAGAAGGGAGGGAGGAAGGAAAGAAGGGAGGGAGGAAGGAAAGAAGGGAGGGAGGAAGGAAAGAAGGGAGGGAGGAAGGAAAGAAGGAAGGAAGGAAAGAAGGGAGGGAGGAAGGAAGGAGGGAGGGAAAGAAGGAAAGAATGGAGGGAGGAAGGAAAAAAGGAAGGAAGAAAGGGAGGGAGGGAGGGAAGGAAGGAAGGAATCTTCAATAGTTACACTTACTGTTTATAGGGTGAAACTCAAACTCCAAGCCCTTTTCCATGGCATCTCGCCCTCTCACCATCTGATCTTAGCCCAACCCTCTAGACCTTCCTTACGGGATCTGAATATCAAAACAGTCAGGACTGCATGACTTCACTTTACTTATACGTGGAATCTTAAAAAGTTGAACTCATAGAAGTAGTGAGGAGAATGTTGGTTACCAGAGGCAGGGGGGATGATGGGCAGGGCGGTTGGAATAGTTGACCAAAGAGTACAAAGTTCCCGTGAGACAGGAGGAATCCGTTTTCAGATCTACTGGACAGCAAGGTGACCATAACTAATAATAATGTAGTGGATATTTCAACATCGCTAAAAAGAATAGATGTTAAATGTTCTCACCACAAAAATATGGCAAGTATGTGAGGTGATGGATATATTACTCAGGTCGATACTGTATAATCATTCCACAATGTATTCATATATATAAACATCACATTGTGCCCCATATATATACAATTATTATTTGTCGATTAAAAATGATTGATTTTCAGGTAGAAGAGTCTTGACTGTGTCCAGTGCTTAACTCTGCAGCCTAAGCATCCCAGAGGGAGTGCTCGCTCTCAGAGAGCCGGGGCTGAGGCTGCAAGTCTCCTAGGGTCCAGCCACCTGGCATAGCCCAGGCACTCAGGAACAATAGCTGACACTGAACATGTGAATATGAACTCAGATGGCTACAACCCGGTGGGACACTGCTGAGGCCTGTGTAGGAGCCCAGATGTGTAAGGGAATCGCTAGGGGGTGGGTTGTGAAGGAGACACTGAGCTGCCAGCTAGTGACAGCATAAGAGGTTCCAGCAGTTTATTTAAAAAATCAAAGAGCCATAGACCATTGGAGCCCTGGAGTAAGGAAGCTGGTCTTGATGGTGGTAATCAGACTACTTGGTGTTGGGAGATAGCCTCTCATGTGTCCACATGAGATTAGAAACCCTTGAGGATGACTTCGTTGATTTGCTAGACTTGTTCAATTGATCCATTAAGTGATCAATTACTGGCAATGATTAGCAGACAAAGCTTGGTATTTAAGTATTTGGGATGTCCCGTCTAATGTCATGGCCAAGAATCAAAATGCGCTTTTTAGGAATTTAATCTCATCTTATCAAATGACAAAAAAAAGAGATCTTTCCTGGGAACTCCTGGAATTGTGCTAAAATTGTTTCTGAATCACGTGTCTGTGGATAAATAATTCTGAGGTCTTCCCTTGCTTTGTATTGCATGGAGTGTGAGACAAAATACAAAGGGAGTTAAGAGCACAGCCTGGGGTATCAGACCATCTAGGTCTGAGCCTGCCTCCGCCTCTCAGAATCTGACCTTGGCCCGTTTCCTAGCCTCTGAAAGCTTCAGTCTCCTTACCTATAAACTGGGATCAGGATTATGCTTATCTCCCAGGGTTAGTGGGAGGATTAAATGAGATAAGACACATCAAGTACTGTACTTAGGAGTGCATCTGGCATTCAGTAAGTGCTCAATAAATGTTCCCTGTCCTCTCAACTGCATTACCTTTTACACCAGAAAACCATAATAATAACAGTGGCAATTTAAGGAGACAGTATTAAAGAGAATTAGCTTATGAAAAGTTAAGACTCTGTTTATTCTTTCCATTCAAAATAAAAAATTTACAAAATAATGTTTTTTACAAGTCTAAAAGTTGACCCACTTAAAAAAATGTTTCATGGGAATTACACTAAACTGGCATTTACACATTTCCTATAAATACTTATATTAATCTGTACAGTTCTAAGAAGTAGGCTCACCAGCTAAAAAGTCTCTGGACATACAAGTATGCCTAGTGAGTTCATTCTAGAGAATTCAAATGTAAACCCAATTAAGATACACTTTTAATATTGCCGAAGGCACTAGATAAATATTTTAAATACTAAAATCTGGCCAGAGCAAAGGTAGAAATCAATTGTTCTTTCATTTCACCTGTAAGATCTTAATAATTAAGTTCAGAAAAACAGAATTTTACATTAATCTGACAGCATTAGCTGTAAGTGAACTCAATCAATGGCCTCTTCATAATGAAATTTCTTAGCTCAAAATTTTAAATTACAGTGAAAGATAAAGTAGAATGAAATACCAGGGAACATACAATTCATGGCTCACCTACATCTTCACTATTAGGTAAAGCCCTACACACAAAGCCTGCAATCCAGCACTGCCCCTCACTCACTGCCCTGCCCACAGCAGTCCCTTTTTTCTGCTGACAGCAAAGCCAAAGGAGAGGAATACCCTTCATCCAACTTCAGAAAAACTCCTTCTTCTGACATCAAAGCTTTACTGCTAAGGCTGTGTTTAAACCATTATGGTTGTGCCATTATAATAATGGTTATAAGACTACTGAGTGACAAATAATACTTGATATCTAAATGGCCCCTTTCAACCTTTCTGTAATGTCACTCATAAAATTAAAATGAATACTGTCTTTCCCAGATTGACACAGATATGCAAATTGTCCTTTATTTTATCGGGTGTTCTTTGTATTTGCAGATATTGCACTCTGCATCCTTCCAGAGTCCAGGTGTCTTAATGTAAATCACAGCTTTTATTCAATCAGGTAAAAGGATGAGAAAGTGTCATTGCCTCCCTTTGGCACTATCCTGGGCTTGCACCAGCGAAGTGCTGGTAAATATTTAACACCCAGTGTGGTGGTGTAATATACGGTGGTGTAAACACTCACACCATGACCAATTTCAACCTGCCAAGGTGATGTCACTGACCATGGAATCAGGAAGGGATGCACACCATCAGCTCCCAAACATGTTGTAAGCCAGAGCCAGGGCACCTCTGGCCTGAATCAAAATTCTCTGATCCAGTGTGTCCCCGTGGAAACCAGAAATCCAAGCGAGACCAGGTGCTTATTATTCAACATGATCCCCTTGAATAGGGTCTAGCCACCTCCACTCTTCTTTGGTAAATCCCATCTCCATATCTTGTAGGTCACTCCTTTCCAGGGACCTGCAAAGTGACTGTCACCTTTTCTATAAAAAGTCAGAGAACTGAGAAAGGAATAGCTGTTCACTAGACCCTTCCTAACAGATCATCCAGGGTTATCACTGTTGACTCTTTTTTTTTTTTTTTTTTTTTTTTTTGAGACAGAGTCTTGCTCTGTTGCCCAGGCTGGAGTGCAGTGGCACAAACTTGGGTCACTATAACTTCTGCCTCCCGGGTTCAAGGGATTCTCCTGCCTCAGCCTCCCAAGGAGCTGGGATTACTGGCACCTGTCACCACGCCTAGCTAATTTTTTTGTATTTTTAGTAGAGACGGGGTTTCACTATGTTGGCGAGGCTGGTCTTGAACTCCTGACCTCAGGTGATCTGCCCACCTTGGCCTCCCAAAGTGCTGGGATTACAGGGTGAGCCACCGTGCCAGGACTCTCTGGGTAATTTTTTGTTGTTGTAGGTCAGGTTATTTTCTCCTAAGATTCAGTTTTCATTCTCATTGAAAACAGTGGGATTCAGCTTCACGGTGTGTAAGAATCACCTGGGAAACTTGTTAGTAATGCAGCTTCTGCCTGTAATCCCAGCACTTCGGAAGGTGGAGACAGGAGAATCACTTGAGCCCAGTAGTTTGAGACCAGCTTGGCCAAGGTGGGGAAAGCTCATTTCTACAGAATGTTTTAAAAATTAGCTGGGTATAGTGGTGCACGCCAATAGTCCCAGCTACTCCGGAGGCTGAAGCGGGAGGATTGGTTGAGTCCAGGAAGTCCAGGCTACAGTGACCTGTGGTTGTGCCACTGCACTCCAGGCTCAGCAACAGAGCAAGACACTGTCTCAAATAAAAATAATAATGACAATGCAGCTTCCCAGCCCTCCCCGACCTTTCTGATTCAGTAGGTTTGAGTGGCAATAGGAGACTGCATTTTAAATAATCCTCCCAGGAAGTTCTGAGGCCGGAGTTTGAATCTGGGCTTAATGCAAAGAGTTTGAGCCAACTACTCACTTTAAAAGGAATAGTCAACACAAGACAACCCTCAACTCTGACACAAATGACAAGTTTGAGGGATTCCCGAAACCATCATCAGTTTCAATAATTTGCTACAGGGACTCACAGAGCTCACTGAAACTGTGATCCTCACTGTTATGGTTTATTGCGGGGAAAGGATACAGATCAAATGCAGCCAAAGGAAGATGTACGTAGGGCCGAGGCTGCGGAAGTACCAGACACAGCTCTCATTGTCTCCCTCCCATGGAGTTAGAGCACATCAGTCTCCCAGTTTCCTCATGTGACAGTCTACATAGAGCGTTGCCAACCAGCTAAGCTCACCCAAGCCTCAGTATTCAGAATTTATATTTGGCACCCTTATGTAGCGGATTGATTGATTGTCCACATGATTGATCTCTGTATCCAGGTGGCCTGACTCAAAGCTCCCATCCTTGACTTGGAAGTTTGACTTGGAAGAGTGAGGGAATGGGATGATGAGGAATTACTTAATAGGTACAGTGTATGTCACTCAGGTGAAGGATGTCCTAACTGCCCTGGCTTCACCACTGTGCCATGTATGCATGTAACGAAACTGCACTTGTACCCCATACATTTATACGAAACAAACCTCCTACTCTAAATCGTACTGTTGGGCTTCGGGATGGCTAGCCTTCACCTTCAGGTGTGGTAGGCCCCCACCCTAAGTCAAACAGTCACAATCTGGCTAGCCCAAGCCTCCCCTCCCCTGACCCCCAGCAAATCAATATTACCACCAGGGCAAAGGCCAGACCGACCTCTTCTAGGGCAAGGTTAAATCCTGCGGGGCACGGTGGCTCATACCTGGAATCTCAGCACTTTGGGAGGCTGAGGTGGGTGGATTGCTTGAGCCCACAGTTTGAGACCAGCCTGGGCAACATGGCAAAACCCCATCTCTACAAAATAGACAAAAATTAGCCAGGTGTGGTAGCGCACGCCTGTAGTCCTAGCTATTCAGGAGGCTGAGGTGGGAGGATCACTTGAGCCCGGAAGTCAAAGCTGCAGTGAGCTGTGGTTGTGCTGCACTCCAGCCTGGGCGATGGAGCGAGGCCCCTGCCTCCAAAAATAAAAACCAAAAAATAAAACAAAGAAAGAAACACTCCCAAAAGGTCAGTCAGACTTCTGTCTTTGGAAAAACCACCTTGGCCATCAAACTAAATGTCCTATAGGTGAGCCTTTTGCTTGAGGCTGGCAAGAGGTTGCCTTGGGTTTTATTTCTTCAGTAGGGTGTTAATCCATGAGTGAAGGCCTAAAGTCGGTTTTTTAGAGTCTTTGGGGTAGCTTAAGAACAGTATTAAATACCACATCCAAATATGAGCACCTTTGAAGCTGGGAGCATAATAAGTGCTATGTAAGAGATTACTATTAAATAGTGTTAGTATTCATATTGGTATTAGCATCAGTATCAGCTGTGGGAAACTGGCCTACCATGTGCAGAAATAAAACCAGAACCATATTTCAGCTCATGGGACACCAAGGGTGAGATAATATCTCAAGACAAAAACTTGGAATATTGAAGAAAAGGTGAAAGTGGAGAACTCTGCTACAATACAGTCCCAAGGATTAAGCTGAGAGTTGTCCTCGGATTTCCCTGCTTACCTCCCGTCAAATGCCTGGCCCACTCCATCTAGTTTGTACTTGTCTAGAATATATTCTACTGTATGGAACTTTCCTTATTTAACAAAAGAGAGTGTTATGAGGCAGGTTCACTGTGCGCTGGTTAGTACTTGCCTGAGTCTGGTGAAACAGAACATACACACACACACACACACACACACACACACACACACTACACAGAGTGGATTTATTACTTACAGATAAACAGCAAGGGACAAAAACCCAGCATTCATGATGAGCTGATCCCTCAAGGCTCTGGAAAGCTGCCCAGGAGGATACAGTCTCATCTGCTCATGCCTTAATTGCACCGCAGCTGAAGGACCCCAGAAAGCAGCCCACCCTGGGTTTTACGCCCCGGGTGTCACATGACTGCTGGGCTGAAACATCGAAGGACATCCTGTTTCTGGGGGTTTCTAGCCTGGGCTGTTTGGTCAGTTCTCCCCTTTTCTCAGGATGTTGCATTCCTGGCACATTCGACAGTTATTCTTGAGAACTGGAAGCGAAAAGTGGGGGGACATTGGGTTGGCCCAAGGCCACCTGGAGAACTGTCCTGCTAGTGGCATTGCCCTCTTGGAGTCACAGAGCTCATTAATCCAGTGAAGGATGAATCTGTCCACGAAGCGAGGAAAGTCACAGGCTTTTAAAGAAGGACAGGTACTTAAAAATATTCCCCTTTTATTTTTTTCCTGTTAATCACATTTCTGAGTGAGTTGAAGAAAATCTACTAGGAAGTTTCTTGATTTACTGAGTAGGCTTAAACTTTTTCCTTATGATGCTTAACTTCAAGAGGGGTTCAGTCAGAGCCACTGTATAACTAAAGGACTGATTTCCAAATAGTTTCACAGCCCTTGGAATATTTAAATGGTTACTTTACCCATTTTTTAGATAGGTAAGTGCAATACAATAAAATGCTTAGCATTTTCAAGGAGCGTAAATCAAGGTTCTTCAAGTCACTTTGAATTTGTTTTGACATTTTTCTGTACTTTATCACAATCAGAGAAGCACCTCAGATACTGTACTAGTAAAACAAGTGACATAACTTTTCACGGGCTCCGTTCACCCCTGCAATTGCTTCAGTCTCCACTTAGACTTGCCAGCTTGTCACTCCGTTTACAGCATCAGAGCATGTGCCCAGCCTGCACCGTACCCTGCTACTATTCCCAGCTCTCAGCCACCTACATCTCGCTCTTACCCACAGCCTCATAGCCATCCCTGATTATACTGGAAGTTATAGAAAACGTTTATCTGCTGCTAAAATACCTACAGCTGTGGCAATTCACATTTAGGGCTTTAACGTGTCTAGGTGATGAAGTTTTGACAGGAAGGCTCCAATAAAAGGATTTCAGATACATGGGATGTTTTTCCTTCGTTTCCTGGAAGCAAAGACAACTGAATGAGGAATACTGTTTCCTCTTTATAAAGGCAGACTTGGGAAATATAACATTCTTATAATGAATCCAAACAAGTTGAATCACAAAATAATGCAATTCAGTCATTTACAAAAATGCGTTAAGCATCTACACTAATCTAAGCATTTTGCTCAGTCCTAGGAATATGGAATGAATGAGACCTATTCCCTCCCTTCCAAGATCTTGTAGGCTCATATGGAGAGGGGTGGGTGGAATCGTGGAAGCAAATGATTCCAAATAAGTCCGAAGAGGATAATTCCAAATACAATTGCTATGTGAAAAGAGCAAAAAGCCAAGAGAACATGCAATGTATAACTACTCACAAAACTCAAAATGTGGTCTCTCAGCTCTTCCCCCTTAGGGTTCCTTGAATAAGCAACCTCAAGTCTTTCACTGTAAATCATTTTGTTAACTAAGGAGTATTTTTAGTCTATTTTTATATTAGCATGATGAAATAGAAAAGTCATCATCAAGAAAAGTGTATGAATAATAGTACTTAATTCAATTTCTTAGACTGAAAGTATTTTATTATCTACTAATATTTCTAAATCAATACCATGCCAATTATACCAGCTTTAGTATCTGCAGTTAACTTATATAGCCAGCATATTAGGCCTCAATTCTACCAAAAAACATATTTAGAAAGTATAATTTGGCAATGGTTACACTAATATTAGGCTAAAAAAGAATTTCATATTAGGTTGATCCAGATGTTGTGATTATACTATAATTTATGTATAATTATATATTTATATTTTATATACATTTAAGCCTATAATTTATATATTTATATATATTATCATTTATAAATTATGCTTTACTCTATATAACATATTCATATTATAATTATGTCACATATAGTATAATATATATGCCATAATTTATAATCACTACAGATAGTGATTATACCATATAATTTATAATCACAACATATAGTGATTATATTATATAATTTATATAGCTACTATATATAGAATCTGGAGATGTGGAAAATGTAGACAAATCGTTTTGAATACGAACTTATTCTCACTATGACAGAAAGAAAAATATTACACCTAACCTCATATACTATGAAAGAAAATTAATTAAAATGTTGGCAATTAGAACCAATAAAGACATCAATGCATTTTGGCATAAAAATAAGGTGAAGTGTACGATATTGCTTCCCAGATATGTCTATAGTAAAGTAGCCCAGAGTAGGGGCACATCTGCCACTCACAGCTGCCTTGGTTACATGACCGAGTTAAGGATGCCATACTGAGGTCCGAATTTCACTTTCTCCCATTGTCCTCCGGACCTTGTAACAGTAAGTACTCTATGAAATGTGTTGATGTTTAGAAAGGAAAGTGAATTAAAATTAATGACCCTCTCCTCTAAAATTGCATGTGTGGATGAGGCTTAGAAATCATGTAATTGCATCTTCAAGAACAGGAGTAGGCAAACTATGGCCCATGTGCCAAATCCAGCCTACCACCTCTTTTTGTACACCCCACAAGATGAGAATGGAGTTTACAATGGAGTTTATCAATAGTTAGGGGAAAAATGAATAAAATGTGACATAAAAATTACTTGAAATTTTACGTGGGAGGCTGAGGCAGTAGAATTGCTTGAACTTGGGAGGTGGAGGTTGCAGTGAGCCGAGATCATGCCACTGCACTCCAGCCTGGGAGACAGAGCGAGACTCTGTCTCAAAAAAAAAAAAAAAAATACATGAAATTCACAGTTCAGTGTCCATGAATAAAAGGTCGTGGGACACAGCCATGCATGCTCATTATCTATGCCTTGTCTACGGTTGCCTTCCTCCTACCATGGCACAGCTGAGGAGTTGGCCTGCAAAGCAAAAATATTTACTATTTGCACTGATCCCTATTCAAGAATACAGTTACTTTAGTAGCTCTTTTATGATTTATTTATTTATTGAGACAGGGTCTCGCTCTGTCACCCAGGCTGGAGTGCAGTGGTGTGATCTCAGCTCACTGCAACCTCCACTTCCCAGGCTCAAGTGATCCTCCCTCCTCAGCCTCCCGAGTAGGTGGGACCACTGGCATGCACCAGCTCACCCAGCTAATTTTTTTTTTCTTTTGTAAAGACTGGGTTTCACCTAATTGCCCAGACTGTTCTCAAATTCCTGGGCTCATGCAATCCACCTGCCTTGGCCTCCCAAAGTGCTGGGATTACAGGTATGTGCCACTGCGCTGGACCAGTAGCTCTTTCAGAACCTCGAAAGCCTAATCCAGAATTAAGGAATGGGGTTGTCAATATGGAAAAGAGGTTGATGGTAAACATAACAAAGGTCTTCCCATATATGATGTCAGTATGTTGCCTGATGAGCTTTCAAACTAAAGTAATGGAATTCTCTACAGATGTAAAAAGATTGAATAGACATTCACGATTTGGCATAATTAAGACTTAGGCTAGCCTGAACCTGAGGAACAAATAGATGATCGAAACTATAGAAACTATAAGGCCATTATAATTTTCTTAGAATAAGTAACTTTTAGACTATGATGTTGTGAAAATCTACAATTTCAGGACAGTTTAACCAACTAGGAAGTGGAAAGTGCTGTTGTTAGCATATTGAATGCTTCCATGTAAGTTTTTGTAGGTATTCTCAATTTTTTAAAATCCGAAGTAAAGCATGTCAACTAACAATGGAAAACAAATAGTTATGTAGAACTCTCTCATGGTTTCATATGAAAATTATGTAGATTTTTATTAAAACTTTGGAATAAAAAGACTGTATCCGGATATACAAGTCTTCTTCTCTTTTTTTTTTTTTTTTTTTTTTTTAATTAGCCTTCTTTCAGAGCCAATTCAGTCTGACAGGTAAATCAGCATTTAGGGACTTTTATTGTTCAGGCATTAATGCCAGCTTCTCTTCATACACTCTGTAGTACTCAGCTTCCAGAAGCAATAAACCATAATGGTCTCACTCACTGAGGCCTTTTAATTCATGGATCATAGACATGATAAATCATAAGAACTCCTCTGGTGCCTTTTTGTCTAGAATGGCCAGATTCTTGAAAGCCAAATACAGAACACCTTTTTAAAGGGCATGTACTCAATTGAAGAAGGATGTTCATATTCAAGAAAGCGGCGAAAGTGTTTATGGATGCACGTGCAATGGAAAGATAATACACTGAGACAAATGTGGACCCACAGATGGACATGCTTCTATGGGCAGACAGCAAAGGAGTCTTTTCCTTAGGTCCTTTATTTTCTAACATACCATTGGGATTCTGCCACCTAAGGCCAGTTTCCCCATTTCAAGGAAGGCAGTTGTAAGAGATTTATTTCCTTATCTTGAAGGAAGCTGTCTTGGCATACCTCAAGACAGGCTGGAGGATCCAAGCTCTGTTTGCTGTAACAGATTTACTCAGGAAGGTGGAGCCATAGAGGAAGGATTGGTGACCAATTTGTTGTAAATAGAGTTAACATTTAATTCAGCTTCTCTCTCAAGACCCCAGCCCAGGCCACAAGTAACACATTTTCTCAGTTCTTAAAGTCTTGACCGTAAAGCTAGAAAAATTCCATCCATGGTATACACTCTTCTTTCTTCTATTTTTACATTTTAAAAAATTACTGGCTGGAAAGGGTGGCTCACACTTGTAATCCCACGGCTTTAGGAAACCAAGGCCGGAGGATCACTTGACCCCGGGAGTTCCAGGCCGCAGTGAGCTATGATTGTGCCACTGTACTCCAGCCTGGGTGACAGAGGGAAATCCTCTCTCTAAAAAATAAAAAATGAATGACTACATTTTTCTCCTTTCTTCCAAATATTGGACTTTTTATTGACCTGACCACAAATAGAGTATAGCGCGCCCTCCCCAACAAAACCCCAACCCCACAGATGAGCTGCCGTGTTTTCTCTTAGGGCAGTTTCTCAGCCACATTCACGGACTGACCGTTTTCCCTCCCCTCATCACCTTGTGGGGAAAACAGACTTTTGTGCACAACACTCATTTGATGAGGTTCTTCAGATGAAGGAGAAAAAACATTATCACTAATAGTGTTTTAAAACATTCTGACCCTTTGTAGCCTCAAAGTTAACACTAGTTTATAAGATTTCATTGGGTCTTCACAGAGAAAGTAATCAATGACTATTGACATCCCTCAGCACAATAGGTGTTAAATCGTAGTGTAATTTTCTATGTGTCTAAAAGGATTTTATTTTACTCTACTTAATGCAGCTTTTCTAGGGAAAACAAAGAGCAGTCTTCAAGTTCTGTTTCCCATTCTCCTCCTTGTTCAATAAATGCCAAATATAAAAACCGTATACAAAGTTGAGCACATTTGTTTACATGATCTTTTCATTTTTGCGTTTATGCTAATTGCCATCCCGGAATCTCCACTGAGTGATGTTTTTAGGATTAGCTGTCAAGAACTTGGAGTTTCAGCTCGATATTGATTCTCCTCCCTTGGATAAATGCTGCTCACACTTACTAAAAAGGTCAATATTATTGCTAGTTAAGGAACAGCTAGGAGGCCTGCTCTACTGCTAACAGTCTGGATGACATGCTTGTAAGACTTTGTCTAACATCAGTATTTAATAATGTTATTAAACAGAGTCTTATTGGCCCTCCTCATCTGCAGATTATAAAATGTATCAAGACATTCACACTGAAAATCTAACTGGTATTCTGAAGGTTAAGACACATTTATACTTATAAAAAGCTGGCTTTTTAAATGATTAAATGGTTTGCAAAATAGTCGGTGCAGTTTAACAAAGGACAAACAACTGTTTTATCTGGAAGTGACTTGTGCTTCCGGAGACAACACTGGAAAAATCATTTCCGTTTGTTTTCTTTTAATAGACTTAAAGATTTCATTTGCTATCTTAATTTTAAAGCGGATTTGAGATCATCCATGTGCTTGCTTCTCTTTTTCTCTTGGGTTGTTTTTCTTAAGGTCATTCCACAATTGAAATGCGTCTACAAAGAAGGGGAAAGGAGGTATCACTGTCTTGTAAAGAACTCACAGAGAGGAGAATGAAAATTGTGTTTGGGGAGTAGGAATAGATTTCACCTGTTCCTTCTATCCTTCCTCTCTATTACCTGAGATAATTGAGAGTTGACTGGACTTAAATGAATAATGAATATATACCAATGCATATATGAAATGAAAATGTTAGATTATTTTCAAGTACCAAAATCTCATTACATCCGTATTTTCTTAAAATATACGCCCACCATGCTAGTAAAGTTAGTCTGAAACAAGTCAAACACCAAATAAGTATTACAAATACGAGCAAATGTGTGTGTGGTGGGAGAAGTGTGGGGGAGAGGAAGGGAGGGTGTTGAGGACAAGAGAAGGGGAAGAGAGAGACAGAGAGGAAGAGAGAATTAATTAAAGATTTTTACTTTGAACATTAAGAAACATTCAGAAAACATCAAGAAGTGATTCACTCTTGCTACTTTTAAACAATTGGATGGGACTCTATTTAAGTGAATTGTTCCCAAATTTCTTCACCAGAATATGCTAAGATATACTCATCATTTAATTTCTTTCCCAATGAGGCAGGACCATCATTATAAATATTGCACAATGTTGGTCTTGGAAAATACCAAAGAATGTCCAGATATTTGCCCTTTATAGTAACTGAAGTCAGACTACCCTGCTTTTTGAGTAATTCTATCTGGTTTTAATATTTTTGGGATCAGCTTTCCTCTTTTCAATGCCTCATTTCAATAGGAAGACTCTCTGACTGTCTATATCTAAACCACTATGCATTTCAAAGCCATATAATCAGTTTGTTAGAATCATGTGCAGTTGTTAGAATTAAAAGCAGTTGTTGAGAAAGAATTTTAGAAGTTCCTGTGAATCAAATGCATAAAATTTAGTCCAAGAATTTTTTGACAACTATGAAGTTCCTATGAATGAAATGCATAGAATTTAGTCTGAGAATTTTTGACAACTATTATATTTAAACCACTCAAAATATTAATAATCCCCTCGCTTTTTCTCCTCTTCCTCCTCCTCCTTCTTCATTTTATTTATGTATTTATTTTTAGAATTTTATTCCAATCGTTTTTAGGGAACTTCTTTTTTTCTTTTCTTCTTCGCCACAATCCATATTGCCATACCATTACATTTCAGATATGAATGTAGAAATTCTAATGAACTGACACTAAAGATTGATTATATAATATATATGTTTATAGATGTAGAGACAGACATAGATACCTCTATTAAAATGCATAAGTAATAAACATCTTCTGTTAAGGAAAATTACATGAGCCTGTGTTTTCTTTAGTTGAGTTAGAGCCAGGTGGGTACTATTGGGCAAAATCCCCATTTTAGAGATAACACTAGGTTTGTGTTTAGTTGTTTATATGAAATACATGCAACATATACAAATGAAATTATGCTTAGTGTGTATACATATACTATTTTATTTATTTATTTTTGGCCAGGACTCTAAGGTCAACTATTTTATTTTTTAAAATAGGGAATACATGAACAAAATCCACAAATCCAGCCAGGCAAAGTGGCTCATGCCTATAATTCCAGCACTTTGCAAGACTGAGGCAGGCAGATCACTTGAGGTCAGGAGTTCGAGATCAGCCTGGCCAACATGGTGAAACCTCATCTCTGGAATAATACAAAAATTAGCCAGGCATGGTGTCGGGTGCCTGTAATCCCAGCTACTCAGGAGGCTGAGGCAGAAGAATTGCCTGAACCCAGGAGGCAGAGGTTACAGTGAGCCAAGATCATGCCCCTGCACTCCAGCCTAGGTGACAGAGTAAGACTCTGTCTCAAAAATAAAAATAAAATATCTACAAACCCTCCAGTCCTTCCAATTGTTGCCAGTTTCCTCTATATCTATATTTGGAAAATTCAAGAAACAATCATTGGATGCTTGTTATTTCACATACTACCCTTGGTGCTGGAAGCAGAAAAATTATAAGACTTGGAGTCCCCACCCTTGAAAAACTCACAAATTATGACAGAAAGTTAAATATATAAAACAGTTACAGTTCAGTTATTCATTCAATAATCATTCTTTGGGTGCCTTAAATGTATCAGGCTCAATATAACCAGTACAATAGTTGAAACATTAGCTAAGTGCTGTAGAGTTGCCTTGATCTTGTACTCAATGAGAAGTAGGCTTTTCCCAAGGCAGGGAATGGGAGACAGAGGAAATTCTAGGCTAAGAAAACACCTGATAGACTTTGATAACATAATTTCAGAGGATATCTAGTTCAGTGTTTTCCATGTAAAAATTTTCAGGCTAGCAAGGCAGCTTTCTCTTTTCTCATTCACCCTTTCCCCCAGCCACTGCTTGGCAGCAATGGTTTTAGCTTGGTTATGTTTTCTTCCTATTACTTCTCTGGTCCGTACTATCCATATTATCATGTGACTCAATGGACATTGATATAGTCCAGCACTCTCATGTTATCAATGAGAAGACTGAGGCCCAGAAAAATAAAAGATATGGCCAAAGTCACCAGTTACGTTTTTTAAAAATTAATTTGTTTTATTTTTTAGAGATGTTTTAGGTTCACAGCAAAATCAAGCAGAAAATACAGAGTTCCCATATATCCTGTCCCCCCTACAATCAACATCCCACAACACAGTGGTACATTTGTACAATCAATGAACCTACATTGATGACACATCATTATTACCCAAAGTCCATAGTTTACATTAGGATTCACTCTTAGTATGTACATTCTATCAGTTTGGACAAATATATGACATGTATCCATCATTGTAGAACACACAGAAGAGTTTAACTGCCCTAAAATTCCTCTGTGCTCAGCCTATTCATGCCTTCCTCCCCCAAAACTGTGGCAACCATTAATCTTTTGATTGTCTCCATAGTTTTGCCTTTTCCAGAATGTCATATAGTTGGAATCATATAGTATGTAGCCTTTTCAGACTGGCTTTTTTCACTCAGTAATATGCATTGAAGTGGCTTCTGATATGGTTTGGCTGTGTCCCCACCCAAATCTCATCTTGAATGTAGTTCCCATAATCCCCACGTGTCATAGGAGGGACCCAGTAGGAAGTGATTTGATCATGGGGGTGGTTCCCCCATGCTGTTCTCATGATAGTGAGTGAGTTGTGATGTTGAGATGACATGGTTTTATAAGTGTCTGGCATTTCCCTGCTGGCACTCATTCTCTGTCCTGCTGCCCTGTGAAGAGGTGTCTTCCATCATGATTGTAAGTTTCCTGAGGCCTCCCCACCCATGCGGAACTGTGAGTCAATTAAGCCTCTTTCCTTTGTAAATTACCCAGTCTCAAGTATTTCTTCACAGCAGCGTGAGAACAGACTAATACAACTTCCATGCCTTTTCTTGGCCAGATAGGTCATTTGTTTTTAGCATTGAATAATATTCCATGATCTGGATATACCACATTTAATTATCCAATCAACTACTAAAGGATATATTGGTTGTTTGCAAGTTTTGGAGAGTGTGCTTGGTTTTGTAAGAAATGAACAAACTGTTTTTCAAAGTGCACCACTCTGCATTACCAGCAGCAATAAATGAAAGTTCCTGTTGCTCTACATTCTCACCAGCATTTGGTACCATCATGTTTTGGATTTTGGCCATTCTAATAGTTGTGTAGTGGTATCTCATTGTTTTAACTTGCATTTCCCAAATTATATATAATGTTGAATATCTTTTCATATGCCTACTTGTCATTGTGTATCTTCCTTGGTGTAGTGTCTGACATCTTTGGCCCAATGCTTAATCAAGTTGTTAATTTTCTTATTGTTGAGTTTTAGGTATTCTTTGTATACTTTGGATAACAGTTCTTCATCAGCTGTGTCTTCTGCAAATATCTTCTAGTCTGTGGCTCGTCTTTTCATTCTCTTGACACTGTCTTTTGCAGAGCAAAAGATTTTAAGTTTAATAAATCCCAGCTTATCAATTCTTTCTTGATCATATTTATTGACAAAGGCACGGATGATGTGTTTAGTGTTGTATCTAATAAGTCATTGCCAAAGCCAAGGTCACTGAGATTTTCTCTTGTGTTATCTTCCAGTTTTATAGTTTTACACTTTATATATGGGTCTCTGACCCATTTTGAGTTAATTTTTGTGAACATTGTGAGGTGTGTGTCTAGACTTATTTTTTTGTATGTGGATGTCCAGTTGTTCCAGCATTATTGAAAAGAATATCTTTGCTCCACTGTATTGCTTTTGCTCCTTTGTTGAAGATCAGCAAGCTATAGTTATATTGATTTGTTTCTAGACTTTCTATTCTGTTCCATAGATATATTTGTCTATTCTTTCACCAACACCACACTTTCTTGATTATTGTGGCTTTCTAGTAAGTCTTGAAGTTGAATAGCATCAGTCCTCTGACTTTGCTCTTCTCCTTTAATATTCTGGATATTTTTTTCCATATAAACTTTGGAATCAGTTTGTCAACTCTAAGTTATGCACAAAAAAACTTACTAAGATTTAATTGCAGTTGAATTGAATCTGTAGATCAAGTTGGGAAGAACTGACATCTTGAAAATATTGATTCTTCTCATCCATGAGTAATCTCTCCATTTACATATTTCTTGTTTCATATCTTAAATCAGAGTTTTGTAGCTTTAAACCTAAGTACTTCATTTTTTACGTGCTAATGCATATGATGGTGCATTTTTATTTTCAAATTAATGTGATGTTAATTGCTGCTATACAGAAAAGTGATCAATTTTTGCATATTAAACTTGTTTCTTGTAAACTTGCTATAATTATAATAATTATAATTATGATGATTATCATTAATTACTTATTAATTCCAGGAGGTTTTTTTGTCAGTTCTTTCAGATCCTATGCAGACAATCATGTCATGCACGAACAGAGACAGTATTATTTCTTCATTCCCAATCCATATACATTTTATTTGCCTTTCTTGTCTTATTGAATTAGCTAGTACTTCAAGTACAATGATGAAAAGCAGTGGTAAGACAGGACAGCCTGGCTTTGTTCCTGATCTTAGTGGGAAAGCTTCAAGTTTCTCACTATGAAGTATAATGTTAGCTGTAGGGGTTTTTTTGTAGATTTTTAAATTTTATTTTTTATTTATTTTTTTAGAGATGGGGGTCTAGCTATGTTGGCCAAGTTGATCTTGAACTCCTGGCCCCAAGCATCCCACCCTTCTTGGCCTCCTAAAGTGCTAGGATTACAGGCATGAGCCTGTAACTGTGCCAGCTCCCCCCTCCACCTTTTTTTGTAGATTTTTTAAGAATTGAGAACATATCTCACTGTTCCTAGTTTACTGAGAGGTTTTCATTATGAATAGGTGTTAGATTTTATCAGATGTCTTTTCTGCATCTATGAAAATGGTCATGTAAATTTTCTTCTTTAGCTTGTCAATGTGATGGATTACATTAATTGATTGTCGAACCAGCCTTACATACCTGGGATAAACCCCACTTGGCCGTGGTATATAATACTTTTTATACATTGTTGGATTTGATTTGCTAATACTTTGTTGAAGATTTTTGTCTCTGTGCTCATGAGAGATTTGATCTGTAGGTTGTTGAAAGGCAGACATAATGTTCTGGGTACAAAAGAACTGCAAAAAAATAGGCCATTAGCGATGTGGTGGTCAGGTGTCAAGGGAGAGGAAGCATTCCGTAGTCCCATGACAGGGTCTCAGTCTTTCAGTAAGTCTGTGCCTTTGGACTGGAACTGTTGTCACCATTGCTTCTCAGCCCTCCCTCCCTTGGGTGGGAGAGAATGGCTGGAAGGGGCTAGAGATGAGTATTTCCCTCCCCCCAGGTAGATTAGGCTCTGACAAAATTCCAGCAAGTTAGGATCTGGTAAAAGTTTCTCCTGAGGGCGGAACTTGTTAAGAAAAACAAAATGCTCCGATGTATTTCGAAATGGCTCCTTTTCCTCTCTCCCTGCCGAAGCACGAAGAAATATTTCTCCTATATACACCAGGAAGAACTGGTAGAGCTCTTAAAACTCACAAAAGTGTGAAGGCCCCTCGACTGAGTCTCCGTGGAGTTTTTATCTCTCAGACTTGGCCACACGGAGCCTTCAGCAATTCATCAATTACGGTTCCGGTTTACCTCCCTGGCACTGGTTCCAGCAGAGGTTTCTGCAGGTGGGTTTCTGCTCCACGGATACAGAGAATTGTGATTCTATGTACCTGCCCATTTATCTCTCCAAATTTGGGGGCAGCAGCTTTCCCTGTGACCTCCCTTCTTTGAGGGACCTAAAGAAGTTGTTGATTTCCAGTTCATTCAGTGTTTTTTTCTTGTTCTTAGGACAGAGTGGAGACTTCTAAGCTCCTTAAATGGCAGATCAGAAACTATGGAAAAAAACACACAGTTTATTTCATTTTAGATAGGGTCTTGCTCTGTCATCCAGGCTGGAGTGCAGTGACATGACCAAGGCTCCCTGCAACCTCAAACTCCTGGGCTCAAGCTCCCACCTCAGATCCCCAGGTAACTGGGACTACAAGTACATACCACCGTGCCTGGCTAATTTTATAATTTTTTGTAGAAACATGGTCTCCATGTGTTGCCTAAGCTGGTCTCAAACTCCTAGACTCAAGTGATCCTCCTGCCTCAGCCTCTCAAAGTGCTGGGATTAGAGGTGTGAGCCACTGCACCTGTCCTCCCCATAGTTTTTAGATAAACATAATCTACAAATTGTGAGTCCACTGACAGTTTTTTCATTACCACACAAATACACACATGCGTGCGTGCGCGCACACACACACACACACACACACACACTCCTTTCTCTTCTTCACTTTTGGTTAGTCCCTTGAAGAGAGGTTCAGGCACTGAACCTTTCTATGTTTTGATGTTCTTAGACACACAATTCCTTACCATTGTGTTACAACTGCCTACAGTACTTAGTACAGTCACATGCTGTACAGGTTTGTAGCCTAGGAGCCATAGGCCCTACCATATAGCCCTGATGTATAGTAGGCTGTACTATCTAGGTTTGTGTAATTGCTCTCTGTGATGTTTACACAATGATGAAATTACCTAAGGAGGCATTTCTCAGAATGTATCTCTGCCAAGCGATGCACAACTACACATATGTACCTACATATATATGTGTGTTGTGTATATACACACGTGTGTGTATATACACATGTATTTGCTTGTATGTATACATATATGTAACAAATAGGTAAATTATCTAGAATGTTATAAAGTAATAAGAGCTATGAAAATATATTTGTGACAAAGCAGGGTATGTGGGATCAGTACTGGTGGTTGGAAGAAGGGTCATTTGCAACTTTAAAAAAGGTAGTCAAATGAAACTTCCTTGAGAAAAGGAAATTTGAATAAAGACTTCAAGGAAGTGCTAAAAAGAAATGAGGGAGTGCATCAAAACTGTTCTGAGCAAGTGAATAGCCAGTGTCCGGTACCAAGTATGCCTGATGTGTTCAAGGGACAGCAAGCAGACCAGGATTCCTGAGGTGTTATAAAAATGGAGGAAGGTTCTAGAAGTTGAGGTCAAAGGGGTAACAGAGGATCAGATCATGCAAGACCTAGTAAGATATTATAGGACCATGGCTTTCTCTCTGACTGACTTGTATACGCATTGTAGGATTTTGAGCAAAGGCATGCCATGTTCTGACTTCCATTTTGTTTTTATTTATTATTTATTTTTTTGAGATGCAGTCTCACTCTGTTGCCCAGTCTGGAGTGCAGTGGCATGATCTTGGCTCACTGCAACCTCCGCCCTCCGGGTTCAAGTGATTACCCTGGCTCAGCCTCCCGAGTAGCTGGGATTACAGGCGCCCACACGACACCCGGCTAACTTCTGTATTTTTAGTGGAGACGGGTTTTCACCATGTTGGCCAGGCTGGTCTCGAACTACTGACCTCAAGTGATCCGCCCAACTCGGCCTCCCAAAGTGCTGGGATTACAGATGTGAGCCACCCCGCCTGGCCTCTGACTCGCATTTTAAAAGGTGCACTCTGGCTTCTGGATTGAGAATATAGACAATAAGGAGTCAGGTGTAGATATAATGAGAGTAGTTGGGCTATTGCAATAACATAGGCAAAATAACGTTGGTGGCTAAGGATAATACCTATGGAAGTGGTAAGACTAGGTTAGACTCTGGATATGCTTTTAATGTAGAGCTAAAGACCACTTCAATAAAGACCACTGCCATAAAGCTAATATCACAATAACGTGAGTCACATGGTTTCTTTTGGTCTCCCAGTGCATATAAAAGTTATGTTTACACTATACTATTAAACATTTAATAGCATTATGTCTAAAAAACAATGTACATACCTTAAGTTTTAAATTTTATCATTAAAAAATTCTAAAGATCATTGGAGCCTTCAGCAAGCCATAATATTTTTGCTGATGGAGTATCTTGCGTCAGTGTTCATGGCTACTGATTAACCAGGGTGGTAGGTGCAGAAGGTTGGGGTGATTGTGGCAATTTATTAAAATAAGACAACAGTGAAGTTGCCCCATTGATTACGTCTTCCTTTCACAAGAGATTTCTCCATAGTGTGTGATGCTATTTGATAGCATTTTACCTACAGTAGAGCTTCTTTCAAAATTGGAGTCAATCCTCTCAAACCTTTCCACTGCTTTATCAACTAAGTGTATGGAATATTGTAAATCCTTTATTGTCATTTTGACAATGTTCACAACATCTTCACCAGGAGTAGTTTCCCTCTCAAGAAACCACTTTCTTTGCTCTTCCATAAGAAGCAACTCCTTATCTGTTCAAGTTTGATCATGAGATTGCAGAAATGCAGACTCATCTTCAGCCTCCACTTCTATTTCTCTTTAATTTCTACTATGTCTGCAGCAACTTACTCCACTGAAGTCTTGAAATGCTCAAAGTCATCCATGAGGGTTGGAATCAACTTCTTTCAAACTCCTGTTAATGTTGACCTCCTCCCATGAATCTCAAATGTTCTTAATTGGATCTAGAATGGCAAACCTTTTCCAGAAGGTTTTCAACTGACTTTGTCCAGATCCATCAGAGAATAAAAATCTATGGCAGTGACAGTCTTGCAAAATGTATTTCTTAAATAATAAGACTTGAAAGTTGAAATTACTCCTTGACTGATGGACTGCAGAATGGATGTGGTATTAGCAGGTGTGAATATCTGCGCATCTCCATCAGAGCTCTTGGGTGACCAGGTATGTTATCAGTGAACAGTCATATTTTGAAAGGCATCATTTTTTTCTGAGCAGTAGGTCTCAACGGTGGTCTTAAAATTTCCAATAAACCATGGTGTAAACAGATGTGCTGTCATCCAGGTTTTATTCCTTTTACAGAACACAGGCAGAGTAAATTTAGCATAATTTTAAGGGCCTTAGGAATTTTGGAATGATAAATGAGCATTGGCTTCAACTTCAAGTAACTAGCTACATTAGCTAGTTAAAAGAGACTCAGCCTGTCCTCTGAAGCTTCAAAGCCAGGCACTGACTTGTCTCTAGCTATGAAAGTCTGAGGTGGCATCATCTTCCCATGCAAAGCTGTTTTCATCTACATTGAAAATCTGTTTTTTAGTGTAGTCTTCATCAATGACCTCAGCTAGATCTTGTGGATAACTTGTTGCAGCTTCTCCGTCAGCACTTGCTGTTTCACCTGGTACTTCTATGTCATGGAAGTGGCTTCTTTCCTTAAACCAACTTCTTGAACCAACCTCTGCTAGCTTCAGATTTTTCTTCTGCAATTTCCTCGTCTCTCTCAGCCTTCTTAGAATTGAAGAAATGTATGGCCTTGCTCGGGACTAGGCTTTGGCTTAAGGGAATTTCATGGCTGTTTTGTTGTTATTGTTGTTGTTGTTGTTTGTTTTTTGTTTGTTTTTTCCTATCCAGACCACTACAACATTCTCTGTATCAGCAGTGAAGCTGTTTCACTTTTTTATCATTCATGAGTTTTCACTGGAGTCGCACTTTATATTTCCTTTAAGAACTTTCCCTTTTTATTCTTAACTTGACTAACTTTGGCACAAGAGACTTAGCTTTTGACTTATTTTGCTTTGTACCCGCCTTCCTCACTAAGCTTAATCATTTCTAGCTTTTGATGTAAGTGAGAGATGTGCAACTCTTCCTTTCACTTGAACACTTAGAGACCATTGCAGTGTTAATAACTAGCCTAAAGACAATATTCTTGTCTCAGGGACTAGATGGGCCTGAGGAGAGGGAGAGAGATGGGGAAGCAGCCAATCAGTGGAGTAATCAGAACACACACAACATTTATTGATGAAGTGTGCAGTCTTATATAGGCATGGCTCATGGCACCCCAAAACAATTACAATAGTAACATCAAAGATCACAGGTCACCATAACAGATGTAATAATCATGAAAAATGTGAAATGTTGCTATAATTACCAAATGTGACACAGAGACACGAAGTGAGCACACGCTGTTGGAAAAATGGTACCATTAGACTTACTCGACTCAGGGTTACCACAAACCTTCAATTTGTAAAATATGTGATTTCTGCAAAGCACAATAAAACAAGTACAACTCTATTTCCTGATGAATTAGAGGAGAAGAGTGACAGCGTGGGGGAGTCAAATAAGACCACCAAGGGTTTTGTCTGGAATAACTTGAAGTGTCAGTGCTGCCATTGACTGAGATGGGAAAGACTGCAGAAGGAGTTAATTTTAGAGTTCAGGAGTTTTTATTTGAAACTACCCATTTATTTGTTTATTTATTTATTTACTTTTTAATTTATTTTGAGATGGAGTCTCACTCCGTTATCCAGGCTGGAGTGCAATGGCGTGATCTCGGTGCACTGCAACCTCTGCCTCCTGGGTTCAAGCAATTCTCCTATCTCAGCCTCCCGAGTAGCTGGGACTACAGGCACGTGCCACCATGCCCAGCTAATTTTTGTATTTTTAGTAGAGATGGGGTTTCACCATATTGGTCAGGCTGGTCTCAAACTCCTTACCTCAGGTGCCCCACCCACCTTGGCCTCCCAAAGTGCTGGGATTACAGGCGTGAGCCACAGCACCCTGCTGAAACTACCCGTTTACACAATCTAGTGGAAATGTCGAGTAGATAATTTCATATGTGAATCTGAAGTTAAGAAGGGAAAGAGAGATCTGAACTGGAAATGTAAGTATAGGAGATGTCAGCATATAACCTGCACTTAAAGCCTCGAGACTACAGTGTTGTTCACCAAGGGAGTGAGTCTAGAAAGATTAAGAAAGAACAAAGGCTGAGCCCTGGGGCAACATTAAAACTGTGGGAATAAGAATCAGTGAAGGAGGCTGAAAAGGCGTGGCCAGTATAGTAGAACAATCAGGAGAGAACGGTGTCCAGAAAGCCAAATGAAGGAAAGTGTGCAGGCGGAGAAAGTGAGAAGCTGTGACCTGATGGGTTCAAGTACGATAAGTCCCTTCCCACTTTTTTGCAGTTTCACTTCCTGATGTTTGAGTTCAACTGCAGTCAACTACAGTCTGAATATATTACATAGAAAGTTCCAGAAATAAACAGTTCATGAGTTTTAAATTGCACGCTGGTCTGAGGGGAGGGATGAAATCTCACTGTCCAGCTGGGACGGTGAATCTTCCCATTGCCCAGCGCATCCACGCTGTGTGTGCTACTCGCCCCTGCTGGGATGGTGAATCTTCCCATTGCCCAGCGCATCCACGCTGTGTGTGCTACTCGCCCCTGCTGGGACGGTGAATCTTCCCATTGCCCAGCGCATCCACGCTGTGTGTGCTACTCGCCCCTGCTGGGACGGTGAATCTTCCCATTGCCCAGCGCATCCACGCTGTGTGTGCTACTCGCCCCTGCTGGGATGGTGAATCTTCCCATTGCCCAGCGCATCCACGCTGTGTGTGCTACTCGCCCCTGCTGGGATGGTGAATCTTCCCATTGCCCAGCGCATCCACGCTGTGTGTGCTACTCGCCCCTTCCATCTCGATGATCACATCAACTGTTGTGGTATCACAGTGCTGGTGTTCAAGTCACCCTTATTTTACTTAATGATGGCCCCCAGGTGTGCAAGTAGTAAGGCTAGCAATGCAGATCTGCCAAAGAGAAACCACAAAGTGCTTCCTTTAACACCGGATCCATAGGATTTGGTAATAATCCCAGTTTCAGGCATCTACTGGGGTCTTAAAACTTATTCCCTGTGGATAAGGGGAAATGCCACCGTAAAATGAAGGCTTAAAATTGACGTTGGGATTTAGCAGCATGGAGATCTTGGGCCATCTTGACAAAAGTGTTTTCTGTGGAATGGTGATGATAAAACTTTCATTGGATTTAAAGGAGATGAGAGTAGAACATTTAGAAACATCCAGCATAGGCAAGCCCTTTAAGGAGTTTTCCTAAAAAACAGTGAATAAAATAAAGAAAGTAAAATAAAATAAAACAAAAAAGAGGGTGTAGCTGATAGGGAAATCAAGGAAAAGCCCCCTTTCCTTGCCTTTTTTTTTTTTTTTAAAGATAGAAGTAATAACTACATGCTTGGGATCATGGGAATGAGTCCATAGGGGCCAAAAATAAATGATAATATAGAGCATAAAATTGCTGGTAGCAAAATATGACAATGCAATTTGGGGGATTTGAAAGCGTATGTCTAAAATACATATTTAAATTAACAAGTAACAAAGTAATGTCTACTCTAATTCACCCTTTTCCTTTGCATCCCATTCAAAATTCTGACCCACTTAAAAATGATACCAGATAAGTATTTGTTTCTTATCTGATTAAAACAATTAGTACTAAAATATGTATCAGGCTGAACATCCCACCTAAAGTCCATATTATTTGTACAGATTTGCAATAAAATGAATCTCTAATTGGAAGATATTTTCGAGTGGCATTTTCTGACCACTCGAGACATGACTCATTCCATATTTAGTTTTTCAGAGAGTAAGTAGGTTGAATCAGCATTATTATCCACAGTCAAAATGCCCCAAAGTCAATCGTAGATCCCAGAGATGTACAAAAAAACTTTAATGTGAAAACAAGGTCACACTTCTCCACCACACCTAGGGCTAAACCCATTTCCACCTGTAAGTGATGCAGAGCACAGTCATCAGAGTCTATTTCCACAAAACAATAGTCTCTTTGTAACACCGAGGAGTCAGGCTGAAAACAGAAGTTCGGTGCTTTAGAATGAAGAATGCTCTGGCTTGGGCACAGATTTAGACAGTTGGATTCAGATGCTGCTTACTGAAGAACTCTCTTTTGGTGAAGCAAAACATCTTCAATCCAGAAGTATGTTTAGCCTCTAACGTGATCTTCTTGCTGTGCCCATGAAAACCTACTGGACTCTGAGCCAGACTTGCCTGATCCTGCCCTATATGCACATGTATAAAATGGTGGTCCTTTTCTCCTTCTGTCTGAATCACATTGCTGTACTATGCATTGATTCACCCTACCCACGAAAAGAGTTGAAGTGAAAAAAGAACCCCAAGCAAAACTTTGTCTGGCTGACTATGCCTATGGTCTGTGAGTCACTAAAAATTTTAACTATGGACTTGACCCTACTGAGCCCAGGCAAGCCCAAGAACTCCCCATCCCCACCCCATCCTCAACACAGAGACTTTCCTGAGGGACTGGAGCTAGCATAGTACATCACATTGCATAGCCACAAATCACCAATCTACCTTTGCAAAGTGTGGCCTTCTTAAGGCGTAGCATGCATATGTATAAATGCATATGTGGTATTTAACACAGGTTAATGAGATCAACCCCAAGTGAGCTTTCTGTAGGACATCATATACTGCAATTATGATAAAGTTATGTTAAAATATAGGGACTTTCCAGGTAAATGATTAAATAAAAATGATTTTTAAAGTATTTATCCACATGAGCTGCCTTCTACATATTTCTTAAGAATGTATGTGCAAAGGGTTAATATTATATGTAAGGCAGACATCTAATGGATAAATTTAAAAGCAGCTAAAAACATAGCATCCTGTGTATAACTTTCATAATTGTACGTTCCTCCAGAGATAATGGATATGATTATCAGCAGCGCCTGTCCTAGGTAACTTGGCAAGGTTACGATTGTTTGTTACAGCTTTGGTTATATTAACATACACATTAATATTTATAAATATTTGATGTCATGTTAATTTTTCATATAAGATGATTTATGTAATGTTGCTGTGCCCTGTTAGAGGGCATTTGCAATATGCTTCAAAAGGGAACTGAACTGATGCATGTTCTTTAAGGGAACTTGCCTGTATATCACTGTTCTCATGATGCATTATTCTGAACAATAGTATTTCAAAATAAATTATGTGAATTGTGGATTTACTCCATTAACATTTTAAATAAAACATAAAGGAAAAGATCATGCTGAAACTATTTGCTACATTTTTAAAAGGAGCTCTGTTCTCTTGGAGCAGAACAAAGTTTACTGAAAGACTCTTTTTCAAAAATGGAGTTATCAAGCAAGCAATGGTTTTGCAATTTTGTTTTCAATGTATAGTCTATATAGCATGCAAACTAGCATATTCAGAAAAGTATATAAACTTGAGATAAAAAAGTCATAATATTCTTGTTTTCATTTGTCAATTTTCTTTTGCTAAAGTATATTTTACTGTGATGATCAAATTTAGACATTAAGAGAATTAAATATAAATTCAGCAGGATGTGTATAATAAATAAATCAAAAAGTTATTAAATGAATATTTGCTTTAGGTGAAAAAAAATTTCTTTATAGGAAGTTTAATAGGTTTGTTTAGTATTATAGTACTACTTTATAATATAGTTCATTGGTCCACATTACCAAATAATATTATTAATGATGTTTCACTTTTTTTGTTGTTTTGGTCAAAAGGATAAAATATTTTATGTAAAATCTGTGGAAAAAAACGCAGAAACCCTATTTTATATGGTAATCCATTTTCCAATTTTAATGGATGTTATCTTATCCTTTTTTTTTCTATGTAGGCATTTTTTTTGAGTATCTTCTTGTAGTTATGCTATTAGCATATGAACTATTAATAAAATTTGAGTTTTGTACTTGTTTCTTTCTTTCTTTTCTTATTTTTTACTTTTTTAAGAGACGGGTCTTGCTATGTTGCCCAGGTTGGTCTTTAACTCCTGCACTCAAGTGATCCTCCCACTACAGCTTCCCAAAGTGCTGGGATTACAAACATGAGCTACTGATGCTGGGATTACAGGCTTCAGCCACCAGCGCCTGGCCTGTACTTGTTTCTTTTCAACAGTTTTAACTAGTGCTTCTATTGTTCCTTTTTCCCTATTAAGATTCAAGTTTTCTTTAAGGTGAACAATTCCTTATTAACTTACTGTTCTTTTCTTCGTGTCCCTAAAATGACACATCATCCTGCGGTATAACACTAAGAACGAAGTTAGTAAATTTGAGAATTTTGGAAATCCTCATTTAAAATACACAACTGGAATTGAATATTTTCTCCTAAATTTATCATTAAATAGGTAATAATTGTTACTTTTCATTTCATCACTGGCACTGTATTAAACCCTGAAACAACTCAAAAAATCAACTTCAGAAATTACCTTTGATTTGACATTACAGAAGTTGGTTTGTTATTACTATCCAGTTTCACAACATTGACAATTAACTTGAGCAAAATGTAATAGACTTTTTTCTCTCATATTTTTCATACTCAAATTAATTCTGTCATCACAATTATTCACATTCCAAAAAAATTTAAAGCAGGTCACGAGGGAAGAAAATGCCTTAATTTGAGGCCACGCAGAAAGATCTGTGGCAACAAAGCATGGGAAAAGGCGGGAATAGGGTTACATCCTGAAGCAACAGACAGCTAGCGCTGTGCAAAGTATATGACTATTAAGTCGTTTTAAATTCACATAATATCATCTGAAAAAATGTTGCTAATGCACATAGTCACAAACAGCAGTCAGCAGTAGATAGATTGTGTTAAGTATAAATGATTTGAATTACTACCTACATATATTTAGCTTAGAATATTTATAATACATACATGGAAATCTATATCTCATAATATATAATAAAAGGAGAAGGAAAATGTGAGAAACCTGGTATTTTTAGAGTATCACAAATCTGTGTTGTCAAATATGAATCAATTTACTCTTCAGAATTCCTGCTTCCTGAATGAAGAAGAATCAAATTTAGAAGGCGTAGTATTATATATGATCAAAATGTTACAAAGCATAGTAACTGAAATTATTAAACATATCAGCAGAACCACCTGGCTTGAAAGACTATAATAGATCACCCATCAAGAAAAAAACAGAAATTAAAAGCTTTAGGTGTCGAAGGATAGGTAATTAGGAAAGGATAATCAAAGAGTGGATTCCACAAAAAGGTTAGTGCTGTACTTTTTGTTGCTGAAATCAGCCTTTTGGCAATTGATATATAAGTAATCAAATTAAAAGTTTTCCATCTTACACTGATTCTTTTATAGGTAAAAGTATGCATTAGGTAAATAATAAATTAAGAAAAAGAAGGTCAATGTTCAATTGCAGTGTTTTAAAAGCATCTTCCTTAAGATTATAAGCACCCAAGAGACAATTAGCTTAAAACTATAACACTATAGTAGGAGAAAGAGATCTAAATACACAGACACACATACATACACAAATACATAAGTATATGTGAGGGTATCTCCAAATACAGTATACAAATCTATATTGAGTTGGCTACTATTGTTCTTACTGTAAAGTTTCTAATGTAGTCATAAAATTACAAGGAAGTTAAAACGTCAGAATAGTTTACCACTCCAAATTAGATTGTGATATTTTATCTAAATCTAGGCAAAGCCAACTCTTTTTAAAAATACTCTTCAGGGAGAGGGTAGTCTCAGATATCATAACTACAAAAATAATGTGCAATTTAATTTAAATCTAGATTTTTATATTTAGAGACAATTTAGTTATCGAGTTAAAGAAATTATGACATTTCTAAATAAAGGTTTTACTGAATTAAAATACTATACGGCAAAGTAATTTGTATAGGTGAACGTGACACAAATTCCATTAGTGGTATTGTCACCAAAATTTGATATCTAAAAAGAAAACTCATAGCAGATCAATACTAGTAAGATAAATGGATCAAACTTACACACATACAAATCACATTTCTTTTTATAGCTGATTAATACTTAGCAATACATAATTAACAGTTACAAAAACATTGTACTATGTGTTTAAGTGACAGTGCAATAAATTAAGGCTTCACATCAAACCCCATGTAGGCCACTTTTGGAGGTGTCTACTTCCCTAGTCAGAGACGTTACCCTCAGTCAGTGTGCACATTTTCATTACCAAGTAAAAGAAGTAGTTGTTGAATGAACTGGAATGGCTCAACATAACATATTACCACAAGAAGAAAAGAACCATTTATAAATCCTGATCCTGTATGCCGTTTTTTTTTTCATCTTTGGATCTGGACAGTTGGTATTAGATAAATGTTTAAGACAAAGCCGAACGATTTTAGCATCATTTCACACAAATCATTACATTATATTTATTTTGAATTTTTCCTACGTAAGCTGAACTAGAAGAAAATAATTGGTTAGATAAATGAAAGATATTAATAATAAACTCTAACCCTCTAAAGTTTAAATTCTATCTCATTTGATTCTCTTAATATCTTAAGAGAAGCAGATAGAGGACTATTACTTCTTGTGTGGCAGATTTAACCCCAGGATGACATGAAATTGTTATTTGATAACAGTTCAGTTTGTTGGTGATAATGGTGACCCTTGGTGTTTCAAGTGGGTTTTTGGCCAAGTCATCTGCACAAGTGAATCTAAACTAATTATTTCAATAGACCTTTCTTATATAAACTGTGTTAACGTAAACACTGTAGAAACTCTAAATGTAGTGGGGGAGGTTGGGGTGTGCAGAACAGACAAAGAGATTGCTTTCTACAATTTAACCCTGAACATATGGCATGTCCATACATGTAAAATTAATGTGCCCAGTACAAGCAATCATTTCATAGTTTATCAGTGATTGCAGATCACAGCAAAATACGTTTCGCCACACTACTATGGATCTGTTAGAAGATAAACCTAAATGGATAAAATGAGCTCAGGTCATAGTTCATTTTTCTTTCTGTTTATGACTATGAATTTTTTATTTTACTAAGTCTTTTGTTAAATCAAAAACCTCACCCACGATTAGCATTGATTTATTTTATGTTCATTTTAGATTTGATATTAGCGTTTTTATCATGAATATATCATATCCATAAAGAGGCAAAGATACTGGGTTTACCTTCTGCTCTGGTTTCAGTTATTTATTTTAAATGCTGCCTGTAGGAAGAGTTAAGGGTAACCATTTTAGGGTTAATCTGTCACTGCATGATTAAGTATGAAAGGAAACCATTCAAAAGTCACAAGAATGAAATGTAACAGAATACACAAGGGGTCAATAAGGATGTGTATTTTTCCTTCCACTGTGATCTACTGCTATTCAGAACAATTGATTAGACAGGTTCATTATTGTTTTGCAACCACACATAAACCATTATTATCTGCCATTCACTCCCTAAGGTGTTCTAGTGGACAGTTTTTCAATGATTTGTAATTTCAAATAGCAGCAAACTTACAATTCACCTTGTTTAACTTCCCTGGTCTTTCAAAGAGGATTACCAACTTCTACAAGCTAAACATTGGAGCAGTTACAGCCTTCCTGGAAATTTTTTATCAGGCTGGCAAATGTTTATCATCCCTGAACTATACTCAGTCCTTAAAACAGTGATTTTTACTTTATCCTGAATAGATGAATAATGGAGGAGGGAACCACCCTTCTGGAGCTGAAATCTTCTGTAAGTCTAGCCTTCAACCATCATTCAAAAATATGTGCTGAGGTTTGCAGTAATGTTATTTAGAGAAATTGGTAAATGAATTATAAAATGGGTTATAGGCCGGGCGCAGTGGCTCATGCCTATAATCCCAGCACTTTGGGAGGCTGAGGCGGGTGGATCACGAGGTCAGGAGTTCAAGACCAACATGGCCAACATGGTGAAACCCCGTCTCTACTAAAAAAAAACCAACAAAAATTAGCCAGACCTGGTTGTGAGTGCCTGTAATCCCAGCTACTTGGGAGGCTGAGGCAGAGAATTGCTTGAACTTGGGAGGTGGAGGTTGCAGTGAGCTGAGATCACACCACTGCACTCACTGCCACAGCCTGGGCAACAGAGCGAGAATCTGTCTCAAAAAAAAAAGTGTTATATTAGGAGCAATTTTCCTGTAAATCTGTACAACATATAAAACAAAGGAAGATGAGTAAAGTTGCTTGGAACAGGACCTAAAGTTTTGTCAAGTTCAATTTTTTTCATATTATAAAATGACTTTTCTCAAAAGCAGACTCAAGCAATAAAGTATTTTCTTTGTGGAATTCACATTGGCGTGTATATGTGTTCTTAAGAGGCATTGCTCTTTCATTAAACTCTAGTTCATAGTTCTGTGTGTGTGTAAGATTTTATATGGGTGTGACTAACATGATCAGAGCAGGTTCTATTCCTCCTAGAAATATGTGTCATTCTTAGTGTTTGGGCTCTGGAAAAAGTGTAATTAATCCTGGCTCTTCTACTTACATTGGGCAAATTACTTACTTTTCAATGTACTGATCTTTAAAATGAGGAAAATAATAGTAACGACTTGTGAAGTTGTTATGAGGACCACATGAGACAATGTATGCTATGTGGTGGGCACGTTGTCTGCAAGAAAACATGCGTGTAGGCCAGGCGAGTCAGGAGGAGGAGGGAAAATAGGATGCAGACCAGGTAATTGCAGTAGTCAAGACAACATCAAAAGAAAGACTTGTTTTTATGCTTTTCCCACTACTTATCATAAGGACTTTAAATCTGCAATATAAGAGAAAACAGGGTCACGTCCTTAAGTGTAATCACAGTACTTTGTTAAAAGTCACATCCTTCAGAGACAAGTCATTGCAAAAGAAGGAAGTGAAGATGGCAGGATAGTGATAATGCTTTATGTTAAAAATTGAAGGGCTTTCGGCATGAGCAATGCTTATGAAAACCATCCTAGAAATAGCATGGGATGCTGACCTGTCAATGCCTAGCTTCCAAATAAAGCTCTTCATTTTTTTTGATATATTTATTCGGGATTTCTATTAAAGGCTACACAAGTTGAGTTAGTTTCTATTCCATTTCACAAGAGCATTCTTTAATTTCTGATAATAAATAGAACTAATACATATTTAAAGGTTCATCCCAAAATTTATATAATTTTAGAATCGTATATAAAATATTAAACAAGATAGCCAGCAAAAATTTGTACACAGTGTTCCAACTATTAAAATACATAGAAAATGCCATCTCAGTTTATAACATTTATTTTACGACTCTTAGAAAATATAATCCAAAATTGAATTTTGAAGTGTCACTGAATTTTCAGCTGGAATTTCTTCTGGTAGATACTCTCACCCTCTTCGTTTTGTGAATTTTGATTTCTTTCTTAAATGGGACTGTGTCAGTTCTGAAAATAATTCAATGACAGTTTTTTGCAACAACTTCTTTTTAATAGGGAAATGTTAAAACTGAAATATATATTTACTTTATGAAAAATATTTAACCCAGGGCAATATTTCTCAAACTTCCCTTTGAGTAAGAATGTTCTGGAAGACTTGTTTAACATGCTAATTTATTGGTCCTATCCTTGGGGATTCTGATTCCCTATAGCTGAAATAGGGCCCAGAAACGTATATGTTCTCAAGAACCCTCAGGTGATTCTGCTTACAGGGGGTCTAAAGGCAACAATTAGAAAATCATTGGTCCAGGGTTACCATAGATAGTTAGAGCATATTTGTCATCAAGATAATCTTCAAATTTCAATAAGGAACCTCTTTATTATCAACATTATTCCAAAAGGTAGTAAAGGTTGATTTCTAATAAGTTTGAAAATAAATATTGCCTGTACCATGGCCTGATTTAAATCTAGTTTCTAAGTCACACTGTAAACTCTTGAGGCAAGATTCTAGTACTCACTGATCAGTGTAAATAGAGACTGAAGATAAATGCAGAGCTCCATTAAGCCAGGACTCTAAGCTAGGAATCTCACATGCACCCTCTCTTCCTTCCAGCATCCTCTTAGTTTATCTTCAGTTTAAGCTTGTTCTCCCTTCTCTTTCCCCTAACTCAGATTCTCTCACTGCCAATTTCCTCCCTCTTTATAGACTCTTAGCTCATAATCTTCTCATGGCCTACTTTTTTCTCCTCCTAGATATCTTATCCAAGGATAAAAGAGGGGAAGGTGAATCCTGGTCTTTCACAGATTTTGTGGATTAAAAGTGCTGGACTTGGAGTACAGGGCTAAGAAAGAAGTGTTAGGTAAACACAGAAAGAAATTTGGATGCTTCTCTGCCCAGGCCAGATTCTTCTTTCCCCCAGTCTGCTCTAGAAATGCCTGGCTTCTTATGTTTTTCACTAAAGCAAACAAAGCCAGAGCTACGTCTTCATCAGGTAAACTAAAAATCAGATCACATGGCCCGTAGGAGCTTGCTGTATTTCAATATGACTCTTCTACTGTTTCATGGCTTTATTCCACAACTCTCTTTTCTCAGAAATGCATCACGCCACAGAGAAAACCAAGCTCTGCTGTCTTAAGCACCAAAAATGAACCAAAGTTTGGCCAGGTGCAGTGGCTCACACCTATAATCCCAGCACTTTGGGAGGCCGAGGAGGGTGGATCACGAGGTCAGGAGATTGAGACCATCCTGGCCAACATGGTGAAACCCCATCTCTACTAAAAATACAAAAATTAGCTGGATGTGGTGATGCGCGCCTGTAATCCCAGCTACTAGGAAGGCTGAGGGAGGAGAATCGCTGGAACCCGGGAGGCGGACGTTGCAGTGAGCCGAGATCACACCACTGCGCTCCAGCCTGGTAGCAGGGTGAGACTCGGTCTCAAAAAAAAAAAAAAAAAAAAAAAAAAAATTCCAAAAATGATCCAAAGTTTTAGGCAAGAGGATAGCTTTACCTAGAAGGTTGTTAGAAATATCTTTCTTTGTCTCACTTGGGACGTTTGTACCCTAAGAGTAGTGGTGTTTCTGGTGTCATCTTTAAGCAAAGAAAGAAAGAATTCCATGACCCATGTGATGATGGCTTAGGTTTCCAGACTAAGGTAATTCACACAACTGTGGCCTAATGTACTTCTGACATCAGGATTTATGGATGAACCAGGTTTAGTCTCTTAGAAAAATCAGCTATGAGTTGAATACAGACTTGAAGTGAAAGTAAAGACGAAATATCAAAATATCAAAATCTTATGTTGTATTTTAAATTTCTAAAGTCTTAAGGAAGTTGTCTATGTCCATTTCAAATGGGTGTAACGGTCCATGACAGGCTTTGAGAAAATAGCATATGACCACGAACTTCGTCGTAAGTATGTTGTTAAGAGTGGCGGTGGTATTGATGATGTAAACATCTTTCCTCTCCTGGCATTAACAGACAGAAATGTGACTTGTAGATTCAGTTTCTCCCAACCAACACATATGTAAGAAGAATGTGAAACTCACCTCTCTGCTTACATATCCTTAGTTGATAGTTCACAGACAAGAAGTTTTGTGAGACTGAACCCTAAATGATCTGTTAATGATTTGGGATTTTAAACAGTTTGCTCTGAAAGCTGGTTCTTGTAATCAAGTTTGACATGAAAATAGTACTGTCATTAAATTCAAGGAAATACCACAGTTTAATGCTTAATCACATTAAATTTCAGATAATTTGTATGTCATGAAGCTGTATTTTGGAAACATCAGTTGGAGCTTTACTACTGAGCAGACCATATATCTACATAGACTCTTAGTCTCAGAGCACTACAGTATCAAGTTGTAGTTTTGGAAAGCTGGTATGGAAAAAAAAAACACCTGTTTATTAATTGCATTGAAATGTTTTAGGGAATACCTCCATGTAATTAAAGTGGCAATGATAATGAATAATAGGGCTACAATTACTTTCTTCTAGAACCAGCTTCTTTCTTTCAAGGGAAAAATTCTTGCCCCGTCACTTGCCTCATGAATTTCCAGGAGTGTTCCTTGCCTCTGATTTGAAGCATGCTATTGTTGTTCTTTTTTCAAGCAGTTCTGATTCTTTGTCCTACACATTTTTGTGTATAGATGTTGTCTGGGTGATGGAAGGGTAGAGATTAAACTGAATTTCTTGCAGGGTCAGTTTACATAGTGAGTTCTGAAAGGGCTGGGTGGAAGATTTACATTTTCAAGCAAAATCATTGAAATTACGGTGAGTAAAACATATGATAAGGATATTAACACATACCTAATAGGTCACCCATACTCACGTGGGAGTTTTAGTACTTCTTAGTAATTCCATTTACTTGACACAAATGGTTTTGGCTGATTGCTCTAACCTATCACCATACCTTGAGCAAAACAACTGATGTCATTCAATAAGGAGTTAGGATCCATTAAAGAGAAGCCCATTATAACAGCTTATACAATCTACAATGCAAATGAGAACACTGTTTCAACATAAGATGAAAAAGGCATTCTGAAAGAGGCTAAAGTATTTTCTAAATTTTAAAAAAGAGCTAGTCTTGACGCCTAAGATTTCTTAAATATTTTTCAAAGTGTCAACTCAGAATTGTGGAATCTGTCTTTTGTCTTCCCACTGTAAGGATTCAAACTTCTCATAATGCACAGAAAGATCTCCAGTCAGCATCCCCCCCCACCCAATACAACGTTGTGTTAAACTTCATCCAATTGTCCAGCTAATTCTTGTGCTTCTCCAATTTTACTGGATATGATGTTTTTATTGGGGTTCATGGAAGCATGGCTAATGACATCAGCAAGCTTTGTAATTTCTCACTGCCAGTTTTCTACACAACTTACACTTTTGTCACTCAAACTGCACCAAATTGCTCCAACAATTAATCTTAAAGCGCAGGAGTAGGGGGACTTTTAAATGGACCCCTTCTTGGGATTTTGTGTTAAAAACAGGAAAGTTCCCATGAGTGAAGGGGATAAGTTAGCTTTTCCAGCCTCTGCCTCTCCCCAAGTCTCACTCTTCTCTGCCACCTCCCCCCCCCCAAAAAGGAATGAATTACATTTCTCTTCTTGTCCTTTAAATGAATAGCATAGTTTGGGTGAAATTATCAGGCAATTGCATGCCTTTTATGCAGATAATGCTATTTGATGAAAGCGGTGTTTTGATCTGCTAAGGATAATACAGATCCAGGGTTGGATTCATTGGTGAGAGTAAAGCTGTCTTCTGTGATAACTTCATCTCAGCATGAGGTCAGACGGGGAAAACTGGGATGGGGGATTAAAAAATGACACAGTCGGAGCAGTATTCAGTTCCCTGCTGTGCTCCTGGCTGCACACTATAGCTTATGTTTCTGATCTGTTATGGTATTGTCTGCCTTTCTCTCTCGGAGCAGAAAGAGATTGCTTAAAACTTTTCTTTTTTCAGCTAGAGGGATTAGTTCTGTGCAGCTTTTTTAATTAAAGAAACTGTATCTTTTTCAAGGCAATTTAAAGCTGCAAGGGAAGACCCATCAACATCCATAACTTAGTACTATTATCTGTAACAAAGTCTAAGCTCTAAATTTGATATTCAGAAATAGGGGAAAGGAGCTATAGAATTCTGTTGTATTCTTAACCTTCAGTGGTTGCTCAAATCCCTAAATGAAGAATAGTAAATAAATTATTTTGTGTAAGTCCTGAATATGTTTCTATAAGTAGTAACTTTCAGCCTCTTTGCTTTTTAGCCTAGCTGAGCTTGCTTAATTAAATCTTCATGATGATAGCGAAGTGCACTTGCAAATGGTGTAAGAGGAAATAGATTTGACTATATATCCTTTTCTTTACCCAGAGATCATTTTTAAACATTTCCATTCTACTGAAAGTGATAACAGTAGAAAAGGTCTGCTTAATATGGGCAATTTGCATTTAAACAGTGCAAAGTACAACATTATGGTACTTTATCACGACGAATCTTTGCATGTGTGATAAGCGGTCATCATCTTTATTAATCTGAGGGAAGCATGGATTGAATCTATCCAAAGTGATGATGAATTTGTCAGGACATATACATTTGAGTTGAATTTATAGCTCAATTTAACCCAGGTTAATGTCGAAAATCCTCAAATGTTTCAAATAAGGCCCATATGGTTATCACTTTACAAAGCACACAGGCTCTGCGCTTCAGTTGCAACATACACATCTCCAACTAAATTCCATGCCAGATCAATTAGAAACAGTCCTCCTGAGCAGACAGGAACAAACAAAGATTGTTTCCCCAATACCAGCTGAACCCTTGTCTTGAAGAAATGAAAAGCAGTCATCTTAGGCTCTACACTTCTTACCACTAAAAATCCAAAGGGAATTTGGAGGACGACAGGGTTTTATAAATAATGTCATATTTAATATAAAAACATGAGTATCTACATGTTATAGGTGCTTGCTACAATTTGTTTCCAAATTTCGATAAACATCATATCCTACTGAAAAAGAGAAAACCAAAATTTGATCTCTTTGCCTTTTCTCATTGTTTTTGTCTTTACTTCGCATTATGATTCTGAGAAAAGTCAACCAAGGTCAAAAGTGGTTCGTTGTAATGACCAGAATTTTAAAACGATGTCCCATTAAAAACTTCATGGTCAGAGAAGTAGAACAGTGTACTTAAATGCATTTTCAAGGTAAATTTTATTTATGACATACCCCTGTTTAAAAAAGAAAGTCAGAGGGGCTAAAGACAATGAAAATATTTTATTCGTGTATCCACTCATTCGTTCAACAAACATTTATTGAGCAGCTCCTATATGCCAGCCCATGGGCTAGGCTTGTGTGTCCAAAGAGGCATAAGGTTGAGCCCCTACACTCCAAGAGTGCTCAGCTATTAGGAAAGACCTATGCAAAAAACAGTGCCATCCTTTATTACATGCAGAAAACACAGTGGAAGCACTGCCAACGGGAGGAGAGTATCACTAATAGGTACTTTAAAAACTATGTGTTCCAGGGGCCCCGGATGCAGAGCATTCCAGACTAAGAGGTCACCAAAGGGAGGAGAAAGAGTAGGGCACTTCTGGGAAATAAAAAGATGTTCAATTTGTCTGATACTGAATTTAGTCACTTGATACCTATATTTTTAACCTATATTTACAAGTTAACATATAAGCTGGACCCTGAAATATCTAACGGGTGTTGTTTGACTAAAAAATTGTCCTGTAGTGTCACTATTGTATCATAAACCTTGCCAGCAGCTAATGCCTACCTCGAGTACACTATATACGCTTCTCACTGAAAAGTTGTTTATAGAAAATATGACAGATGTTAAAAGGCACTCTATGATAACTCTTAAAAAGGTTCCAACTTTCACTGTGGAATAATGTAGCAAGTTTTAAATACGTTCACAGAGCTAAACCAAAACCGAAAGTTCCACATGTTAAAAGACGCTGGTGTTCAAAATCCTTCGCAAAACCTGGGGTCTTTTATGAGGCTCTAGCCAAAGCAAGGGAGCCCCTGGGTGGTGCTACGCAAATGCATTTCCACCGAAGGTCGGAGCCACGCGTAAGGCCCGGTTTACACCATGGAATACAAACGAATGTACTGGAGAAGCATGGTCCCAATTAAAGGTTGCTTCGTCTCATCACCAGTCCATTCAGTGGCTCCAAAATGCATGCACATTGAGAGAGGCTTATCTTGCTTTAATTAAGATAATGAAAGCATGTTTTCCTCTACAAACAGTCATTGAATTTTATGACTTTGTCAGTGATCGAATTAAAATATTTGTTTTATAGTTCCCTCAATCTAACAGCCAAGGGATAAGTTATTTTTTTGCCAGTGGGGGGAAAACCCCACCCAATAATAACTTTGTCTACTTGAGAGACTTCCATGTAAAATTTAAGTTTTAGTGTTGTTCACTGTTGCAGATTAATTGCTTGCTACCTGTGAAGGCACTTGTGTAAGGGAAACACCTCAGGTGCCTAGAATTTGGGTTTTGCTCAGTGGCTACCAGCCTTTAGCCTCTGTTCTAAAGTGGCCCATCACCTATTTGCTGTTCTCAGTTGAGACATAAGCTCCTTTTGGGCATATGTGGGTTATTGGCTTTCCTGAGCCTGAGGGGTGAGCTGGAAGGTCTCGGTACCTGAGATTTGGCTCCCCTGGTCATTTCTACCCCGTTCCTCATCGTTCCTAGGGTCTCTTGAGTGGGAGAGGTTGCAGCCGGGGCAGCAACTGGGTTTGAACCCAGCAGACAGGCCGCTCATGCCTCCGTTTGCTAAAGCAGATGTAATAAAGTCCAAACAATAGGTAAACTCCAGTGATGTCCACAAGTGTCCTTGGAGAGCCTAATACCTGCCTGACCCGGCGGTCCCCTTCTGCACGCCTGAAAGCCTCGCGTGTTAAAGGAGGAAGTGGCTGCGGAGACCCTCGAGTCTGCACGGGCAAGAGGCACAAACAGCTGCTACCCGGCCCCTTCAGTTCCAAGCTGGCTCTTTAGGACAGGAGGAGAAAACGGACAGACCCCAAAGGGGAGAAAGGGAAGGCGCATGTGATGCTGACTAAAATGGACAGGTGTCACCTTCAGGTGGGCAGCGACACTCGGCTGAGACTTGACCCGCGGGGAGGCGGTGGAGCAGCAGGGCAGGGTGCTGTTGGCCTTGCCTCAGTAGTGGGGCAAGAACCTGTCTCCTCTTCCCCAAAATGAATCCAGAGGTTCGGCCCATTATATCCCTCCCCCCCGCCCCCCAGCCCTTTGAGAGGCTTCCAAAGGCCCCAGGCATGCATTCCTAGGACTAGGGCTAGGCGAGGGTTGCTGGGCCACATTTTCCTTTTGGAGAGCTGCGCATCTGTGTGGCAAGAGGGGCCCACGGGAGGGCGATGCCGCCAGCTCGGTCCCATTATCCCGAGCACGACCGGCTGCGTTCACACCGCAAAGTCACCAGCCGCGCCGGGCAGAGTTTGCTGAGAGCGGCCAGAGGCTTGCAAAACAGACAGCGATGTCTTGCATTTCTTCTCCCGCTCCAGTTTTTATTGCTGCGGAGGGCACGACGTGAGCTGCCCGCCATCCCCGCCCTCTCTTGACAACAGCTCAGTGAGGTAAAAAGCATGATGGTCACGTAGCGAGCTGCCTCTCTGCTTTCCAGGGATTCATCCGAAGGAGGAAGCGTGTGGTAGTTTGGCACTGCACAACATCAGCTTTTCCTAACGGCCTCAAATGATGGAACTTCTTTGTGTGAGAGACAGAGAGAGACCCAAATTTAACACACGTAAGCTGCCTGGATTACAGGCGCAGGCAGACGTAGAGGAGGACCCCTGCGCGCTTTGTCCACCAGCGACGCCTGGCATAGAGTGCGCAGGGCCGTATTAATGAGTTCTAGAGTATTTTTTTCTATTTTGCAACCATAGTGTGAACGTTCAGCATTGCATACTGAAAAACTTTGAATCTCATGTAAGAAGGAACTGGGCTAGAGACAGGAGCCAAGATTTATTACCATTTCTAAGTTTTATGAGTTCTATTGTTTTCCTACCTTTATTACCAGCGTTAGCTGTAATGAGGATTCTAGAAAAAAGAGCTGGAAAAAAGAAGCATCCCCTAACTCACACAATGTAGCACTTCAGTTCTGGCCTCTTTAGGATTGGGGCAGTGTCTCATCTCTTTATTGTGTATTCGTAGACAGTAAGAGGGAGTCTCACTTACTACTTGGAAAAGTTTTAAAGACCTAATACTTTTGTGTGTGTGTGGGAACTAGGCCACAAAAGTGCTTTATGAAAGAGTTTCCTTACGATCATGTCCGGATTCAAATTTCAAGTAGTTTGCATGATCTTCATGTAATATCTGGGACACACCTTCATAATTGACAAGCCTTTTTTTTATATAATAATAAGAATGGCTAAATGAGTGAGGGATATCATTCATCCGCCCCCATGACCTTATCTTTTTCAAGTGTGAAATTCAGTGGCAGAAGGAGATGGATCTATCCCAGGGCGACTCTAGATTCTTCCCGCAAAGATATGCGTGCTGCTTTCCGTCACTAGCGCCCCGAGAGCCGGGTCGGGTTCGCTTACTACCAAGACTTCTCTACTTAACGCGCTGCGCTCGGGCACTTAGCAACTTCGGGAACACGGGCTGTGGGTCTGGGCACACCACCTCGAGTTTAGGGATTCTCCTCACTTCTAGCCCAAACTTTGGATAAACTAACATAAAGGTTCAGGCTTTCCTAGGAGGCGTCGTCCTTGTTCTCCCAGTGCTCGATCTGTTTCTGGTTCTGCACGGTAGTTAAAAATGCAAGTGGATTTCCTAACGGCCGAGTACAGGTACAGGTGGAGGTCGGCGGAATCCTCTGCTCTGAAGCTGAAAGTGGAGGGTGGCGCGAGGCGGCTGGCGCGACGAGGCTGAGAGCGCACCAGTCTCCGCCACGCTTCCAAGGACAGGTTGGCGACGGCCGGGGCAGGCCTGGTCGCGGGCTCCTAGCCCTCCACGGGCAGACTGCTGGTCCCAGGAGAGGGCGGGGAGATGCTCGGGCGCGCACCAGGGAGCCGCACTCACTCGGCAGCCCCAAGCACGCACGCCCCACCTCTGCCGCCGCCCCGTCCCGGACCCGAAAGGAGCCTGAAGGATCCCGCCGACCACCCAGCCAGAGAGCGGTTCGGCTCAGGTCGCCCATTCGGAGCTACAAAACTCTGGAACCTCCAGCAGTTTCGGAAGCTCCGGGGGAGGGCTTTCCTGCAGACAGGGGGCGGGAGCTAGGGAGCCGGGAGCCAGCGCTGCGGTGGGAACTTCAGTGAGTAGAAAGTGGCCAGTGTCTTGGGAGGAGCAGCAAACTTTTTTTTTCCCTCCCACAGCAAACAAAATCGAGGCAGGGACAGTGTCCGGCCGCTAATCTGAGGGGAGAATGGAGAGGAAAGAAGAGTAGTAAAAGTGGGGAGTGGAGCCTTCGGAGGACTCCCGGGTCCGCCCCTGGCCAGGTGATGCGGGGCGGAGGCCTAGGTGCTTGAACCTGGGGGGCAGACAATTGTTCTGCTGCAGTGCCCACCAGGGGCTGGTAAGGAAGTCTGAGTGTTTACTGCCTCCCTTCCCTGTCCAAAGGTCATTTGCGCTTTTCGGTCTCGGACGAAAGAACACTGTGGAAAGGAAGGCGCGGGTCATTTTCAGAGGCTCTGCAAAGGACGGGCCGCCTACCGGGGGTGGAAATCCTTAATTACACCCTTCTGCCTCGGAATCCGTCTTCCCGGCAGTGTCTTGCACTGCCACCTCCTCGGGTGACTCAGCTGACCTGAAATGCCCACCCTACGGAAGATCAAGAAAAGTAGTTTTCTAAGAAGGTTAGAGGTTTGATTACACAGAGAAGTGTTTCCACTTAAGTCCAAAGCAATTACCCGCCCCCTCCCCCAGGGCCGCCTCCCCGCCACCCGCAGCAGAAAAGGACAGACCCCCACGCACGTACCCCCATTTTGTTGGTGCGTGTGAATTTCAAATGGCGCAGTAAGTTCATTAGTGTTTTCAATCGGCGGCGGGCAGACCCCTCATCAGAGCCGAAAGCCGGCAAGAGCCATTCATCAGCGTGAAGTGTTATTCACGGATGACCCCTAAATCACGGCGAGAGTAGTAAAGGCACTGATTGGTCACAGCATGGGAGCCTCGGTGCTTTCCCGAACCCGACGCGGCCGGGAGGAGGGAAGGAGGGAGGGGCGGCGAACGTGGTTCAGTCCGGCAAATCCCATTTGACAGAAAAAGGCAGTAAACGGGGAATCTCTTTTTTTGAATAAAGAAGAAGAAGAAATAAAGTACCTGTCATCTTGACAAGTGGCGGAGCGGAGGAGTCAAGGATTATAAATGATCACAGCCAGGTCCAGCTCGCCCCGTGATTGGGCTCTCCCGCGATCTGCACCGGGGGAAGCGCATGGTAGGCTCCTCTCCTCTCCTCCTCTCCCTCGCACACTCCCGCACACACACACACACACACACACACGGACACGTGTACGCGCCCGGGCTCGGGCACACTCGGCCCGGCGCGTCCCCCGCCGCACAATTACGGTCCTGGATGCCGCTCCCTGGCCGGGCGTCCCGCGGGCCTCCTCACCTGGCCCTTCTCGCCTTCCTCCTCCCTCGCCTCCCCGGTCCTCCCGCTCGCGGGCTGAACCCCGAAAACTCCGGCCCGGCCTGGTCCGCCGCCTTGGAGGAGGCTGGAGGGGCCGGCGGGCGGGGAGAGGGGGAGCGCGGGGGAGAGAAAGAAAGTGAACTCATTGGCGCGCGGGCGCCCTCCCCTCCCGCGTCCCCGGGCCGCGCGGCCGGGGGCGGGCAGGGAAGGAAGTTGTAACACTCGCGCCCCCTCCCCGCCCCCGCCCCGCCGGCGCCCGCTCCCCGCTCCCTCGGCGGGGCCCCCCTCCCCCGCGCCCGGCTCCTTTGAATTTGGCCCGGCGCGGTGTGCGCGCGGCTCGGGCGGACGCGGCGGCTGCTGCCGGGGAGCGAGCCGGCGGCGCGGGCGAGCCGAGCGCGGTAAGTGCGGCGCCGCCGCCGGCGCGCCCTCCTTCCTTTATGGGGTCCTAGTGCCGGGCCGCGGCGCCGGGAGCTGGCGGGCGCGAGCTGGGACGGCGCGTGGCCCCGGGAGGCGGCGGACGCGGGGACATCTTCTCAGCGCGCGGATTCTCTCCACGGTCCGGCCTCCCCGTCCCCGCCCCGCCCTCGCGCCAGCCACCTCCGGCCGCCGGCTCAGGTGGGAACTTCGCCGGCGCCTCTCGCCCGGGGAGCCAGGCGCCGCGCCCCCGTACTGGGGAGCCCCGGGGTCCCTGAGGAAGGCAGTCCGGAGGCTGGGCGCCCAGTGGGGGCGGGGAGGGGAGCCCGCCAGGTCCTCTTCGGCCCCCGATGTGTGGCGAGGCCCCGCGTCTTCTGCGGGGGCGTCTTAACAGGATCCTGGGGGGCTTCCAGCGAGCGGAAAGCCCCGGGATGTCACCGCTTTCCGGGGCAGGCAGGGGACAGAAGGCTTCTGCAGCGATCAGGGAGCCAAGTTGAAAAGGAGTGAAGGAGGGAGAGTGCGGGGCGAGGGGTAGCGTGGGGAGTGGTGGATCACGGCTGAAACTTGATCGGGAAACTCTGGATGGGGTTGGAAACACACACAAAATATCCTGAGCTGGGCGTTTCAAAAATTACGAATTTATGAGCCTGCAACTGAGATTCTAAGTCCCTCTCGTGTTTTACAACCGATTACAAAGAGCTTCACGTATTTTAGGTTGAGGCGGGTTGTGTCTGATTGATCTTTGCTGAGCATCTTACTATGCAGCTTGGATTCCATTCTTACTGCCTCACCTTTAAGGTAGCTGGAGTGGTAACTTGTTAATTTTTATTGTAGAGAGAGGGTAACAAGTACTTGTACCGTGTAATACATCACACACGTGTGTTTCCCCAAGTCACTGTAATTTGGAGGTAGAGAAAAGTTTCCAGGTACGTGTGAGGAGGTGCAATGGAAATGAAAGGCTGAGAGCTGTCCTAGACTTTTTACAGGGCCCCAGACGGCTGGGATGCCCGAGAACAGGACTGTCTCTTCATCATGCTCTATTTCTTATCTTCTGACAATGTATTTTGTCAAACATTGGTAGACTCTGGCAGAATCCACTGGGTGGTCTTTTCACTAGAAATAGACATATGTTGAGGCATTACCTTTCCCTTCTCTTGTCAAAAGAAAAAAGGTGGATATGGCATCTCTGGAAAGCTTGGAAGAGTATCCCAAAAGATGGTATTGTAACTGAACAGAACTTGGTGATTTGATCCCTTAGTGAATTTCTTTAAAATAATGACGCATATCCCTTTTTCCCCACTGCCTACTTGGAGAAGTATTTGTAGTCTTTATGTATTAATATATTGAGAACAGACTGACTTTAGAATTAAGAGCAACTGTGTAATAATAATTATCTATTTTAATATTTCAATTAAAACAAGATTTTATAAATTCAACAATCTTGCTTTGTGCATTCCTTAATACACTTTTAATTATCTAAAACTTCGAGCATGTATATCTTAATATATAAAATTCTTGTATGAGCCCTGAAAGTTTGGATTTGTAATTCTAAATGCAGAGTAAATATTTAATTCTTGATCTAAGAGTGAGAGGTTAGTTCAGTAATAAGACTTGCTAATCCCACTTTAAAATGTCATGGCATTCACAAATTATTCCTAAATTCTTCAAAGATAGGAGTTTATAATGAGTTTAGTTATTCTATTGTGTATTTCAGGATTGTCTGTATCTCTTCCTGTTGCATTTCCCTTAACAATCTTGTTCTTTTTTTCTTACACGAATTTTATTATTCCTCTTAATCAAAGATTTTTTTCTAATAGTAAACAAATATATCTTATGTTAAATAACTTAGAAAAGAATAGTTAGAAAAAGTAGTTCAAATCAAACACACATTTTACATGCACTGCACAGTTTTTATAAAAAATGTAGTTGTACTAATCACCATGCTAACGTTTATATATTTGGAAAACTCTGTGAACCCCCTGTGCCAATAGCTTTATGTTAGCAACCTATGCACCCTAATGAGGATTACTTGATTATTGGGAATAAAGCAGATAGATTTATGGAATTGTGACTAGTTATTCCTCCAAACGGGATTATTTTGCATGGCTGTGTTTATTTTCTAGAAAGATGTTTTAGGTAAATTATTGAGGCTTTTCTTACTATGATTCTGTAGGCGTGTCATCAGTCTTTTGGTTAGAAAAGGGAACCTGCCTTATTAGGGTGAAGACAAAGAAAGATAAGGATGCTTATCTTTGAATAGAAAAAAGCTCCTAAAGAGAGTGAAAACTTTTAAACTTATTCAGAAAGGAAACCTAGCTAAACAATAATGATCCAGTTAGTAAGTTCAAGCTACTCTTTCTTAGCTTTGCTTCTGGGAGCCAAGAGTAATTATTCTGTTTGTAAAGAGTCAAGCAAAGAAGATAGCAGGAAGAAGCGCGTGGCTATCGTTGTGAGTAGAGTGACCTGTCAGAAATACTGAATCACCGTTAGGCTCGGTGTACAAAAAATGATGTCTTTGCAATAGCTGTTAATGTATGTTTGGAGATGCTGAAGTTTATCCTACCTATAGGGATACTAGGGAATAAGTTCAGAGCATGGTCATTGTCTGATATGAAAGCCCAACAAAGCCAAGTTTATTAGTTTATTAATATTGGTTATTTAAATAAATGCATGTGCCTCCTTTTTATTAAACTTTATTTTACCCTGTAAAAATTTGATTTCTGGATGGTGGTTGAATATCATCCAAGTTTTATATTTATTTGAATCAGTGTGTTCAGCAGCTGTGATGAATTGTCTGCCCTTTTCTGGAAGCTGTGCAACCTGTTAAGCATGTTGAATTACACATTGCTCATCTACCCTGTGTTTCGTTTGATAGTCAGATATCCGTTTGGACTTCGAGGGCATACTTTTTTTTACTTAGGTTGAGAATATGAGCAAAGAATATAATAGTTTGCCACCAAACGTTTACCGTGGTCCATAACCAATTACATATTCCTTTAAATTTCTAGTTGAAGTTAGTGTTGTGTTCATAGTTGCCTTGTAAAGTGGAATGATAGCCCGTAGGAAAATTGAACACATGCATTCGGAGTAAAGTCTGTTGAAAAGATAACACAATATTACGTTATTTAAAAGTTTCGACAACTAAGTTTTAAAAATTATTTTACGTAAGCTTCTTTTAGAATACATTTAAAACTTATTTTTGGAAACATCAGCTGGTTTAACAGACCTGATGGAAATTTTGTGCTTCAAAATAAAATAAAATAAAATAAACCTTAGTCTGAAAACTAATTGTTGTGTCTTATAAAACCTGATTTATTTTATACTTTTTTATACCAAGCATGACCATTATGAAGCTCTCCTTCTAATTGAGATTAATGTTTCTGAGCAAAGAAGTGGTTTGGAGGGCTGCGTTCATTTTGAGTGCTGTTGTAATCAATTTTAGATACAGCATTCCACAATGGATCAGTTTGCATCCAAACCTGCCTTATTATGTAGAATTAACTTGTTGGTGATTGATAGTGATACTTCTCCATCTTGAAAAGTCATTTGTTTCCAAACGAGTGTGATGGCTTGTATGAGTTTCAAAAGATTGCTTCTCATAATTAAAACATCCTATTGGGGACCTAATTTGAACTTTTTCTAAGAATTATATAAAACATGAGGAAGCAATTCATTAACATATATTCAACTCAAATAGCCTATTTTCCCAAAATGCAATATGCCTCAAGGCATATTTTCTTGCCCATCAAAGGATTTTATGGCCTTTTGAGTCATTAATAGTAACTGTAATCCATCTAGGTTATTTCCTTTTTTGTTTGTATTAACATTCTAGTTCAGTTTTTCAGAGATTTCTTAGAATTTTGGATGGACCTCTTGTGCATGTGTTATAACTTTATTTCATAAGATGGTGTAATCCTGACAATGAAAGATAATGCATGTGGAGGTAATTCCTTAATGGAAATGTGAAGAGATGGTGAACGTTATCATCCCCACTGTGATATTTGCATTTGTTTCTTATCTGTACCTGGTCATCTTTGGTTTTATCAGCTTTTAAGTCTCTTCTGAAAGACCACTTTAAGATTTTCTTGGGCTTTGGTTCATATTGCATTGTGATACATGTTGTCCCAATCAAATAAAAGATTAGGAGCACAGAATATAAGATTAATATAGATTAGCATTCTAATATATCCACAGTATATCCATATATATCAATATATATCCATATATATCAACGTATATCCGTAGTATATATGATTTCTAAAGAAAGATGTAACTGCTTTCTAGTGCGTGTAAACTTCCCACAATGGCATTACTCTTTACTTTCAGGAAGGAAAAAAACTTGATAAGAACTATGTATCTTTATTTTATTCTCTGTAATGATAGATTCTTGGCATCGGATTGGTGTTTTTCCAGCTTAAGACATCCATTTAAAATAGTTTTAAATGCTAAAATAATGCAGTTAAATTACCATTTTCAAAATGTTATTTTACACAAGTGCTAGAGTATAAACTATCAAAATGCAGAAACATGCCCTGAGATACACAGATGTTTCGTACACTGAAACTACAATAGGATTCATTCTTTTGAAGGAATTGCAATAAAATTTTCTGTAGTTTTGGTTAAATAACCCAGGTGATTGCCTAGCTAGAACAGCTACATGGAATTTACTAAAAATAGTGATCTACTCAAACCCATGTCTTTCTATTTTAAATTAGTCACTGCAAATTAATGTCAGTATCATAGAATGAACTCATAAGTCATATGAGTGGATGACTGAAACCATATCATGTAATAATAATAATAATAATGAGATTTTACTTCCCTGTTGATAACTTTCTTGGAATCTTGGAAGAGCTAGGATCGGGTAGCACTGACTTTTCAAACAAGTTTGTGATAGGTGGCAGTCTTAACCGAGTTCCTTGACTTCCTTCAGAAAATAGGTAATTCTTATATGTTTAGGAGCATGTGTGGAGTGAAATGTAGCATAACACTAAACTATGCTTATATTCTTTTTTGTAAGTTTAGGAGTCAATCATTACTTATGGAGATGTGGCATTTATTACTATTATTACTTACTATTTGACCCACATTCATAGTTCTGTAGTTTGTACTAGAGCATGCAAAAACACAGTGATACCTTCTGAAAATACCTTGGGGAAGACATAGTGCCTGTATTCACACTTGCATTTAATGATATAAAATTGTATCATTTATATAATTATATAAAAGTCATGGGATACAAAAATTGCGTTTGTTGATAGTATATTCTCAAATATTGTGGAGTAGTTTTTACTTCTGTTAGAGTAGTTGGGGAGAGGTGGGGATAATGTGATTTGGTTGCCCTGGGATGGGATCATATTAATAATAACCAGCTATTTTATAACTGGGTCTACTTGGTGTCTGCCTCAAAACCAAAAAAAGATAAGGGAAGGAGGAAGGGAGGAAGAAAGGAAAAGAGGAAGGGAGGGGAGTAAGAGAAAGAGAGAGAAAGAGGAGAAAATAGGAAATTGAATATCTTTTATAATGAGCGATGGCCCTTTGAGCATTTTCTGTATGTAGCAGGGTGTGTGACAGGAAAAGCAGACTAAAGGGAAAATTTTGTCATTTATTTTAATTGGGTAAGTACAGAAGAAAATTAACTTGTAAATTTTTTCACTTTTAAATATATGTATTTTCAATCCCTGCAGGAGAACCAGAGTATCAGTTTTTAAATTTAATCCAAGACATTCCAAATATTGTATACAGTTGCTTATACTGATGGAAAAAAGAAAATGTACTAAGAGCTCTATTTTATAGGCATGCTTGCTTTGTTTATAAGACTGAAAATCAAGTTATAGTTTTCTATGTAGAGACTTAAAAAAACCCACACGACTCTGATTATTTAAAAAGACCATTTAGGAGGTAACTTATAAAGGCCACTTACCTTTAAAGATACAGCTCTTAATATATTTTAGTCATTCTTTCCTTTATTTAATTACTAGTAATATTTGTTAGAATTCTTATGCTAATACCTCTTCAGGTTGCCATTACTTAGAAAGGATTAACAGCTTGGTAGTGACTGTCTTCCTTCAGTCCGATTCCGTAGCACCTCTGAATGCAGTGGCTGTCTATGAAGATAGCAGCACACTCTGAATAAGAGGGTGACGTGGATTTGTGGTTCTCTGTTCCCTCCCCCAAACAGAAAAGCTACTTTTTTATTAGAATGAATTATTTCCTCTTGAGTTAAATTATGCTCAACTAATATTGTGACTAGAATTGTTGACCCCCCTCTCTGCATAAGGAGGTGTCTTTTTTGACAATAGGGGCGTTTCCAAAGAAGAGGTCCTCACTCAAGAGCGTCTCCAGCATCCTCTTGTGTCCAGCATGTGGCTTCTATACTGGGATGGTATCTTAGGAGAGTTTATGTTCTTGGACTACATACTAGAAGGTACGTTATGCAGACAGTGAAAAGACAGGATTGAATTATTAGAATATACTTTACAGGGAGAAATGTGTGAACCATGTTAAATACCTTGCATGAAGCATGTGCAAATATATGAATATGAGATTATGCTTATTTTGGTAAAAAGTACGCTATTGAAAAGTAAACTAATTGTTTATTTTCAGTCTACCTAATGTTCTTTTTAAAGAGTAACATCTATTCTAATACTTTTTATCAGAGAATTTGGAATTTGTCAACACGTAGGTAGAAAAAAATTGGCAAGTGACTGGTTCTTTTAAATAGCTCTTAAGAAAATTGGCACAGAGCTTGCCATTTGAAATAATTATGAAAACCAGGGGAAGCCAGCTGTAACTTTTATTTCTTTCAGAATTTATAATAACTTCCAGCTAAAGAAAGCTATCACTCCTATAGTTCTTGAAGAATAAATCTATGACTTTTTTTCTCTTAGGAGCAAAAAAACAAAACAAAACAAAAAAACGAAGAAACAAAAGCATCTTGGGCAGTGTTATTACATTTTTCTCTATTTATAAGCAAAAATGAAATGAATATTTAAAACTTTAAAATTTTTTCACTTAAATTTTGTGTAATGATGAGAATAGTTGTGTAGGTTAAAATACTGCAAATAATAAAAACGAATCTAGTAATCTAAATACATATTATAGATATGTGATGAACTATAATATTGCAAAGAAATGAAAACTGCAGTATACACAGCCATATTTTGTCTCTTGATTGTCACAAAAATAAGGCACTCTTAAAAGGATATGGCTGAATTTTATGATGGTATCAGTAATAGTGAGAACAAGTTGACACAATGAAAATAACTGAAATGTTATTCCTCATCTTTTAGCTAATACTTCCAGAAAATTCCAAAATAATTAGAAAAGCTCTTGAAAATAATGAGACCTACTAGGAGAAAGAAAGTACATTTGTTGCCTTACAGAACTATTAATGAATTTAATAGTTCAGAAAGGGTTCAGAAAGGGGTGAAAGCTGAAGAGAACCTCTGCCAGGATGTTATCCCTCAAATTTAAATAGAACAGGCATTTTCTATCTATAATATGTTTATAAGTTGATATTTCTGCTTTAAATTTCAACTTGTTTTTCTTCTATGGAGCTACTAACATATTTAACATTTAAAATAAATTTTAATTTAAACAAAAATTAAAGTTGTTACTTGTATGTAAGGTATACCTGTCAAACCAGAAATGAGTCCTTACTTTTAGAATAATTTTTATGCTTCCTTATATTTTTTCTTTCCAAATATGAGTAGAATACCCTATCATGTTTTTTGTGATTACAAAATTAAGTAAAGCAAATTAGTCCTCAATTGTTACTTTGTCCTAGAATATACAATCTCTGAATGAAAAGACTCTGGCACTACAATTTTTTAATAAACAATATTGATATGTTAAGCTGATTTGCCAGTAAGATTTTTTTCTTCGATTTTTACTAATTTAAAAAATTACACATGTGACAGGGACTTTGAGTCAACACTTTACTAAAGATAAAGTACTTTAAAAATTTAAAGTTTTTTATCCTGTGTTTTGGTTGTGATATAATTTTCTATATTGTTTTAATTAGTATGATAGTAGATGCTACAGAATTTGCTTAGTGTGGTAACTTAAACCAAAGAAAAAAGATGTAATTTTAAATATTAAATTTATTTTAAAAATTCTTCCCGTAAAAATTTGAAGCGCAGTACCTTTTAGTTAAAAGTGCAGTCTCAAACAGAAAAGACCTAATTTTATATATTTTGAGATTCAAATATTGATTTACTAAAGATGCATATAAAGAAACCTTAATAATTTAAATTATCTACACTTGGGCTTTTATCTTTTATATGTTTCAGGGGACTTCAGATCTTTCTTTATACTGGTAATATGATTTAGAACCCATAAATAAAGAATTAAAAAATATTAGTAATCAAAACATACACTAACTGAAGTCTGTTTAAAGGCAGCCTGAAAAAGAAATTAGATGATCCGATAATTCTGGTGTTCTAAAAATTATAAAAATACCTTAATTTAATGAATATTACAGTTTATGTAATTTAGATACTGGGAGAATATCATGAATATACAATATGTAAAATCCATACAGATAACAAAAAAGTTACTACAAATGTGAAAGATGAATGATACATCTTTAGTCATACAGTGTGCATGAATGCATTTGCAAAACAAGTGTCAGGTTTTAAGATACATCAATTCTTGGTTTTCTGGTTTAAGGTAATTTCAATAAAACTAATACAGTCTTGCATTTCATTCAAGTATGATGTTAGGAACTTCGGTCAACCATCAGTATAGCCATGACCGAAGTCCATTTTCTCATTCTGAAAGTTTTCTATAAAATCTGAGCCTTCAAATCTAGTTCTAGTTCAGCTCCACTATGCAGTTGTTTGATGTCTTGTGACAAATGAGAGATCTGAAGGAGAGGACTGAGTGCTTGTTCTATGAGATGCCATCAGTTAATTCTTCTCACATTATCTGATGAAAGTAGCTTTTAGACACTGTATTGTACTTCAGATGGGAATCTTAACATATCAAGTTTGGTAAATTTTATATTGAGCTATCAGCAAAGGACAATGTGAGTTACTGAAACAAATCATGAATGTATCACGTATTTCATGTAAATGTGATGTAAGACGTGTGGATTGGTTGTGTAATTACCACTTCAACTTTAAAAAGCCTCTATAATTCACTTTTAAAATTTTAAATGTTGAGGAAAGTGAAGTATAAATAGTTCATACTCTTGGAAAAATGTTACTAATGTAAGCCTCGTAGGGATTATTTTTTATTATTTTTATCTTTTGAAAAACAATGATACCTTCTAATGTAATTTTTATCACTTAATTTTAAGTCTGGAACATAATCACTTGATTTAGGAGTAGATATAAATTATTAATGCACATTATGCTTTTTTTCTTTTTTTTTTTCCTTAAAAGAAAGATCTCAAAGGCTTTCAGGATGAGGTTCTGGTTCTTTTACTATTAAGAATAATTGGTATAAATGGCTAATTTTGGTGGGAGAGTGTTACATAGTCTTTAGGCCCTCGTTATTACTTTTAAAAGAATAGCCCATCGGGGATAGGAAGCTTTGTGGATAAGCTGCCACTCTTTGATGAAGGATTATACATTCTCCCCTAAATCTGTGATCCCAGAATCTGTTACACAATAGTTTTATCAAGTAGCACTAGACTAGCTGGCTATCATTTCATTTTTCTTTAAAAAGTTAATTGGTTTCTTTCCTAAATCTAATATTTATATGGAATTTTAGTCTAAATATATGTTAGGTATTAATAGATTCCGTGAAATGCAGAGGTTACTATTTTGATGCAAGATAATGAAGCCAGATTATCTATTGAAGAATGCTTTTCCATTTATGCCAGATGACCAGGGCATTGATTCTTGCGGGGTACTCAGTCATTTAAGTGGGGTACCTCCTCAGTACAGTCTGCAAAGTCCATGGCCTGATGCAAGTTCTCTGTAAGCTTTTCCCCTGGTTAATAATATTGAAAGCAACTTGAGAAGAAAATAGTGACATATAAAAATGAAGCCATCATATATATGAGGGTTAGTTAATTTTCTCTGAACGTGTATGTAATACACGTGTATGTAATAGTGAGCATATTATAGCTTGCTTTGGTCATGGATTTTAAAAAAGAAAATGAAAGGACATTATATTATGTGAGTATATTCCCAACTTGTAATGAACAATTGTTTGCACAGCATAAGAGTCTGATAAAAATGTGTCATTCTAAGGAGACCTCTGTTTTTTTGGTCCAATAAATACATTGAAAATTGAAAATTAAGTGGTCAGATTACATAATTGTGTTTATATCAGTTCTCATTTAGTCAGCGTCAATCAAATACAAGACAATTGGTTCTATTCAAAATTGGAAAATACCAAGTATTGGCTAATTGAGTCATTTTACTTGTAAAACACAAGTAATGCCACCTAAAAAAGCATAATTTATTATGGGGAATTAATTTTCCTTAATAAATGGGCTCTTATTTCTGAGGCTACAAGCTTCTAAAAGTTTTAAAAGAGTAGTAAAGTTCACTATAAAAATTGCAAAGTGAGGGAATACAGTTAAGTTTTTCTACAGTATAAGTAATTCTGGTGTCTGTGTACTTACTCATTGAAACATACAATCAGCTTCAAAAGATGGCTCTTTATAATTGTCACATTTCTGTTCTGCGTCATCTTCTCAAATATTTTATATCTATAATAAAGATATATGATACTAAAATTATTTTCTGTTCTTCAGTATTTATAATAAGGAAACTATTTAAAAGATTATTTTTGTGATCAATTCACTGTGCCAGTTGATTATTGAAGGCTTCATCAAGGACTCTAGACTTTCATAATCTTTCATAATTGGTGTAAATGTAATGTTAAGAAATAAATAATACTGCCTAGAAATGAGCCAGATGTAACCAAATTTCAATTATTTTATGAGATTTTTAGAAGAATAATAATTTAAATAAGACCTTCAAACATTTTAGGTAAATAATATACAAATTTTGAATTTATTGCTAGTAAAACACAAGGTTTAATACATATCTTAAATCATTGTCTGATCGAGAAACATTACTCATCATTTATTATTTCAGATTCTTGGAATATATGTGTTTCAATTTAGAGTTTAGAAGTAATACAGATTAAGGATTTTGAAGAGCAGGTTTTCCTTCCATCTTTCATCAGCTCTGTAGCTGAACCCTCACAATCCCTTTCTTTATTATTCTAAGCCACTATCAGATTCTAATCTTTGCTGTCTCCACAGCTGTTTGAGGATTTTTTTTTTTTTTTTTTTTGCAAATGTAATTACAAGTACATGTGTTTTGTGCAACTCACTTCCTATGAATGTTGGTGATAGAGGAAGATTAAAGGAGAGCAGGACTATGTTGTGTATAGATCCATGGATGAATCTATTAGTTTTCGAGTCATTATGACAGTGGTTATCAGGAAGAACTGCAAATGTTAAAACACAACAATTTTGGCTTAACTAATATGCAGAAAAAAAGTCACTGAAAGTTTAACAATTTCTCCAGAACAAGTGCATTTTTATGAGGTACGCGCCACTGAAGCAAGTGATTGCTACACTTCTGTGAATCGTTTTTTTCTTTTCTTTTTTTGAATAATTTCGACTTTCATTTTAGATTCAGGGGTGCACAGGCAGATTAGTTACATGGGCATGTTGCATGATGCTGAGGTTTGGGGTACGGATGATCTCGTCACCCGGGCAGTGAGCATAGTATCCAGCAGCTAATTTTGCAACCCTCCCCCTCTCCCCGCCCTAGTAGTCCTCAGTGTCTATTGTTATATGCATCATTTTTCTAAAGTGATGCCATAATTGAAAATCTAGACAAAATATGATAGTTTTTTTTACTTTAAGAAAACCCCATTAAAATATATATTTAGAGAGAAACGTATTAAACCCTTACATTTAATTTGATGTAGCAAATTTACTGAATCTGTAAAAATTACAAGTCAATATAAATACAATAAATCTCTGCTCTGATTTGAATGTATATCTTCATTTATAGTGTGTGCTTTACTGACACAGCCATTTTTTCTCCCTCAATTCACTCAAATCCAGCCCCACCTGTTTTGTCTGTGCTCTTGTGTCCAAGTGGCTGTGTCCTGGGAAAGATGAGAAGAAATAAGGCCTGATCTCAGACTCACAGGGAGTTTTCGTTTCTAGTTGAGGCATGATATAAAGAGGTAACTGATAGTAATTAAAGTTATTAAGAAAGCCAGGAGAGGTAATAGAAGGATTACTACTTTGGTCAGATCGTATGTAAATAGCCCATGGGTCTTTGAAATGCCAGAGAACTGAAGGGGGGTACCCAACCTAATGGTTCTAGCATCCACCCTTCCTGCAGCATGCAGACGTTAGCAGTGCCTTGAAACTCTGAGACACTGCAAAGGTCTTGTGGCCTTAACTGCTAACAAATAACAAAGGGGCCCTGGGGCTCACAAATGTTTCGAAACATAGTGAACTGAGACAGTAGGAACACTTGGCTTATCCTTTCCCCCCAACCCAGTCGAGGCCGGAGATACCCAACAAAGTGGGGCATTGGAAGCCAGTGACCTGAGAAGAACAAAAGCTGACCATTTGCCTCCTTCCCTGTGGAATAACTTGGCAAAATGTTTGTTGCACGCTTGCCCACAAAAACCCCCTGTGAAGGCAGAGACCCTTCTTCCCTGTTCTCAGTAGAGCCTCAGCTGCTGACACAGTGCCTGGCCCTGAAGAGTCCAACAGTAAATAATTGATGCAGGAATGAAATCTTCCCTCACTCTACATCAATGTCAAGTGTCCTCACTAGAGAATAGCTCCTCTCCACAAAAGGTTTGTGGCCTCTGGACTTCGGTCATCACCTAGGACTGCTCAGGTTCTAAAAGTCTATGGTTCTATTGTTTGAAGATCTCCTGTGATTCATGTTAAATAGATAGTACCAACACAGACTTGTCAGCATTTAGATGAGGACGAAAGATGTGGCTGGAGACTATAGATCTCTGGAAAAAGACAAGACTTTGACCAGGAGAGGTAAGGGCGTTCCAGGAGAGGGAAACACAATGGACAACTGAGGCATCAACGGTAGCAAGCCCAACTTCACGAACAGGTAACAGCAACACCAGCAGGTAGCACAGATCAATGAATTTGGCCAGATTATTTGCATATTAAATTTTCACATCTACCAAGATATGCGTCCTCTCATATTTCTTAAAATATGTAGTTCTCTTTGTCCTTTTTTTCCCCATTTTTGAAAGAAACATTGGTACAGAGAAGTATTTCTTTACTGTTAGAAAAACAACAGAGCAAGTTTGATGATAAACAATGTTGACATAGCCTCAGAGTCAGAGACACATGGGGAGTGGTGAGGACTGTGAACTAAAGGGCACACGCTTTCTCCAAAAGGAGGTGCCACGTCGCGCCTCTAGACTAGTCATTGCCATGTGAGGGTGAAACCTAGTGTTGCCAGATTGTGAGATTTCTCAAGAAATGCCAGAAGATGGATTGTGTGAAATCTCTAGATTTTCAAATGTGAGCTCATTGGGGTAATAAAAAACACACAACATACAAAACTCACAAATCAAACAAAACAAGTCTGCAGCCTGGGTTTGGCAGTTGGGCTACCAGTTTGCAACCTGTGATGTAGCTGCGGAGATCTGCATGGATTTGGGAGACTGTGAATGAGCAGTAGGTCTCCAGCAGAGGCTGCCTCATGGAGAAATCCAGGAAGGGCTGGAGAGAGAGCTTGGGTCCAGATTGTGGGTAATCTTGAATGCCATCCTCTTCTACCCATTTTGGAGGAGAAAATGTTTTCAGTTTACAGTACACTTCTTCCTGCTTTAAAGCAGAAACCTAGGCTGCCGGCAGGTCTTCTGTACAGAATTACTCATGGCAGGGAGGGAACGGGTTAAGAGGCAGTAGCACTTAGGCCTATCCTTTGTCCTTGCCCATCCCTGTCTGCTTATCTCTCCATCTCTGCCTCCCAGAGTCAATACAAGGCTCTTGACCCCCTTAATACACCTATTGTTTGGAGCGGAACTGCAGTGGCCAGCTATAACTAAAGTATATTGGGATGTTTTTGCTAGCATTTGAATGTTGCCTGAATACCGATACTAAATTCTCTAAGAAAGGAGAGTCTAATGTTAAATGTGATACATTGGAATAAGTCTTAACCATTATGTTAAAATAATAAAAAGATCAATAAAATTCCCCTAGCACACTGGTTTTCATTACTTTGTGGTGACCAAGTTGGGCTCCGAAATTAGAGAAGCCCTCAAATCCCATTCTATCACTTACGTGCTGTGTGATCTAGGGCAAAGCTGCCTCGTCTCTGACCCTTATTTCTTCATCTGAACATGGGGTTTGTAACGATGGCTGGTGGTGTTGCTGTTGCCAGGTGCCTGGCCCGGGGCCCCCACACAGCAGACATGGTGGAGATGGGGATGGCAGCAGTGTCTTCAGTTGTCGGAGTCATTGTCATCGGCACCTTATAATGAACGTCATGCTTACCATTATGGTTTTGTGGAGGGTGTTGGAATTGAATTTGGAGACTGAAGTTGAAGTCCATCTGTACCATGAAGTTGCTTTGGAAACCATGAAATTGAGATGTTAAACATACCCTCTTGTGGGGTGGCTGTGAAGATGAAATGAGCTAACACACAGGGAGGTCCTAGTGGAGCCAGGTGTGCAGTGAGCAATGGATAGTGTGTATGAGTGTGTGTGTGTGTGTGTGTGTGTGTGTGTGTGTGTGTATCAGGATGGTGCCACATGCTTTCCAGCCGTCAGAATGCTGGGAACAGGAGCTCTCATTTAGGGAAGAATGACCACAACGCAGTCACACAGCTCCTGCGCTGTATTTGGCCTGTCACCTAGAATCTTACTTTTAATTAATGAATAATTCTTAGCAGCATGGATCCCTGGCTTGCCAAGTTACCCATTAGAAGCGCTCAGCTCAAGGGGAACGGGAGCTGAGAGGCTGTTCCAGTCCGGCCCGTGGATGGCCGGAGAAGTGACAGTGTGTGATGTCTTATCCGGGAGCAGCGACACGATAGCATTAGCGTAGTGGACGCTCATACTGACGGTCCACAGTTGCTTCAGAGGGCAATGTGTGTGATGCATGTTCCAAAATTTATATGAAAAAGACGGAAAGATTTTTGACATTTCGAGAGAGAGAAAATTTACTTAGACACATCTCCTAGTGATGCCAGATAACAGGGATGCTTTGTGGGAAAAACAAATCTACCTATACAGGGACAGCATTCTAAGTATATTCCGGTTCTTTTTTTTGAGACGGAGTCTCGCTCTGTCGCCCAGGCTGGAGTGCAGCGGTGCGATCTCGGCTCACTGCAAGCTCCGCTTCCCGGGTTCACGCCATTCTCCTGCCTCAGCCTCCCGAGTAGCTGGGACTACAGGCGCCCGCCACCACGCCTGGCTAATTTTATGTATTTTTAGTAGAGACGGGGTTTCACCGTGTTAGCCAGGATGGTCTCGATCTCCTGACCTCGTGATCCGCCCGCCTCGGCCTCCCAAAGTGCTGGGATTACAGGCGTGAGCCACCGCGCCCGCCTATTCCGGTTCTTTTTTTAAAAAAATGAAAATAAATGGTTACCTTTTTCCACATTACGGTTAGAATGACCTAACGAGAATATTCTATTTAAAGATTTAGAGATTCCAGAAAAATGTCTATGGAAATGTTGTGCCCAAATTTTACAATGTAAATTTACCATGTATTGATTTATTGAGTAGAAAAAATTACAAGACAAACTTGAATATGGTAAAATTATTTCTGTTCCATTCACAGAATTACTTAGCATTTGAATCTATCTTGTTTGTTTCTTTTAAAAATGTATCATGCAGAGAGACCAATACCGTAGGATCTCGCTCACATGTGAAATCTAAAAAAGTCGAAATCATGGAAGAGTAGAATGGTGGTTACCAGAGGCTGGGATGGGACATGGGGAAGGGGAGACGTTGGTCAAAGGGTACAGTTTCATTTAGATGTGGGAATGAGCTCTGGTGACCTATTGCACAGCAAGGTGACTGTAATAATAAGCTATTGTATATTTCAAAAGAGCTATAAGAGAGGAGTTTAAATGTTCTCACCACAAAGAAATGATAAATATTTGAAGTGAGGGAAATGCTAACTAGCCTGATACATCCTTCCGTAATGTATACATGTGGATTGAGAAATTACATTGTACCCCATAGATATATACACTTGTCAATTAAAAATATAATCTAAAAATATTAAAAATATATGATGCAGGCCAGGCGTGGTGGCTCGTCTGTAATCCCAGCATTTTGGGAGGCTGAGGTGGGTGGATCACTTGGGGTCAGGAGTTGGAGACCAGCCTGGCCAACGTGGTGAAACCCCGTCTCTAGTAAAAATACAAAAATTAGCGGCCGGGCGCGGTGGCTCACGCCTGTAATCCCAGCACTTTGGGAGGCCGAGGCGGGCGGATCACGAGGTCAGGAGATCGAGACCATCCTGGCTAACACGGTGAAACCCCGTCTCTACTAAAAATACAAAAAATTAGCCGGGCGTGGTGGCGGGCGCCTGTAGTCCCAGCTACTCGGGAGGCTGAGGCAGGAGAATGGCGTGAACCCGGGAGGCGAAGCTTGCAGTGAGCCGAGATCGCGCCACTGCACTCCAGCCTGGGCGACAGAGCGAGACTCCGTCTCAAAAAAAAAAAAAAAAAAAAAATTAGCTGGGCGTGGTGGCGCACACCTGTAATCCCAACTACTCGGGATGCTGAGGCACAAGAATTGCTTGAACCTGGGAGGTGGAGGTTGCAATGAGCCGAGATCACGCCACTGCACTCCAGCCTGGGCAACAGAGTTGAGGCTCAGTCCAAATATATATATACATATATATATATGTATATATATATACAAATATATATATGTATATATATATATACACACACACAAATATATATATGTATATATATACACAAATATATATGTATATATATACATATATATGTGTATATATATATACACAAATATATGTGTATATATATACATATATATGTGTATATATATATACACAAATATATGTATATATATACACATATATATGTATATATATACACATATATATGTGTATATATACACAAATATATATGTGTATATATGTGTATATATATACACACATATATGTGTATATATACACACACATGTATGTGTATATATATACACATATATATATTTGTGTGTGTGTGTGTATATATATATATATATATATATATATATATATATATGATGCAAACATACATCCACTAATGTATTAGTCGGTTCAATGGATTTCTTTCTTTTTTAAAACAAACAAACAAAATCAATGTCTTGCTATGTTGTGCAGGCTGTCCTCAAACTCATGGGCTCAAGCAGTCCTCCTGCCTCAGTCTCTTGAGTTGCTGGGATTACAGGCAAGCTACCACACCTGGCGAATTTCTTAATATTTTGCTGAAAGCAAATTTTAAACATTTGTCTTTGAAATGTTAGTTGGCTCCAGTGAAAATAAGTCCTTTTTGTTTTTCAGCTCTAATGTGTTCAGTTATCATTTATTAAACACCTATTTTGAGCCCAACATTGGCTTAGGCTCTGTGAAGAAAGGGGTACAAAAATAGAAGAAGACATCTATTTTAGAAGCTCCAAAGAAATGTGTAATAATTAGACAAACTAACACTGTGAGCTAGGATTAAGTCTGAAGATGTGGAATACAAACTGTGCACTCGGAACTCAAGGAAGAGAGAGGAATGTATAGGGTGGGGTTTGTTCCAGTGCCATCTCAACCTCATCATTTCCAAGTTGGTATTCTGAACACTCTCTTAGCCTGTTCATGCTGCTGTAACAAGACACCTGAGACTAGACAGTTTATAGACAATAGAAATTTATTTTTCAGTTTGGAGGCTGGGAAGTCCAAGATCAAGGTGCTGGCAGACTCAGTGTTCCAGCACCTTGCTCTGCTTCTGAGATGTTGCCTCAAATACTGCATCCTCCAGAGGAGACAAGCTCTGTGTCCTCATGTTGCACAAAGGATGGAAGTGCAAAAAGGGCTTAGCTAGTCCCTCCTGCTCTTTTATGACACTAATTCCATCCATGAGAGCAGAGCCTTCGCGGCCTAATTCCCGTCGAAAGGCCCCTCTTCATACTGTTGCACTGGAGATTAACTTTCAATATGAACTTCGGAGGGACACAAATAATCAAAGCATAGCAGTCACTCTTCTCTCAGGCCTGAGGAGCAAAGCTGCCCCTTCTCCTGTATTTGTACATTATCCCATTATCCTGTTTGTTCACACATGCTGGAAGCTTAAGAGCCATCTTCAAGACGGCTCCATCCCTCACTACCTGTACTAATCAGTCATTACGTCCTGCTCATTCTTATTTCAGAGTTTCTGGTCCTTGCCCCTCCTTTCCATCCTCACTGGCAGTTTCCTCTCTAGGGCTCTCATCCCTCATCTTAATTGCACAGAATGTCTTCTAACTGGGCCTCCTGCCACCCGTCTTTCGTCTCTCCAATCCATTTTTCTAGATTGCCCCTGGAGAGTTTGCCTCCTAAAATCCTGAACCGATCTTGTCACGAAGAAGCCCAAACTCAGCATGGAAGCCGAGATCCATACCTCCTGATCTGGCCAGGCCCCTTCCAGCCCCGCCTCCCATCTCTTAGGTACAGTGTGCCTCACACAAGGGGATTTAGTTAGCATTTCCAAGCACGAGGCGAGTCTTCCCACTTTCTGTGTCAGGTTAAACATTCTCTGTGAAATTGTCCTTGATTTGCTCAGTAGAATTAGGTACTCATCTCCCTCTCTCTTTCTGCCCCCATGCTGCTATAGTGTTTCTACATCTATTTAGCATTTACCTCATGCTGCACTTTTAGTTTATTAGAATTCAAGGGTTCTAGGAGTAGGAAGGAATTTAGAGATCATACAGGCAGAGCCTCTTATTGTAAATGTGGCACAACTGAGGATAAACGTGTAGCCCTCCCAGAGTCTACTTTTCAGTTGTCCTTGAGTTTGATCTCAGCATCATTGCCCAAGAAGAGCTTGATTTCCTTTGCTCTGTGACATCTCAGCAACTGCCTCTCTACTTTCTTGGTATCTGTCCTCTTCTAGTTGGTCTGCAAATACTAGGGTTCCTCAGAAACAAGCCCTTAGACCCTCTGCCTTCACACTGTATCCACTGTCCCAGCTCTTGCAATGTCATAGATTCCCATGGCTTCAGTGTTCACTCATAAACAGGCAGTTCACAAATATTCCACTCAAAACTTCTAGCTCCAGATATGAGTATCCAGGGGGACCTTCTAACCTATCATCCAAACAGGGACCCTGTGAGAGTGACAGTGAGCACCAAATCACCAAATGACAGGATGCCAGGACAACTAGCATTAACTGGAGCATCCAGAGCCAGCAGGCACCTTCGGTCATCCTGGTATACTGAACCATTTCACGTATGCTCTTGCATGTCTCAGGCTCCCAAAACTAACATGGATCTGAATCCATAATCTTTTCCTGCAAACCTCATCTTTCCTGGGTGGCCCACATTCAGTACAGGAAAGGAACTGTCCATCAAGTTACCAAGCCAGCAACCTTGAACTGGTCCTTGGTCCTTTCTTCACCTCAATCCCACTCATCACATTGTCTAGTTAATATTGCTTTCTAAGTATCTCAAAATCATCATGCTTCCATTTGTCTTCCACCCCTGCCATTCTAGTCCAAGCTCCCTTGGCATCTGGACTGGATTTGCACGGTGACTTCCATGTTGACTTAATTGACATTCTGTGGAGCTCCTCCTCCAACTCATTCTCCACACCTCAAATTGATCTTTTAAGAACGCAAAGAGGATCCTGTCATCCCTTGCTTAAAACAGTGCATAAAACATAATACATAATGGAAGACATGATATGTGTCTTTCTTTTCCACTTGATTGTCATGCCCCTAAAACCAGGGACCTTGTTTGTTTTGCTCCCTTTTGTTTAACTGGTTGCGTGACATAGCACCTCATACATAGTCCTGGATGAATATTTATTGGTTGAATGAGCAAATGAAAAAAAGTCCCAGGGTTCTAAAAACCTACTTCAGACCGCTAGTTCCAGAGTCTCTGGGTTCTTTTTTCCCTCAAGGATTTTAACCTCCTTGAAGGTAGAAGTTCTGCTGTTCTATCATTGAATATTTCATTCTTTCCCATTTTGGAAATGAGATACTCCTCTCTACTCTTTGTGTCTTCAGTACTTTTAACCATAGCTACATCTTAGAATCACCAGGGAGCTTGCAGAGAACACTAATGCCAGGATTTTGCCCCAAACTAATTAATTCAGAATCTCTAGACATAGGAAATAAGTTTTAAAAGCCTCCCTAGTGTTTGTAAGGCACAGTCAGGGTTGAGAAGCCACTGGTTTAAATCTGGTCATCCTTCAAGTCCCTTCTCAGGCATCATCTACTCCAGGGAAACTCAGATCCCTCATTTCTCCTCAGGACTTACTAGTAGGTAGTGAAGTGATTCTATGATCAATACTTATTTCATTATTTTCGGAGTTCCATTCCAGCTATGTTGTAAGGATGCATTAGGGCTGAGATTATGCATTATATTTAGGAATTTGCTGAGGACCAAAAAGTTACTTTATAATTTCCTTTTATTTGACCCATGTTCACTTCTCACTTTGGAAAGACTTCAGGTTGATAAGCAAGCTGACTTCTGATTTGTGGCTGCCTCTATGGTTTAACATCCTAGCAAATTTTTCTTACACGTTCCGTCGTGTTCCTGAGCTGCTAGAGAGCTATCTGAGTCAGCGGTTAACTGAGGCTTAGGCACACATAGTCATCAGCTGGGAGGAACAGGCTAAACAGATATCTCCTTGCACTACTTAGAAAACCAACTTTCCATCAGGAACTCTGGGACTTTTAGAAAATATGTATACAGCTTCCATGGGTCCCTTAAGTTATTCTGTTATTGCAGCATGCAGCACATTGGGTGGAAACCTAAAATGCACACTGAGTGACTCCCCTTTCACTCTTTTTTGGGGGGTGAAGCAGGGCAGGTGTAAAAGCAGTTTTTTGTTTTTTTGAGAGAGTCTCGCTCTGTCATCCAGGCTGGAGTGCAGTGGCGTGCTCTCGGCTCACTACAACCTCCATCTCCCAGGTTCAAGCGATTCTCCTGCCTCAGCTTCTCGACGAGTAGCTGGGATTACAGGCGTGTGCCACCACGCCAGTCTAATTTTTTGTCTTTTTAGTAGAGACGGGGTTTCACCGCATTAGCCAGGATGGTCTCGATCTCCTGACCTCATGATCTGCCCGCCTCGGCCTCCCAAAGTGCTGGGATTACAGGCGTGAGCCACCGCACCCGGCCTGTAAAAGCAGTTTTTTAAAATGTGCGTTTATGTATGTTGACCCAGGTTACTCCGTTGTCCCGTTGGTAAAGACTACCAAATTTAATGTGGCTGTTTCGTAAAGATACCTTCTCAGAGACATCGTCAAAGAGCATGCTTTAAAACTCTGTTCAGGCACATTTGCAGCTTTCCATAGGAAACTATAAAGGCAGATAATGTCATAGCACCTTTTTCTAAAGCCATTCTTAGGGACTTCAGCATTGACGATATGATTGAGGGAAGAGCAGGGAGGAAAACAGTGTGTCTGGAGGGCCCCCTGGGCTTCTGCCATGAGATTGAAGCTTGGCACCTCAGTCATGGCCATTCTGCACAGGTAAATCTTAAAATTTCATCTTGAATTTTTCATGGCATCATCAACTGGTGTAGATTTGGGTATCATTTTGCAGCTGCCAAGCGGATCTTTGTGTCAGTTCACCCCAAACTACATCACATTTAGCAAAATTGCCCATAGTATGCAGGTAATATTTTGAGTAGTTTTATGATAGATTTTGACATTTATTTCTTTTCTTCTCTTTTCTTTTCTTTTTCTTTTGTGACAGAGTCTTGCTCTGTTGCCCAGGCTAGAGTGCAGTGGTGCGATCTGAGCTCACTGCAACCTCTGCCTCCCAGGTTAAAGCGATGCTCCTGCCTCAGCCTCCCGAGTAGCTGGAATTACAAGCAAGATTTTGACAGTATTTCTAATCAAATTCCTGCTGCCTTTATAAAAAATCCACATGTTTACTCTTGTGAAATTATTTGTTATAATTGTTAAACTCTTGGGTTTTTTTTTTAAAGACTTAGAATATCATAAAGGTATAAAGAGAAGAAGCAAGTTATGTTTAGAATTTTAGCTAAGTTGTTTTGTGGATGACATTCTGTGTTGGGTTTAAAATGAGATTATTGAAGTGGGCTACCTATAAGATAGAGTTAATCTAATGTGGGTTTTGGTGTGCTCTATGGTTAACTGTGGGTCTCAAAAAGTTAAGTGTACTTCAAGTGCAGTATTTATGTAAAACCACTAAGATAAGATCTTGCTGTGTAATCTTTGCTGGTGCTCAAGCTAACTGATTACAATGGCTGGCATTTTCACTGTTCTCACACTTACAAAAATAAAATCAGAAAGCTTGAGAGGATAGGGAAAGACATCTGGTGTACAAAATGAAGACATTTATCAAAAGGGATGCCTTTTTTCCTTTTAAAAACTGCAAAAGGTTTGTTTCATCTCATTAGGCTTAGAAGTATAAATTTTACATAATTAGTAGAAAGTTGAATGAATAACAGAAAGTTGGAATAAATATTTGCTCTTGTATTAAATACATATGAAATGCCTTGCTTTAGTATATTGATTATGCTAATTTATAGTCTAAATGTACAATTAGATTCAGGAGGCATAACAGGATGTAGAATTTGATAAAGAATACATTAAAGAAAAAGAATTCTTGTGTAGACCTGAGTCTTAAAAAAATTAAAAAATAACATTTAAATTTTCTTGTAGGCCTGGTGTGGTGGCTCACACCTATAATCTCAGCACTTTGGGAGGCCTAGGCTGGTGGATTGCTAGAGCCCAGAAATTTGAGACCAGCCTGGGCAACATGGTGAAACCCCGTCTCTACAAAATACAAAAAAAACATTAGCCGGGTGCAGGGGTGCATGCCTGTAGTCCCAGCTACTTGGGAGGCTGAGGAGTCTGAGGTGGGAGAATCACTTGAGCCCAGGAGGTGGAGGTGCAGTGAGCTGAGATCATGCCACTGTGCTCCAGCCTGGGTGACGGAGTCAGACCTTGTCTTAAATAAATAAATAAATAAGTAAATTCCCTTGTAGAACTATAATTGTTTTATGATACAGAATATTAATCACTGCATTAAATTTGGATATTATTATAACGATATTTAGTAAAAAGGACAAACTTGAATTTCTGTTCATCCCGTCACACCTCTCGATTAGAGCTAGGTGAGTTACATGTAGTTATAAACTAAAGGGACTAGACCCCAAAGCTATGTTCACTCTACTCTTCACTTTTAATCACATATATATTTTCTTTTCTTTTTTTTTTTTCGAGACAGGGTCTCACTGCAACACCCAGGCCGGAGTGCAGTGGTGCAATCACGGGTCACAGCAGCTTCCATCTCTGGGGCTCAAACAATTCTCCCACCTCAGCCTCCCGAGTAGCTGGGACTACAGGCATGTGCTACCACGCCTGGATAATTTTTCTATTTTTTATAGGGACTGGGTCTCACTATGTTGCCCAGGCTGATCTCAAACACCTGGGCTCAAGCAATCCTCTTGCCTTGGCCTCCAAAAGTGTTGGGATTACAGGCATGAGCCACCGTGCCCAGCCCACATATGTATTTTCTTCTCTCTGGGAAACTAGCCTTCGTTTTCTCCAATTATTGACTTATTTCTTTTTCACCCAGGCTTTGTGTTAAGCTCCTGGATCTCTATGAAACCGCTGCTGATACTTCTATTAGCTTCTGTTAAAAGAAATGAAAAACTTCACCTTACAGGTTTCTTTCAGCATCTCTAAAAGTCTCTGTTGTTAATATAGTATTGAGACTTATCCCCACCATAGTCATTTGCATAAAATTATTATACTGTATATAAAAGTTTAAGATGTAACTTTAAATGAACATGAATTATAGGTATGGATAATTGCATTAATTTTGGAAATTTGTGTTGAATTTTCTTCTCTAAGTGGATATCTCTTAGTGCTGCTCAACAGTTAGCCCATTTTATCTCTTCATTTATGTTGGCCATTTTTCATTTATATCTTCTGAAAAAAATTCATGTATATGTTCTGAAAAAATAACACACTGTATACAATTAATTGTATTTGCCCAATTTTTTAGAATATTTGTTTATATGTATACTTACAGGCTTAAAAAAATCATTCACATGGTCCAAAGTGACTGATGTTTAAAAGTGACAGCTATATGAGGGAAAACGTATATGGACAGATATATGTCATATAATCATGCCATACACACACACACACACACACACACACACACGTGGGTGTGAATGAATGCCATCTTCTAAGATCTGTACATTTGACCACTATTAATCTGTGGTTCTTGAAAATTAATGAGATTAATTCATAAACCAAGTGATTTTTGAAGCCTGCAGTCTGGCGAGTCAGGTTGGTTCTGTTCCTTTAGATAGCTTAACTGAGTACAAAATTTGGGGTATAGCATTTCAGAAGATCCTGCTGTTTCTACCATTAGTTTTGAATGTTTATTGTAAAGATACTTTTCAACTCTAATGGGAGAGACAGCAGGATTCTCCCAAAAATTCAAGTAAAAATCTGCACGAGGAAAAGAAGTCTCCTGAGATGGATTGAATTCTTCTGAAGAGAAAAATATATAATTTACTACCACCTAAAATATGAATGAAGATATATGTGAGGAGCTTTTTAGAGGAGAATTTATCTTATATTTATTATCAGAAAGTGCTGTGAATTTAAAATCTTTCTTTTGCCCAAGTCAAACAGAATTTCCAGTAATAATGAGAAACGTGTGACTCTTGACCATTTTGTTTACCAAATAATGTAGTGTGAGATATCTCTACTACAGTAATAACTTCCGGTGTAATTTACATTGGCGTTTGTTAACAGCAAAAGACCTCTCCTGTGGGGGTTAAGAATATTTAATCCTTTAAAGCTGACATATATAACATGTAGCTATGTCAGCTACAGCTGTTTCTAAACATCAGTAACAAAATTATAGACAGGTTTTGAAGCTTCTGTGGTGGGAATGAATACATCTGAGGATTCAACTTGCTGACAGTGTTTTTGTAATTTAATCTTACCATCTGGTAGAAAGTAAACATTTTTTATAAAATTAAAGTTTATAAAGTGAATCGCTTATAGTTTCCGATTGTTGTGAATGACAAATTTAAGTGTACTTTCATTGAAGAATGAATGGAGATTCTGCCACTGTTTTGAGATGCATACTAGATCGCAACTGATTTTGCCATTTGATCTTCATTGGTTCCTTGAACAGTAAACAAATTGGCACTTTCATGTCAGCTAAGGATTCTGTGTTTCATATGTCTTTCATTCCTTTAAGATAGCATACATGTTGTTACTTGTTTTGCACAGAAGAAACTAGGGCTTGGCAATTTGTATGTCGGTAATGTCAGATAAGTGATGTCACAAATAGAATGTACCTCTGAACTGAAAATAAATGATTTTTTCATTGCATTTCATACTTTCTTCTATAACGTAGTTATATTTGTATAATATGCATTTAGCTATTGTCTAAACTATTATGGTGTAATCCAGTGTATTTGCTTTGCAAGTAGCACCTTTCTTTCTCCTTAGAAGTTGGCAAATTAGCAGATTTGTGAAATTGACAAATTGGTTTACAAACCCTGCCAAATTCAAACTTTATAAATCTGATCTACGCCTTTTACTTGAAATAAATATACACGCTGATAGACTCTTGTGTTTATAGTTGTGCCCTGTGTTAAATTGAAAGCCTACACTCTATGATGATGTAATAAAATTTAATTAGTTGTAAGTCAGGTTTTGGTTAATGGTAATTAGTTTAGTGTATAATTATTACATCTAATAGCAATCTGAAGTCTGCAAGCATTTTGATCTTTTTCCAAGTAAAAAGAAAAAAAACCACAAAGCTCCTGTAAGATTTATAGCAGAAATTGCAATAATAAAATCACATTAGCTAATTTCATTAGATAAATCACAGAAAATGTTAAGTGGCAAAGTAAAATTTCAGTGATGATGTACATGTGTTATGTTGAGCTGGTACATAAAATATTTTTAAGTGAGTTTTTTTTCTTTTCAATTAAAACTATCTAATGCGACTTTTGATGCTTCTTACTATTTAAAATACATCATCGGTAGTTTTGCATGGCAAAATTAAATGTTATTCCCATAACAGCTATTGTAGAGTGATCATCAGGGTCAATACATGCTTTAAAAATCAAAGAAATTTTATTAATAAATTTGAAAAATACCTTTAATTCACTGAGTTCTGACCCATAAAATTTTTACAGGAAGTATTGCCTGCTTCCAACAGAATAAAAAGTAGCTTTCAGCTAACAAGGCAGTAACACAAAAATATATTAATACCACGTAAGTAAATGTACATGAGCTTTTAAATTAGTATGTTTAATAAATTAAAAAGCATAATGTCTCCCTGAGTTACTAGATACTGTTATATTTAATTAGTCTATGAGCCCAAGATTAAATCAGGGAGCTAGTCATATTATACTTTTGGCATTTTCCTACTTCTCCTTTCAATCCCTTTCCCTAATAGAAACCTCTTTCTGTTTTTTTCTTGTATGAGCCGAGTGTTGTCTCATTTCTGTTTTTAAAAATGTGTTTAGCAGCCTTTCTATTTTCCACAAATTTATTGTTTTGGTTTTTAGACAGGGTCTCACTCTGTTGCCCAGGCTGGAATGCAGTGGCACAATCATAGCTCTCTGTAACCTGGAACTCCTGGGCTCAAGCAATCCTCCTACCGCAGTCTCTCAGTCTCTTGGGTAGTTATTTTTAACTTAAAATTTATAACCCAGATAGATTGGTTGTAATGCACAACATAGTTCAGTGCCAAGTATGTTTTCCACACCAAAGACTATGGTTCTCATCATTCGAGTGCTTGATTTTAGAACATTCAGATAAAAAACAAAAGTTTAATAAATAGTGTGTTGTAAAAGTCTTACTAAAAGTGGCTAAGTTGATATCACAAGACTATTAAATAGTTTAAAATGAATTTTCATGGCTTAATAACTGATTTTTATAAACCGTGCTTAGGTTTACTACGAATATATAGAAAATATTTAAATTTTCTGTATCTTTGATTTTTTTTTTCTTCTTTATTGTACCTTATTAGGAAAGGGTCTGTTTTGACTTCAAAAGAGGTCTTATGTTATGATCATTTTCATTTGGCAAGGAGAAAGAAGTGATTTGATATAAAATATTCATGAGCTGACATAATTAAAAATATTAACCGAGACATCTAAATTGGCTTTTGTAGTACACCATTATAAATATTTAGCTCTCTGTGAAATGTCTGTCGTGTTGTACATGGGTTTTCCATAGGATATCATTTCAGTTTTTATAAATTTGAATTTGTATTTACTAACACATGTTAATCTGGCATTAACACTGGATGTGTATTTAAGAAGGGTATACTGCAGACCTAGTAAGTGCACAGTCAGGACTGTGTGGGGAGGGAAAGACTGCAAACAGTTGTCAGTCTTCAAAGTGAGATAAGACACGTCCATTAAAGTTTGCAATACAAAACAGTATCTAATTCGGTACCAAAGGAGATATTTCATGAAAGATGAAGTTGGTTTGCTGCTTTAGGCTCTTTCTGAGTAGCTACCATGTATCCTTTGTTTAGTACTCAACCTTAGAAATTTGACTTCATTCGTTCCCTGGCTGTGATAAGATTTTGTGAACCAAATGCACAAGATACTATTTAAGAAATCAGTCTTCTAAATTGTGTTGGAGAATAACCCTATACTCAAAATGTTTTTATTGATTATTTTGGCCACTGGCAATCAAGGCATCTGAAAAACCGAGAAACTATAATCATAAAGTTACTGGCTGAATTTAAAATTATTTATTCATACTTTCAGAAAGTTACCAATCGAGTCCTACTATATGCAAAGACCATGTTAAAAATAATGAGAAACAGAATATCTTGGTGGATATGTTTCTGCCACCCAGAAACATTTACCAGGGTGGTAAAGATCTTGTATTAAAATATACAGAGTTTAGTTTCAAAGTAATAGTAGTGAATATCTTGGTGAATCCTTACTGCAATATTAGGAAATGGATATGCCCAATGCAGAGTAAATTTAACAGTTCTTTCTTACATACCAACATGAATAAACATGAGCAGTTGACTTGACTTTGTGACCACATGAATATGGCTACGTGAATGGACAGGAAGAATCCCATGAAGATTACTAGATTTTATCCTGGATTCTGAGAATAAATGTTAAAAACAAAAAGCTATTTATTCCCAATCTCACTGTCTTAATGAACTTTTATGTTTCTGTCAAATGGGAGTGGAGAATGACAAGTAATCTTAAAATATTTATGGAGTCAACAAATGTTTATGATGTGCCACACACATAAGGGTTCAGCACCTAAGAGGCAGCACTTGGACACCTACAGCTCGGAAGTGATCAAGACAGACCTTGGCTCCCACCTTCATGCATCTAAGATGACAATGCAATGTCAGAGTGAACATTCAGTAGGACTTGAAGATTTGTGACAAGAGTTCAGGGAAAACACATCAGAATTTTTGGTGATGTGCATTTAGTAGGAAGTTGTGGTTAAACCTTGAGAATAAATTTGTCCCTGGAAAGAGATAAAAGAACAAGGACTTAAGGACTAAAATTTGAGTAAAGCTTTCAATTAGGAACCAATAAAAAGATGAGGAATGGGAGTGGAAGCCATGGTTATGGAGTTTGGAAAAGTATCAAGGTCAGGTGCACGGATATAATCCTATGTGGCCAGGAAGTTTCAAAATAGGAAGACCGACAGCCTATACCGAAGGCTGTGAAGAATGAAGTTTGGAGGAGAGCCTTTATACTTGATTAGGAGGAAATGGGTATCATCTGCCCGTGAACTTGACACTGGGGTTGGAAATGAGTCCTGAGATATGGGAAATAGAGAAAAATCACATATACAGCTTGTTACGTAAATCCAGCAGCGAAAGGAAGGTGACAACTTCACACATGGAGTATCTCCAGGAGGTTTAAAGATAATGTGGATAAATGTTGAGACCAATTTTTCTTGTATGTAAGTTCTCTATAGCTATGTCTGGAGTATGGATGATTTTTATGTAATATATTATAAATCTTGACTTTTGGATTGCTTCTTTGGTGGTACAAAATAGAAAAAAATGCTATTTTGTATTAATATGCTTTAGTCACTTTCTTGTAAGCCATAAAACATTTAAAAAGCAGACTTTATGCAAATTGATAACTAAAAAATTGTTTTACACAGAAATTAAGATTAATTTACTTAAACACTGTGCTCTACATTTATCTTTATCTTGATGTTTATCTTGATGACCAAATTATGTCATCGCGGGAAATTTCTCTTTATCCATTAACTAAATACATTTGGATACTAAGGGTAGTGTCTCTAAGAGTAAGAATTATTTCTTAAATTAATATATTCATGAAAATTCAAACAAACATAGATCATCTATTAGAAATGTAATTTATATACAGCATTAACTCGGAACTGATTCTTTGTTTTTCCTCATTCTTCTGGGATTCTTGAAACACAAATCTAAATGTATGTGGCTGCAAAAAAAAAAAAAAAGCTCTGGATAGCTGCCTACTTTTGTAGGCACTCTTTTTGTGTTTTTTTTTTTCTCTTCTTCTGATTTCATCTAAGGAAAGCTTCCTTAGCTACTAATTCACACACACACACACACACACACACACACAAACACACACTTTAACAGGGAGGTTATGCCCCTTAAGCTCACCTGAATGACCCACAATATTGGAAACAGTTAAATACTTGGGGTCAGATAGAGCCCCACCAGGGAGGTGGAGGCAGTTGAATGCGTATTAGAAAATCAAGAAAATAATTGAAACTGGAGAACTCTAGTCCATTAATCTGGAGATTCCTTGTATAACCAATGAGCTTTAATATCCAATTTAATGAAAGATGCTTATTTCACTTTCCAGAGCAGAAAAATTAATTGGTAGCTATAATTTAAGTTTGGTCTCCTTTCTAATTGAAAGAATGTCTAAAGGGAAGGGAAAAACATTTTTATTTCACTCATTTTCATTTTTTAATTCCTTTTTTAAAGAAAAGTTTTATTACAAGTATTGATATTTTCATTATTTCAACTGAAATATTTGTTACATATTATCTCTAGGAAAAAAAATCCTTTAAAGGCTGCAAACAGTGTAATGAACTTGCAATCTGTTCTCTGGGTTTGCAGGTGTGAGGATTAAATACGTCCAGGCACATAACAACATTTCAGAAAATGCATTTTGAGGCTGATAACATGATCATAATATATTTTGTCTTTTCACTGTGTCAGAAATTAATTTTCTTAGTGGCTCCTTGCAACCTATGATTTTTTTAAAGAGATTTTTATTGGCAGCTGGCCAAGCCTTGATGTTCTGTTGAATGAGTGATACTGAACACTTGAGATGAGTCTCCTTTTTACCTTTGTTACCTCAGGCCTCTGCTCTGCTTCATTAAAAAAAAAAAAATATATATATATATATATATACACACAAGTATTTGCAAACCATAAAAAGTCTATATGCTAGTGAATGCACAGAGATGTTTTGCAAGCTGTTTTTTCAGTGGTATTCTTTTCATTTATCCACTGCGTAATTCTAAAGGTAAGATTCCTCAGGGTGCTTGTACAGAAGTGCTACCAGAATGAAGGGGCAGACCCATAGGAGCGTGGCCTACTTAAAACATCTGAAAATAACTAAGAGGCGACCCTCCTGCTTTTTCCCCTGCCAAGGAGATACCGACAGCACAGGACAGGTTTTGACTGTCTTATTGTCAGTTTCTTCCCCTGGTATAAGGCCAGATGATGCTGGAATGATGTGTCTATTGAAGTTGATTGCCACTGTAAGGCTTAGCCAAGTTTGTCTTCATGAGGGCAGTGTAGGAAGAACCAGTGTAATTGGTTTGCTGAACCCCTAAATTTGAAAAGTAGCTTGGTTAACCATCTCCATAGAAAGCCAACACGCTTTTGCATGTCGTGTGCACGTGGGTGCATGCGGAACACTGGGATGATGGCTCAGTGGCTCTGAGAGTAGAGGCTTTTCGATACAATTGGAATGACACCCCCGCCCCCCACCCTGCCGCCGCTGCACATTGCAGTACGGTAGCTCCGGCCATTTAGTGTTGCAGGTGGATGACTCATTTGATCAACATTAACTATGCCTTGAACAATATTTTCGTTAGTAATGTTTTTAGTTATCGTTTATAGTTTAGTTAATGATTTCGTTAGTGAGTTAGGTCTTGTGGACAGGATAAATACCATTCTTTAAGGTCACATACTGTTAGACTTGTATCACACAGAAAAGACACAATGAGTGTAGGGCCTCGTCTATAGAAGGCGTGTAATAAATGATGTTCAGAGAATGAATGAATATATAAATGGCACATTTGAGGGGCGGAGTAGCATACTGGTTAAGAGCGTGGGCTTCAAAATGAACTAGCAGTGTTTGAATTACAGCTTCACCACCGTGTGTCTTTTGGCAGATTACCTCCTCTGTGTGATTCAGTGTCACTGTGTTTAAAAAGGAGATGATAATGTTGCTTACCTCATAGATTTGTAATGAGGCTTACAGAGTTTACATATGTAAACATGTTGAAATCGTACCTGGTACATAACACTCAAGATGTGTTCATTATTATTACTGTTATTATAGAAATTGAAACATAGAATATTTTTTGGTTTGAAAATGAATATTCTTTCAGAATGACAAATTTTAAAATAAACTCGTAATTATTTGTTAAAACAGTCACCAACATTTACATAATGTTTTAGTTAGCAGAACTCTTTTTACATATAAATTTTTAAAATTTGGTATACTTTTTTTTCTTTTTTTGTTTTTTTGAGACGGAGTCTCACTCTGTCACCCAGGCTAGAGTGCAGTGGCGTGATCTCGGCTCACTGCAACCTCCTAGGTTCAAGCGATTCTCCAGCCTTAGCCTCCTGAGTAGCTGGGACTACTAAATTAGCATCCGGCTAATTTTTTTTTTTTTTTTTTTTTTTTTTGATTTTTAGTAGAGATGAGGTTTCACCATGTTGGCCAGGCTGGTCTCGAATTCCTGACCTCAGGTGATCTGCCTGCCTTGGCCTCCCAAAATGCTGGAATTACAGGCATGAGCCACCTGTACCCAGTCAGTGTACTGTTTTATTCATGACCTAGGAGATGGACAGGACAGACATTCAAATTTTAGAGATGATAGTGGAAGCTACTTTGAGGAAAAGGTGACCCATGAAAATCAATTATGAATGAGATGAGCCTGTAAGCACCCACATGGGGACCCGCACGGAGCAGAAGCCGCTGTGCTCTGGTGCTCAGGTGGTGCTTAATAACGGCTTCTTGTTCCCCTTTGTCTTGCACGAGGTGTTACCATCTGCATTGCCAGATTCAGACACCAAGACCCAATGATACATTTCATTATTTTTAATGTGTGATCACCCCACAATTGCGCCAGATGAAGTAGCCCCAAACACTTTCACTTTCTCAATCTAAAAAATATCTTACACATTCTTCTGCCCGGCTGCATTGGAGTTCCTGCTTAGCATCAGTACACAGAGCCACTCAGAGGAGCATGTCCCCGGGCCCTGGCTCTACCCGCTGCCCTTGGTCTTCAGCCAGCCTGATGCTCCTGATTCACTGTTTTGGGGCATTTCTGCTATGGAACCACCCTGAAAATTATCAAATTAGGCAATTACAAATGATCTTTGATTCATTATTGAAATGAAAAAAAATTTATTTAAAATGGGGACATATTTGGCATACATATATATATATATTTTTTTTTTTTTTGCTCTACCCTCAAAACTACTTAAGTGATGTTGCTTGTTGAAAGGTTTTTTTGTTTTACTTATTTAAATTGTTTATTTTTCATAGAGACAGGGTTTCACCATGTTGTCCAGGCTGGTCTTGAACTCCTGGGCTCAAGTGATCTGCCTACCTTATCCTCCCAAAGTACTGGGATTACAACCATGAGCCACTGTGTCCTGCTCTTATTGAAAGTTTTGAAATTCAGATGAGACAACATTTAAATGATTCCTGAGAAGTCAAGGGATTTAATCTATGGGCAAAAGACGAAAAGTCATAAACTTTTGTCCAATATTTTATATGTTTTGGTTTTTGTTTTTTTTTTTTTTTTTGCTTTAAGAGTTAGCTCCTGTTAAAGCACTCTTCCAAAGTGTTGTATGTATGCAGGATGTATGCATCTTCCTAATAGATTATCAGCAACCCCCTAGCCCCTGCAGGATTGGTATTTTGTAATTATGTTTCATCCTACAAAATAGAGCACCCTATTTAATACATATCAGCTATTAAATACGTGATCGAATTGCCCATCTATAACTCAAACTTCTATGCCTTTAATAACACCAAATGTCTTCAGGATTTGTGGTGGCTGAGAACATTCAGATAACTAAATGGCCCACTTTATTCTTTTAGATAGATGGCGTCAATTTCTACTGCCTCACCAAAAAATTATGTAGCCCAGGGATAGAACTTTCCTAATAAATTTTACAACCAGTTCCTGAGAGGCCAGTGAAAGATCATTACCTTCACAACACTGTTGCTCTTCTCTGTGGCTTTTGTAGTGATTCAAACAATGTGACAGTAGCTAACCCCCATGGACAAGTTTAATAGAATTAAAGAAATATGAACCTACAAACACACGTACTAACACTGCGTAGAATCTGTGTCTTGCATGTTCAGGGATTCTCTTGTTTTAGGTCGTGTAATTTCTCATAATATGTGTATTGTTTCCCTTCTAAATTTAATAACAGTAATTTTGTTAGCTGTGGAATATTTAAGCTAAATGGTTTGAAAAAATTAAGTCAAACTCCTTACATAATTGTTTCTTAAAAAAATAAAACAACTCCATCATCATTTTCCTACAGTGTGTTTGAAGCTTCTAACTTTCTCCAGACATTTAAAATGACTCTGTATTTTACCCTGGGACAATGTAAGCATTCTAAAGTGTTTTCTAGTTAATGTTTGTATATCAGCTTCTTAAACAGGTGATGCAGTTATGAAACTTCACCTGTATACATCTGTAAATTTTCTGTTCCAGATATTTAAAAGCAGAAGTCAATATTGGAATGAAGGAAATGTACCAGAGTGTATATTTTAGAGTAATAAGTGAAATCTGCTGTTTTCAACGAATTCCTTTTTTAAATTTTAATTCCTAAGTATTTGCTGACTGAAGAACAGTATAGTGCCTTTAAGGTGAGAATTTTTGTATTAAATAACTAAAATAAACCGTAAAAATTGCTGAGCAAAACATATCTAAATCTTGTATTTAAATTAGATTTCATTTCAAAATGCTTTTAAGGACCCCTTTTATTTATTCCCCTGGTGGTCTTTCAAAAGCCAGGTGTCTGGGATTGTCTCCAGCCTGCTCTAAAAGCACCCCAGGCTTTGGATTAGTACAAGAGAGCAGCTGCCTTTTATTCAGCAGTGCCCATTTACATAATGCCTGTTCATTTAAACTCACTTGGAACCTATGGCCAGGATGAACCCACACCAGAGTGAGTCAGCAGTGCATGGTCTTGTTTTTGCATTGAATTAATTTTAAAACATCCCTCTCTTCCACAGCTGGAATGAAAGACAGTACTGTAGAGGCATTTCTCGATTCAACTGCTATATCCTTAAAGGCAATTTAAGAATCACTGTTGCATACTTTATCACAATATATAATAGAACTAAAATTTTTAAAAAGCAGTGTATCTATTATTAAACATTTCATTCTTACAAAATAGACTATGGTAGTTTATAGAAGAGAACAACAAAATGTACTGAAAACCTCAAAGTAATCTCTGCTCTGAAACTGTCATTTCCCTCTCACGGAACACATTTACTTAATCCTTTGATTCAACTTTCAAGTTCAAAAAGCATTTTTGTGTGTGTATTTGTGAAACAGGAAGTTTTTCAGTGTTGTTTTTGTCTTCTAAATATTGTTTATGTTTGAAATATAAGTCAAATTTAATATTATGGTATAAGATGCTTCTTTAATTTTAAACTTTTATATTAGTTTAGAATATGTATGTGGCTTAGTCAGAAAACCCTCACCTTTGTCATTTTTTCAGACCTCATATTCAGATCCATTTTTGTGTTCTTCTCCCAGGAGATTAGGTAGTCTCTATGGGCTTTGTACTAAGGGCAGGAATCCACTTCCCTAAGTTACAGCCTGCTTTATGTACTTACTTAAGTATTTGTGGGGCAGAAGTCTTTAATAGTTGGAATTGCACATGCACTAGAAATTTAAATAAAACCTACTTTCAGGGTAAAAAAAAAATCGAAGAGTTTTTTTTTTTTAAATCTGAATTTTGAATTAGTTTTCTTAACGTGAACTTTCCAAAATGCTGCTTTACAAAGTTTATTTTCATTCATAACATTTTAATGCTTGTTTTTCCTTGCTTTTCACCAAATGACTTGAACTGGAAAATGTTGATGTTTAGTTACATATTTATGGAGGACGATAATCTCACCCATGTGTCTGCATTACTTGCCTCTGTGTTTTTCCCCTAGTTAATATGATGTTTATCTGCTGTTACACTTTAGTTATCTTTTTGAAATCCTGCTTTGACATCTTTCTTTAGCATAAATTTATGCAGTGATTAAATCTTCCCATCTACCTTCATAGCATCTGGTGATGTTATATAGTAAAGAGAGTAGTATTTTTTTAATACTTCTTTAATTTAGATGAGTTTCATAAAGTCATTCTATATGAGTAAATGGCCAGGCTTTTTTAACTTTAATATATTCAGTTCACTATGCATGTAGAAATATAAATTAATTTTATTGTTTCTCTTTTTTTTTTTTTCTTTTTGTAGAGACAGGGTCTCACTATGTTGCCCAGGCTGGTCTTGAACTCCTGGGCTCAAGTGATCCTGCCACCTGGGCCTCCCAAAGTACTGGGATTACAGGCATAAGCTATGGCTCCTGGCCTATTGTCCTTCTTGATAGTAGTCATTTTTTTTCAGAAGTACCTGTAGTAGAAACTACATTAACTTTAATTTCTTTCATTAAAACAATTTCATTGCTCTTCCTCTTCACAAATCACATCAATTTATTAATTTTTATTTTGTTTTATTTTATTACATAAATATATATACATATTTCTGGCTGTCACCTGACTGAAGAAGAATTCTTCACTTGATCACAGCCAAAAGGCTGAGAAATGATAAGAATTCTTGGTGATTTTTTTTTTAATTTACTAGAGATAACCTAGTTTTTCTTATCTACATGGACATATGAGCCTGCTTTGTGGTGTTAAAACAAATCAAAACGCAGCAACCAACTAATAAAACAGTAAGAATGAAACACCTTTCTTAGGAGTGACCATCAGGCATTCCGTATACATAACTAATCAGGACTGTTTCATTTCTCCCTTTGCTGTTCCCCCTGAACCTTGAACCTAACAATAAGAAATAATAGAAAACCAAAGCTCTGTTATGGCTTACTAAACTAACACCCTTAAAAGGCATTTGACTGTGACTGAGTATGAATGAGAACGGTCCCCAAATCTTCTGCTGAAAGAGGGGGCCCTCCCGTGGGAGGCTTTAGTTGTTTTCCTCTTTTTAATCTGCGGGAGCCGCGGAGCTCAGCTTCTTAACAAAACCAGTATTAGTGAGGAGATCAAAACCAAACACCTAATATGCTCAGTATTTGACCACCTTTTTATAAAGTTAATCAAACCTGTTAAGAAAAATGTAAAGTAGCAGAATGTAATATTCTGGAAGGAAATTACATCATATAATATAAAATCCTAGCAGTTTGACCCTGTGGTAGATGTTTACTTTAAAATAGTTAACTGATTTTCAGCAGAGCCGAGTGGTCATTCTCATTGACTTACCCATAATGTGCAGAACACCTTTGCAAATTCAAGATGACTGTTTACAATATAGGTATTATATGTTGTTAGATTATTTATCTTCAGCATTGCTTTACTTTCATAGTGCATTTGGTAAGTGTCAAATTATAGTATACTGCATAATCAATCACTGATATTTCATAAAAAATAAATCAGTTGTAAATGTTCCACTGTTTCTGGCTAATGTCCTGTTTTTTTTTTTTAATTTTTGTTTTTAGTTTTGTTTTTGAAAAAATTCGATAGGTAGTATGTCCTTTGACTTTAAAACAGGAATGAGTGAGCACATGCCCATATGTTCAGGATAGAAACAGTTTTCTGACTGATATAAGGAAATTCTAGCATGCATTTTTAAAATTATCTTTCTTCTATTGGGGAATTGTTGCTGATGGAAAACACTGCAGTGTCCAACTGGATGGTTGTATCCACCTAGATCAGCAATGAGAAAGGATAAGAAAATTTCAGACGTGATTTTAACAAAGGGCGGGGTGTTTTCTGGGATATATCATTTCAAGGGCAGCCCGTTTTTTCAAGAATCTCTTCTATTATTCTATGATGCCAATAGAATTTCATTCTGATTTTGGGTGAATGAACTACCGCCTATTAAAATGTTAATATCTACTGGTCAGTTATTTCTAAGCTTGAACTTAATGTTAAATACCAAATTTTGTCATGTATGAAGGGAAGAATGGATTCAGGGTGATGAGGCACAGAAAATATGAAGGCAAGGATTTCTTGGTATCAGCAGAGGGTCCAGGAGGTAAGATAAGGGCACTAAATGGAAAAATGGAGGGTCACCTTGGAATGGTTCTGATACAGGCATAGCGTATTTCTGCACCAGGAGAATGACTTATCAGGTTATATGCATCTCTTGATGATCTAATTATTCTAAATGACAGAAGTATGAGCCTGCCTGCTAAAGCAGTGATGTCTAAGGCCATGACTTTGAACCTAGACGCCCTGAGTTATCAGCTTAGTTCCACTGTTTAACTGTTGTGTGTTCTTAAGCAGGTAACTTCTATGAACCTCTATCTTTACCCCTCTAAAATGCCTGCCTTATCAGGTTGTTGGAAGGATGAAGTTAGAGTACACGTGTAAAAAGTACCTACAAGGCACATTGTTAGTTATTTTAAATATCACTGATTTTTATAATTATCCAAATGTTGCAAACAAACAAGTAATACAATTTAAACTCAGTGTACCAACAGTCTATTATGATTAGCTAAGGAAGACCCTGGACAAACCCTTTTTGGAACATGGAATTTGAATTAAATACTTGGTTAACTTTTATGGTATACAAAAAATAAGACAACATGGGTAAGAAGTATATGTTTACAGGACAAACTCTTTGTTCTGGTTAGGAGAAATATACATCAATTTGATGAGAATATTAGATGAAATTGGAGGAACAGTTAATTTATATTAGCAACTGAAAAAATAGGGAGTTGCAGAAAATTAAGGGTGAAATTTGGTTTTCAAAGATTAGAACAGCATTTTATTTTATTTTGTTTCTTCTTATTATTATTATTTATACTCTTCCCATAGCTCAGGGAAAGCAATAGAACTGCATTTGAGAAGAAACCAGAATTTTTTGAGAAACACTGAAGGCTACTTTAATCAAGCCAGAACCCACCTAGAAGATGTTCCACTGTTTAACCAGTTATTTAAAGGAGTGCTTGCTTTCATGCTCAAAGGAGCTGGAGCTGAGGGCCTAGTTCATTTTTCTTGCTTGAGGAAGGGACCTTGATTATGATTCATTCGTATGCAGTTGCGGAACCAAGGACTACTTTGGGAGAAATAATTTCTACTCCCGTGAACTCAAGGGAAGTCTCCAGGAATGATAAGGAATGAATTGGGGAAGGATAATTTCCTTTCCTTCTTTTCTAGTTATTCCAGCTGAAGTTTAACATACTGAGAGACCAGATAACATATGTCCATTTTTTATCAGCATTTTCGTTTTTACTGCGTCCTCAACCATGTGCACATTTACAGAACTGTCCCAAGTAGAAGCATACTAAGATTGTGGAAGTTATTTCTGAAAAAGCAGCTAACCTTATCTAGATCATATTATATTAATACCACACGTACTTATTTTACATATTTGTTTTTTATTCAAGTGTTCTAGTTTACTTGGTCTTTTACATTCTAGTCTTCAGTGGGGAATAAATAGCAAACATATGAGTATTCTCAAATGTCTGAGTTTAGTAAAGTTAAAAATATATTCTATATTAAAACTACAAGTGGCCTTTTCTACATTTATATAAAAAAACCAATAGTTATATGTTTTCATCTTGATATAGAAAGTGGTAGGTCTGTTTTATTATTCCAAAAGAAGCATTTGGTAAGTTTTGTAAAAAGCTGACCAGCAGTTTGATTCCTCAACTTCAAAAAGTTTAATAATATTATAGCAGCTGGTTAGAAATTACAGCAAGAGTACTATAGGTTAGACAAGCAGAGATTTTTGTACAACAAAGATTTTTAAGCAGGCTGTACTAGAAGATTATTACAAATTCATTCCCAGTAGATCTCTAGGTTTCTAAGACTGAAATTTCTGGAATAGAAGTTAATCAAATCCTTTTATTGAGTACGCAAATAATTCCACTGGGCCTCTGGGGAGTTACATAGGATGTTTCTTTCTTTAAAGAGTTTTCAGTTTGATATAGAAGCAAGATAAAATCTTATGAAAGCACCAAAAATTTCCAAAAATTGCCCTTTCATCACAGATGTAAGCACTTAATAAAACGCATTTGATGATGCCAAAAATAAATTACAACTATGAAGAGATGCATGGTTGAGTTTTTTTTTTTTTTTTTTTTGAGAAAAGGAGTGGATTTCTTATTGCTTTAATGTGAATTTTTAGTGTCTGAAAAAATTAAAATGTTTTAAAATTTAGCCAAACCTTTTCAAGATAAACATAGCCAGCCTACTGCTATGATTTGTCATATAGGACCCAGTATTTTCTGTCTTGTGAAGGAGATACAGATGGAACTACCTAGCTAATCCTCACAGAGAAGAAATGAGATAGTCTTGATGAGTAGAAAGATTAGTCTTTTTTCTTTCTTGAGCTAAAATTATTTTGTTATAATCATGTGAAAAACCTCTATTTTGGCCGGGCGTGGTGGCTCACACCTGTGATCCCTACACTTTGGGAGGCCGAGGTGTATCACCTGAGGTCAGGAGTTCAAGATCAGCTTGGCCAACATGATGACACTGCGTCTCTACTAGAAATACAAAAAATAGCTGGGCATGGTGGTGGGCGCCTGTGATCCTAGTAACTCAGGAGGCTGAGGCAGGAGAATTGCTTGAACCCGGGAGGTGGAGGTTGCAGTGAGCCGAGACTGCGCTACTGCACTCCAGCCTGGACAACAAGAGCAAAACTCTGTCAAAAAAAAAAATCTATTTTATTCAGACTTTTGGAAGGAGGACAGAAGCTGTCAAAAAACGGATTGCAAATGTGGCTTGGGGTGTCTTCCATCAGTCTTAAAATCATCTCATTTACTTTCTTTTATCGACATAGTCATCCAAGCAATGTAACCTATTTTCTCAGTTCTATTAACTTTAGTGCCATCTTCGGCTTCTGATCAGCAACTGAACAAAGTTTTAAGTTGAAGGCACCATAGCATAAATAGAGCGTTCTTTTCAAGCACTTATCACTGTTTGAACAGAAACTGTTTTACATATTCTTTACAATGATCTGTTATTTAGACTATATTGGGAATCTGATCAAAGGCAGTAAGTCACTCTGAATCTTTGGCTTTTATGAATTTAAGCTCAGCATTTGAGCAAAGAACTAAAAAAGAAAAAAAACTTTCATTCTTACCTAGACAACAAAGGCCTTTTAGTCATTGCAATCTTGTTAGTCTTTTCTGAGTAGTCTCACCAGACAGAGAGTGCGTCAGTTACAATTCCATCATTACTCTTTCTAACAGCCCTTCAAGCCTCCTGCTCTTCAAAGTAGCACAGAGCACTGTATGTACTTGGTCCCACCATTCAGAGCCAGAAGCTGAAACAAAACGATGCCAGCTGACTTTAAGGCAATTTCCTTCCCTCTGTGGAAATTTCTGCTTCTTCTGTTGAATCGATTCACTGAGTAAAACTTGACCTCTTGTAATAGTGCATACGCTTCGCAGTGTGCCAAAGTGATTCAAAATGAAACAGCGGTTGTACATAGAAAACATGGAATGTCCAGCTTAGTTTGAAAATGAAAATGCCTTTAAAATCTGCTTTTCTGTTAAGAGAACTACATTTACCAATACATTAGATTTTTCTGCTCATTCTAAGATAATTAAAGTAATGGATTCTAGCCTGAACGATAAGTATAAGCACATAGTTAGGCTTCCTTTATATATATATGGAAACTGAAATGGGAAAATTACACAATTAATTAAAAGAAAAGAAAAACTGTCTTTGTTAAATGGTGTTTTTGACCTCAAGTATTACAATGATTGTTTCATGTGTTCAGGTTCCTATGTGTGTGCACACTCATGCAAGTGTGTGTGCATGTGTGTGTGTACACAAGTCCACAGGAGATGAAACATACTCATATTAATCTTTTGTCAATAATTGTTAAAATGTAGAGAAAGTAGGTTAGTAGGTTGATGGGGCCAAGAGATGAAAATACTTGGATGAAACTGATATATGATCATGTTTAAAATATATAAAATATATACATAGTTTTAATTATTCCTTTTACAAAATTCACCTGTTTCAACCATAACTTCTAATATGTATATATCGATGTCTTTGAATTCAGAGAGAAGGAAAATGTGTTTATATTTTTAATAATAGAAGATAATTTGCTTGTTTTTAATAGGAGAAGATCACTTACTTTGCTGGAACTTCTTACATTTATTACATGTTATTTACCGGAAAGTAATGTTAAACCATGTCTATATGCACAGAAGGAGTAGATTTCACACAGCCAATGTATTGACTTCTGGATCAGTACTGATCACTGCATTTGTCTTAATTAAGTGCTAATTCATGTCAGTGAGATAGATGGATTTTTAAAAACTTCTGTTTATCTGAGCTTAGATACTTTGGGTAAGAAATATACTAATGCATCATATATATATATATATATATATATATATATATATATATATATATATATATATGGTCCTACCCTGTTGAATAATTTGTGTTAGACACCTCATTTCTCCAGATTTTCTAAAATTCAGGCAGTTGGTGTGAGGGTGGAGGTAGGAGGTATTGGCAGAGATAGCACCGCTTCTTCAGATCTCTAATAAATGTAATTAGTTCAGTTTTATGCTTTGCCTTTTTTTAATAGTGAAGTGATTGTAGTGTAAAAAGAGCAGTTGTTTGACTATATTATTTAATTCAACAGACTTTTCTTCCCTATTCTTTAAAAAGAAAAGCAGTTATTCAAAGCATAAAAAGAAAAAAGAGATTAAAAATAATGGTCTGTAAACTTTGCAAAGTACATAAGAAAACCTCATTAATTCTGGGTATTTAAAGTATAAACAAAATCTAAAATAAATATGAGAAAATACAAGAACAGAAATCTTTTGAAGAAAAACAACATTCTAAATTCATTCTAGTTCTTTTCTTAAATGTATTTGGCAAATAATTATAAACAAAAGCAAGACTATTATCAGAACTCATGTAGTAAATTTATTAAGACCAGATGCTTTCCTATATGACCATGTTGGTGGAGCTGTTAGTAGCTTTAAAAGATTATGTTCCTCTGGGTACCAGCACTGTCCTTCTTTGAGTCAAAGGAGGTTAAAATTTTTGAAGGGGATAGTAAATTCGCCAACTCTCCCCAAATGAGGACAGACATCCAAATGGGAAAGCCTCCTTCTTAGAAACCTTTGTGCCCCCCTCCCACCCGCTTTTTTTAAAGGGCAGAGCTCAGAAATGGGCATGCTCATTTGATGAAGGCAGTGCCATGATACCAGAAGCCATAAAAGGAAAGAATTCTTTGGTTGAACAGAAATTAATTAGGAAAAAATGAGGAAGAAAAGAAAAGCTCTTAAGTCAGTGGCTTAAAAAAACGTTCTAACAGCTGTAATATGAGAGAACATACTAACACATTTTTTAATATAATTATATGAAAAAGACATTTTTATATTTCCCTCTTCTAGAATAAAAAGAGTTTTTTGTCAAGCAGTAACAATTTATTCCTTATGGAAACTGCTTTATTATTGTCTGATGGCCACTTTAGATCCATAAAACGAAATGGATTAAAGAAAATTAAACAGTATTTTTAAGTGTCTACAGCTTGTGGCATGTTAACAGCAATCTGTGTGAAACAGTGCCAAAAATTAAGCTTAGGTTTCCAAGACCTTTCTGTACTGTGATACAGTGTTTAAATACTAAACAGAAAGTTTGTTTTGAAATACAATTTTGAAGGTCTCAATAATTTGGAGGAGGTAAGATAAGATACAACCAAATGCAAATATATATATGTTATATATTAGCATTATATATATTTCATTCCGCCTCACTTTGTTATAGTATTTGAAAACTTTGGTAAATAAAATGAGTGCTTTTGAGAGTCAGAAAAATTACATTCTAACCCAGAATTTATCACTAATTGTGACCTTAGTAAGTCACTTAAACTCAATAGACCTCAGTTTCCATATCTGTAGATGAGAGGATTTGGATGCCTCTTCTCAAATCTCAAGGTTTCTCAAGAAACCTTGAGCATCCAAGTCATCTTCTGACATTAAATTAAACACCTAGATTCGGCTCCATATGTCTCAGGACAGTTGATCCCCTAATCTCGTGCATGTCTGTCACAGGTGTCTAACCTACCGTAGATGAATCTCACACATTGCAAAGACTAGGTTGAAGTTGATATTTTTTGGTTTTGTTTTCATTTTAAAATTCCAGCTCCTGCAGGATTGAAGTTGGTCTTTTGAAGTGGGTCCAGTATGACTTTGTGAGCTATTCTGTTCTTTTGTATATTATTAAATGAGTGAGTAAAAGTGGCAAAAAGTGAAAGATCATGATTTGACAGTATCACATGGTCCGGGTATCAAAATGCTAATTGCAGAAGGGAAGCATGATATGGTGCAATTTGAGTCCTCTACTCACTAGAGCTCCTTGGGGCAAGGCCAGTAATAGTCTTCTCCAAAGCATCTGGCCCTGCCCAGTCCTAGAGATGTGCAGTGAACATGTACTGACTGACTCATGTCCACTTTGCTTGTCACGTGCCTCTCTGTGCCATGTTAATTTTAACCTAGTTGCTGATAATTCAGTAATATTTTAAAAGCTGTATAGTATAATTGAGAGGATTATGTTAAATATTTTAATATTTTGATTTTAATCAAAATATTGCGGCCTTTAAAAGCTGTAAGACTTTGGGTGAATGAAAGTAAATAAGTAAATGGAAATTTTTGTAATATTAAATAATCAAAATATAAAAATTAATACAATTTTTAAATGTATTTTTTGTATTCACTGAAATTTATTGTGAGTTATCAGTGCTATTCATCTATTTTTTCACTTGATAAAGTGTAACAGGTGACTTTGATGTGTGATTCTTGGTGGCCTTTCTTCTCCCGGTGCTGGAAGACTATGTAACTCTAGCTCAGTGAGATTTTTCTGGATTAAGTGGGTATGATTGCTCAAATGTCACCAGTACATCAATCCTTTACTCTTCCGTGTCATACAAAAAATATTCTGTGAAGCACAGACTCCATAATGAGTGGACGATTTTCACTCTACATACTACATCCGTAATATTGCAGCCAACCAGAAACACCAAAGCTTATACTTATTTAGATGTATGCACATAAGAAAGTCAAAAGTTAGGGGGAAAGATCCACTGGGAAACTAGATATGGAGACTGTGTAGCATCTGACCTTGAGACAAGAAGACTGATGTGGGGCGCGGCACAAACTCCTGGGCTCATTTCTGAGGCTTTTCCAGGCATATGTCTGGGTGAGCATGGTCTCAGTTCGCCCCCACACATCTCAGAAGTTGGTGGTCTGGAAAACTTCCAAAAGGGTGTGGACTGCAGTTTTTGAAGAAGCATAATTAGTCATGCCCATAAATCAGTAGGCGTGTGGGTGTGTGTGTTGGGGGTGGTGGGGGCCAGGCTGCATGAGTGTGCTCAGATAGCCCTGGCTGGCCCACAGTGGTGGCCTTCCTGAGAACTGAGTAGTGCCAAAGTCCTTTCTATCCAGAATTATCTCACCTATTTAGAGCCAAATTTATGCGTAAGGCAGACATCTGCATCTTTGAAAATACAATTTTGTGGATTTTGCCTTTAGGGTGGTTTTTGTTTGCTTGTTTTGTTTTGGGAATTCTAATTTTCTTACGAACTGTTTTCTCGTTTCCTTTAGAAAATCACTGAAATGACTAATGAGATGGGAAGATGAACAAGTATTATATTTTGAGTTCTTTCCTACACTGTCTCATTTTCTATAAACATACTAATGCATGCTTTTAAATTGTTAATAAATTGGAGTTTTGCTGCAAATTTAAAGAAAAAGAAACATTTCCTCATTTTGGTCTTTCTTTTTTTGCCCTTACACATGAAATTCTAGATCTCTGGAAGGGACTCAACAAAGCTTTCCTAAATTAATTGGCTCTGACGGTACCTTCTTAAGGATTTCTGGTGTGGCTCTGACATATAAGCAACTCAGATAACTACAGAAAACTGTGTGTAAAAATCAGCCCACCAGTATTTGAAACAAGTATGCACTGTTCTTTCTGCGTACCTCCCGTCTGAAACCTTGCGCTAACAGCCGGATACAAGTACAATTTCTGGCTCCTCATTCAGTGAGGTTAGAATTGGACGTCCTCTAAGTACCTCATTTCATGTGGTTCATGATAGCAGAGTGCTGCAACAAGGTTTACAGGACGACGGAAGCCAGTAATCCGTTTATAACTGTACTCCCATGACAATTAACAGACCAGTGGAAATTTGAGAACCACATTTACCTGGAGGGGTCAAATGTAAATGTCCAGATTGTTTCCAAGCTCTGACTTTTCTTTTTTTTCTCCCATTATACTATGTCTTACTAAATAACATTTTTTATTGAAAACAATTAAGGGCAATTTATGATCAGTGAAATAACCCTGGCATAATTCACGTTTTGCCCACACAAAGAAACACATTGAAAATGGGGGCAAGGGGCATTTGAGGATCCTGAAAGTTCATGTTATATTGAAGAAAAAAATTATTTTCATGTCTCTTACGCTTTGAAATTATACTCTGCTTCATATCCCTGATATTGGTATAGGTCCAAAAGGAAATATAAAATTACTTGTCTATTTATTGAGTACCTACTGTGTGCTAGGCCCTATCCTAAAATCCAGATATCCTGGTTAACCATTTTAGCCCTGTGTTACAAAATTCCAGTTGATTTCTGTTCAGAGCAGTGACAGGATTTTAAAAATGTATGCTTTGAAATTATTTTATAAAAATTTTCATTTTGTGATTAGAGTATTATTAAACTTGGGTGATAAAGATTTCAGCTTTACTGAAATGTCATTTGTATAAGAAGAGCTTGCATTTTGGGGCATTCATTTACGTAAAGATTGAGTCCAAATTTTTCAGGGTAGCATTCAAAGCTCTCTTTAATATGAATCCATCTTTATTTCTTGTCTACTGCCAACTCATCCTTTGAGCTATTCAGAGGTTCTCCTTGACCCCTGGAATCTGTGTGCCTCCCACTCTTTGCCTTTTCTCCGGCTCTCTCCTCTGCTTAGAATGTCCTTTTTTGCCATTTCCAGTCAATCACACACCCATGATTACCAGACAGTCTCAGATGCCGCCTCCCTTAGAGTGTCAGGCAGATCATCCGTCCCATTGCTAATTCTTCTCCCTTCTCCTTACGTACATGTTACATCTCCCTTGCTAAACTTAGTGCGGTTAGTTTTATCTAGAATTTTTTTTTGATTCTTTTAGGATGGTTAGAGCCTAGGTATTAGGAGCACTGCCTACTGGTTTACCATTACATCATATGTACTAATAAATACTTAACAATTTTTGTTGAAATCACCATGGACTCCCAGCCTTCCATGCTCAATTTCACCCTGAATACTCTTAGCATGTATCAGGGACTCTGCTATCAGCCAGAGATCTAAAGCCCTTTTTACTGGGATTTCCTTTCAGTGTTGTACGTGAAATAACTGTGTTGTCTTCAACTAAATCGTAACTGCATTTTAGATCACAGATTATCGCTGATCTACTTTTGCATCCCCAGTTGGTTACTGTTTTAATTTTATAATTGTATGAGCCAATACATCATTCTGTTATTTATTACATAATTACCGTTTTAGAGCAAGATGCAGCAAAGTATGGTCCCCAGGTCAAATCAGCCCTGCCACCTATTTTTTTTGTATGGCCTGCATGCTAAGAATGATTTTTACACTTTTAAATAGAGGGGAAGAAGCTCCGAGAATAATATTTCATGATACGGGAAAATTATATGAAATTCAAATTGGCATCCACAAAGAGTCTGATTGGAACACCGTTGCACCCATTTTTTTTACATCTTGTCTGTGGCTGCTTTCATGCCAGAGACACGACAACATACATACGTAGCAGAGTTTAATAGTTTCTACCGAGGGTCCACAAAGCGTAGTTACTATCTGGCTCTTTACATAAAGTCTTTCAACCATGTTGTAGAGTACTTAAAACTTATTTTCTTAGATTGTAAACTCTTTGAAGACAAGGAAGGACTATCTTTGTATCTCCCATTGCCCTTTCAAATTTATGGCTCTCTGGCACTTTTCAGTATTTGTTTATTGACTGGTTTTTGATGTATTCGCTGGAAGTCAGGTTTGACCACTGTGGAAGATCAGGCAGGACTACTGAAATTTGTGCCTTTCATTAACTGGCATACAGTGAACGTCAACAGAGAATCAAATACTTTTTGGCTTACAACATGTTGATTATTCTTGGGATAGTTTGGCTAGCTTTCTGGTATGTCATTCTTTCATGTTTTACAGAAAATACTAATTCTCACTTTGCAGTGTGGTTTCCATTTATTCCCTAGGGTGTTTATGCATTAGTTTTGATTAATGGAATGTTTTCTCCTTTCCCAAGATAAGTGTGGGGGATGCAACCAATCTAAATTGCATCTGGTGTGTATGTAGGGGTTGAACAACTGCTTTGTGAGTTAAGCACAGTTAAGTCCATGGATTTGGTAAAAAATAAGTAAATAAATAAAAAGGCACTGGATCTTTCTTCTGCATGCCAGCCACAAAGCTTTCCTAAACTTCTGTCTGTGGCTAGAAAAATAAAGACTGGATGAGAATTCCTGTGAAATCTTGTTCTGTGTAGGCATATGTGCTGAACCAGCAATTACTCACCTAATCTTCCTATCATGATGGTGTTTTGTGTGCCTGCTGAACCTAGCAATAAGCTTTCCAGTATTTCTTTCATCATGAAGTTAAGGTAAGCATTGTGTATTCCCATGAGTGTATTATTTGGCATGAAGTATACACCATCACAGGTTTGGAATTTGAGGAACCTAGGAGGATGCTGTTGTAGAAAAGTATGTTTCATTGATAAACAAGGTTCTGAAAAATGAATGGGGAGAATATGTCACGAGTATAAAAATGTGTGTAACATTCATTAAATTGTTTGTTAAATAATGTATTCAGACTGACTGTGTTTCCCAGCCTCTCCTTTGCCCGTTATATGTTCTAGTAAATTAAAGCTCGGAAACCTTTGTCAGAGTTATAATACTCAAACTGACATCTAATTCCCCCGGACAATAGGTACAAGACTGCGAGCCTCTCTAATTCTTTCCAGTCTTTACATTTATTGGTTCTTTTGTAGACCTGTTTCATTCAATCTATTACAAACAGCACTGGTTAAAAGTGTGAAGTTTACCACATTTGACCGGAGGCACATTAAAAAACAATAGCGTCCTGGCGTACATTCCATGCGTCCCAGGGGTATAGCTCTTCATCTGAGCAGCATTTTCATCTATAATTACTACATTAGATTTGAAGTGCTGGCTTGATTAAAAAGATTGACATGTTTATTTTTTGGCTGACCTATTTGGGTAGATGTGGATTTGATTCATCTGTTTTGTGTGACCCTGTGTTACAAAGATGTTATTAGTTGAGCAAGAATCATGTTTTATTTTGGAGTCACCATTTTAGCATAGATTTGAAATGCTTTTATTATAGTTACATAAGAAATGGTAAAAGTTGAAATTTTTTAAAAAAGAAATTATGTGTGCACTCACCCAGGTATCATAAATAGAAATGTATTTCAGAATGGTTTTCAGAGTTCAGTATTATTGAGATTGTTATTGAAACGTTTATAAATACTGCATCAAATGGCGTCCACAACTTCATGGCCTACGTTAAAAAGCTTTCACCAGAATTAACATAATCTATTTTTTATTGTGCACCATTGCTCAGGATTATGCCTTTTCTACACATCTGATGTTGTAAAACATATTGTGTAAATAATTGATAATAAACAAACAAATTCTACTTTTGCCCTGGTGTACTTCACCAGTTTCAAGACTTTGAAGTTCCTTAAATAATTTATGGCACTTATTAGTGCAGGCAAATCAAATGGTATCCTTGATCCGAGCTGCTTTTTGTCCTCGTTGTTTCTGAGCAGAATTGTTAAGTGAGCCTTCTGATTGGGACGAAGCTGAGTACCGCTGAAAATCACTGTGGCATTCATGCTGATGTGTACTGATGCACGCGTGTTGCCAAACCTTCGGTATTTACACTAATGGAATTCGCAGGGTTACCGGAATATATTCTGAAACTAGGAATTGATGTATCTTTTGAGAAAGAGAAAAACATCTTTTCACCAGCACGCTTTTAGTTTACCTATAGCTTCTTCCACGACGCTTCTTAAGATGAGGATTTCGCCTCAATATGCACTCCTTGGCTAAGATACAAGCCTGCTGAAAAACATGAACCAAAATATCAAAAGACAGATTATGTGATCTTTTTTTAACTCATAAAAGCTTAGGCAGCATGCCAGCCAGCCAGACTAAATACTCTGCAATGGTACAATAGTCTTCCTTGGGTGTGGAAAATGTAACCCTGTGATGGGAGACAAGTGAAGTTTGAGAAGTTATGAAAGATTTATGACAAACATTTTTTTCTCCTCACGGTCTTCCGTGTTATTTATAATTACATGAATCTTAACCAGAGGTTTTATTGATTTCATAATGAATTCAAATAAAGATTGCAGCTCCTCAGCGACCTTTAAAGGTTAGACTGGCTATGCATGTTTTTTTCCAAAAGTTTTTGTCGTGATAGAATTTATTTTTTACCATGGAAGTATTCAGACATAGTAGGGTCACTTCAGACTGTAATTATCACTGCAAGGCTTATGAAATAAGTGACCAACACAGTCTCTATCACACACACACACACACACACACACACACACACACACACACACACTTATATATTCAGAGGACTTCTTTATAATAGTTCTATTCAAGCAAGCCATGTAGGAGAAATGTTGTCACTTTTGTGAGGGCATATAACATGAGCAACCTATAATGGATCCCTTTTTTTGGTGTTTGCCATCTCTTAGAGAGATTTGATTTGCAAAGGAAGCCCCCAAAACGTGCCTGTTATCCACACGACCCTGTATGTCTAGGGCAGGCCTTGATGGCTGATCAACCTGTCTTGAAGTGAATGAGGGAGAATATTTTAACGTGGAATGCCACCTTAAAGCATGACTTTAAAAAATATCTTGAGGCTGGGCCTGTAATCCGAGCACTTTGGGAGGCCAAAGTGGGAGGATCTCTTGAGCTCAGGAGTTCAAGCCCAGCCTAGGCAACATAGCAAGAGCTCGCCTCTACAAAAAATAGAAAAAATTAGCTGAGCATGGTGGTGCACGCCTGTGGTCCCAGCTGCTCTGGAGCCTGAGGTGGGACGATCCTTTGAGCTGGGGAGGTCAAGGCTGCAGTGGGCTGTGGTCACACCACTGCACTCCAGTGTGGGTGACAGAGCAAGACTCTGTCTCTTAAAAAATATAAAAAAACCTTGAAATAATAGTATAAATACAACTTCGCTACACTCAGTATTAATTACTAGTCATAACCCTAAATTAATTTGTCAATATGCCATGTAAAGACATTTAAAAAGAAATTCAAATGCCAAAAAATAAAAGATTTGTACTCGTTATAAACATTAACTCACTTAACTTCAAACACTAATTATTACTATTTATGAAGGAAATCATGGCCTCCATTATATTCTCAGAAAAAAAAATTCTCTAACCTTGAAAATCTATCCGAGGCTCTGGCTAGACCTCAACTCCTGCAAGCAGCTTGTAGGTTTGAAATCAATAACCCTTCTGGCAACTTCTTTTCAGGGCCAAGATTAACTGCCCTAGAAAGAGAACTTATCTTGGATTGAGCTTCAGAAAGGAGCTAACAGTCCTCTTTGGGCTGTTTTTCCCTAGTGTCTCACTGCTTGGAGTCTCCTAAGCATTCTCCCTGCAGGACACCAGGAGAAAAGAGTGTTTTCATCCCCACGCCATCCCCCGTGCGGAGTGAATGTACCTGGGCTGTGGTAGACAGCACACCTGCCTACCATTTCCCCGGAGTCTCTTCCGCTTGAAGATCCAAACCAGTGGACATGCTTTTTGGACCGAGTTGCTAAGGATCATCTGTTTCCTAGATGTAACATTCAGATGGTTCAGGAAGATGTGTAGCGTGTCTAGATTCCGGACAGATTGGAAGTGTAGCATCCAGAAAGTCAGTGTGGGATTACCAATTCAGAAGGTTGGTAATTCACCATAGCCACGCCTCATCTGAGAGGCAGGAAGTGAGCCAAGTAGGAAGGGTAAGCCTCTTCTCAAGGGTCAAGGCAAGCAAGTTCTGGGTGGCAGGAGGTAAGCCTGGCCCTGGACACCAGGCGCCTCACCTTCCCCATCTTGTTTTCACCGTCATTGCCCTCTCTGGCTGGAAAGTCTCATTTGAGCTTAAGCCCTCGGGTGTAGTAATGTAACTAGGGCTGATTGTGGAGAGGACCTGTGCCCTGGTTCTGCTGAAGATTCTAGAAGCTCCTTTAACCTTATACTGTGACTTTAAGAAAAGTTGTGATCATTAAAGTTTTTCTTTTTCTTCTTTGTAACATTTTCTACACATTTGAAAGGAACATACCCTGATGTTTTTAAAACAGTCATACCTTGTCAGTTTCACATCTCCGTACCAAAACCCAAAACCTAAAGAGCATGGCTTCTTTTGACTAGAATTCCTGCACTGGTCCTTCTTGTTTCCTTTCTCTCGTCCTCAAATGTGATGCATCATTTCCGGTCATCTTCTCGGATGCCAAGGAGCTCAGGACCTGACTCCTTGAAGTTGTCTTTCTCCTTCTCTGCCATTGTTCACGTTTCCCATCCTCGGAGTTGCTGTTGCATTTCATGTCAGCATGTTACAGTTTCACAATTTAAACTCCTTCTAAAAGTTCTCTGGTTCTACTGATGACATTATTTGTTAATCTATTTCCTATACAAATAATAAGCTGTGTTTCTATTATTTTTGTTGTCTACAAGCTTTTTAACCAGTTACACTGCAGCGGGCGTTCAGTGTTTAACATTGGTTAGCCTGATTTTCCTAAGTGAATTGTTTGCATCTACACTCAAAGCTTGGGGTTAATACCCTTGCTATTTAGTATCTTCTATAGCAGTAGGTTGAAAACTATGCCACGATAACCCTGCCTAGCCATGGAGGGATGTGAGATAGGGAATAGCCAGTTGTGTTTGGGGGCTCCACTCCCAATTTAACAAAAGAAGTTCAGGGGTTTTTTTTCCTCTCTAGGAGTTCATTTCACCATCAGAGGATATTATTCAGAGGATAAAAAAAGTTTCCAAACCACTGCTTTAATTACTTAATAAATACTCAAAAAATAATTATCCCACCGTGGTATTGCATAGGGAAATAATAAGTTGCAGCTCAACAATACAAAAAGAAAAAAAATGTGTAAAGGGCCCTAAATAGGTACTGTGGTAAGAGCAAAGTGTCTTTTGCATATAAATGGTTTAAATAGTGACAATAACTTTAGTTTTGTCAGATTTAGAGCAGCTACCTAGTTGCATATAATCTGGAGTGCCCTTTCAGTAAAGTTTCACAGCTTCTCAGAAATGCGGTGCTGGTTTGTCAACCCTGTTCTCCCACTCAGCAAAGAGATAAAGATCTGGTGGGAAGGGCTCAGTGGCTCACGCCTGTAATCCCAGCACTTCGGGAGGCCGAGGCGGTCGGATCACCTGAGGTCAGGAGTTTGAGACCAGGCTCGCCAACATGGTGAACCTGCGTCTCTACTAAAAATACATAACTTAGCTGGATGTGGTGGCACGTGCTTGTAATCCCAGCTACTCAGGAGGCTGACACAGGAGAATCGCTTGAACCTGGGAGGCGGAGCTTGCAGTGAGCCAAGATCACACCACTGTACTCCAGCCTGGGCGACAGAGTGAGACTCCATCTCAAAAAAAATAAATAAAAAATAAATAAAATTTAAAAAAATAAAAGAATTGGTGGGAAGGCCTAGAATAGGCTTCTGACCCTGGGCCGTTTACTCTGGGCAACAATATCTTCCCTACACATTCTGCAGATTAGAGGTTCATTTGCACGAATAAACTCTCCTTCCAAAGGGAATTCCTGTAGAGATGGCTTCGTTTATCAGCCATTTACACCTTAGGTTGTATTACTTTAATCAAGTAATCAGATTACTTTTACTGAGGGCAGGGACCTTTTGATTGATTGGGAATAAGGTGCAGCACTTTGTGAACTCAAGGCGGTGAGAAAGAGGTGTGCCTCAGTCGGTTGTCAGAGCGACACTCACATCAGGATTGGCTTTGGGATTCAGCCAACCCTTCCAGGTATTGGGGTGAACTGTGCAGCTTGCTGCGGATAGCCCGCTACTTTGGTGAGAAGAGGAAGGACAAATATCATAACACCTAAATTACAAATGGCCCTGGGATGTGGAGCAGTTGGAATGAAGCTGACAGGAAAAGTCAGCGGCAATGGAAATAGGTGCAGGCGACCATTTCCTGACGAGCAGGTGTCAGGTAGTGCGGAGTGGATGCGGACTGTTTTCAGCTCCTGGCTCAGGCCTGGGCTGCAGAGAGACTGAAGACCCGATGATGAAGGACAGAGCAGAGGGAAGCAAAGGAATGACAAATATCATTTGAGACAGGTGTAAAACCATGGTCTGAGACATTTTGTAAAGACACAAGTGGAAATGAGGAAGGAGCTAGATGGAAAAGAGGATTGGGAGGCCTTCCCATAGAAGAAGACAAAGTCAAATTATAACTGAAAAAAGTTCTTAACACATGAAAGAAGAAGTAGGCCCTTGCCTACTTCTGCCTCATTTTGCAAACCAGATGAAAGTGTATGTTAGTAAACTTTGAACAACAAATTTCAGTATAGTTTAGATAGTGTTGGGACACAGTTGAGAAAGCTAGCTGGTAGAAATGCTGCCATAAGCCTAGGAAGTACCGGTGTGGGGACTGAATGGTGTTGACTGATCAGTACTATACCTGAAGAATCATTGCACATTTCAGGCCGGGCACGGTGGCTCACTCCTATAACCCCAGAACTTTGGGAGGCCAAGACAGGCAGATCACTTGAGGTCAGGAGCTCAAGACCAGCCTGGCCAACATGGTGAAACCCCGTCTCTACTATCCCAGCTACTCAGGAGGCTGAGGCAGGAGAATGGCCTGAACCCAGGATGCGGAGGTTGCAGTGAGCCAAGATCGCACCACTGCACTCCAGCCTGGGCAACAGGGCCAGACTCCATCTCAAAAAACAAAAAAAAGAAGAAACATTGCCTATTGCCCATTTCATTATTCAGTATCTTAGGAGCAAAAATCATTGGTGGTTAGCGAGGAAGATTAAACTCGCCCAGATACAATTTTAAAGAGTTGAAAATCGACCCATGAAAAAGTGTGTTTTTGTATCTCTGCTTGTGTTGTTAGAAAAAAATAATAGCTCAGCATTCAGGTTTTCTACAGGTGTGAAAATCCAGGTGCAAGTTTTAAATCACTTGACGTGGTACTATAGATACATGTAACCATAGATGGCTTTGTGGAACATCATTGCTTTTTTTTTTTTTTTTTTTTTTTGAGACAGGATCTTGCTCTGTCGCCTAGGCTGGAGTGCAGTGGCGCAATCACAGCTCACTGCAGCCTTGACCTCCCTGGACTCATATGATTTCTCCCACCTCAGCCTCCCGAGTAGTGGAACTTTAGGCTCAGGCCACCACACCTGGCTAGTATTTGTACTTTTTGTAGAGACAGGGTTTCGCCATGTTGCCCAGGCTGGACTCTAACTCCTAGGTTCAAGTGATCTGCCTGCCTGGGTCTCCCAAAGTGCTGGGATTAGGCATGAGCCACTGTGCCCAGCCGCATATTTTAAGGTATACATTGCTTGGGTTTTATCAGGATATAATTAGTCATTCAGTTTATGGAAAAATTTATATTAAACAGACAGTGGTCTCAAAGGAAGGCTCTAAAAGGTCTAGAAATGATACATAGGGGGCGGAACAACATGGGAAAATATCCGTGTTTCTTGCATAATCATAGAAAAAGAATCAGTCTAAATGGGCCAGTTCTCTTTTACTAGAAATAATGGTGCCAAAATAAAAACTTAGGTGTTAGAAATAGTATTATTGAACCCAAATCATCTTTAAAACTTATTCCACTGACTCAGAATCAAACACTGAGAATAAAGGGTTTAAGGTAAAAGAAAATATATCCAATTCACACTTCAGGAAAATGAAAATACCACAGACCAAGAGAACATTCTTATTGAGCTTTTTTTCAGTGCTCTCAATTTAACCAGCTGGAATTATTTTTAAAGTACATCCAATTCAACCTTTTAAAATGACAGATTTGCCTTTTAATGGGAAATATGTATTTCATCATAAAGACGGAGCACAGTGTCCTTGGCTAAGTTATTCTCTACAGAAGGATGCTCTTTTTTTGTACTCTGTGCTTAGCCTATAAGAAAGAACACAGATTATAGAAAATTAGCTCCTGGCATGGAAGATTAGAAGCATATAGACAGACTGATAGAGAACAATTAAAAATGCAAACTGTTCCTTTCAGTATCCTGAATTCATAGGGTGATGTCAATTGCTATGAAATGAGCCGTTCATACAAACAGAACCAGCCAAGGGGAAGAATAACTTTAGAAACTAGAGTGCCTTTTTTTTTTTTTTTTGAGATGGAGTCTCACTCTGTCACCCAGGCTTGAGTGCAATGGCGCGATCTCGGCTCACTGCAACCTCCACCTCCCGGGTTCCAGTGATTCTCCTGTCTCAGCCTCCCGAATAGCTGGGATAACAGGCATACACCACCACGCCCAGCTAATTTTTGTATTTTTAGTCGAGATGGGGTTTCACCATGTTGGTCAGGCTGGTCTCGAACTCCTGACCTCAGGTGATCCACCTGCCTTGGCCTCCCAAAGTTCTAGGATTATAGGTGTGAGCCACCACGCCCAGCCTAGAGTTCCTTTTTTAATTAAAGAAGAGACAACCACTACTTTAAATAACCAGATAGTACGTTAGAAAAAGTCAATCACAAGCTCTGTTATTTGGGGACTTTTTGGTGTCTCACTCAAGGAACCTCTTAAATCTGTATTCATTTTAATGTTTTTTTCTTTTTTTGTCGGGGACAGTCAAAATCATCTCCAATTTCTAAGGAGAAACAAACAATTCACTGATAACAGTGGAGCTGAATTAAGCAATCTCAGTGTTTAAGTTAGTAAAACAGACACATTTTCGATTAAGATGAACAGTTTCGAGACATAGGCCTGACTGATGCTGTGTGACAGGACAGGATCTGTGAGCTGTGAGTGGAGGGTAAACATTCCAGGACTGTGCAGGTGGGAGAGGGTGAGGTCAACCAGAGATGCTCATTCAAAATCAGACCTTGGGGCAGGAGTTGCGAGCAGATGCTAAGGGAAGGATCCAAGAAGATCCAGGGGTGGGGGCAGCGGCTGGCCAGCAGGAGCAGCGGAAGGGGGTCTGAAGTTATTCCCATGGCAGGGTGGGGGGTCTGGAAAGGCAAGCAGAGCTACTGGAAGCCCCCCTTAGGTTAGAAACAAAATACACATAGCATTCGTCTCATCATGGGGCTCTTGAAGTCAGATATACTTCAGAACCCACTGCCTCTGAAGAACAAAACAAGGATTTTGGTTTGTCAATGGTAGGCATACTTGTCTTATTAATTCTAGTACTGAAATTTCTGGAAAATGTTAAAGAGTCTTTTAGGAAATAGAAAAATAACTATGCATTTTCAGGTATTTTGGTAGAAACACCACCCCAGCATGCTTTATCTACACAGTCTCCAAAGTTCTTTATGTAATCATAGTAACAAATTGGACAACCACTTCCAATATGTAAACAAAAACCCTTGGTATGTGTGAAGCACATTCATTCATTCAACAAAGGAAACAAGCGTCTGGGCCTGTCCCTGTGCCAATGGGATTGGTTAAAAGCAAAATCAGACCAGGAGCCTGTTCCAGTTGACTGGAAAGCCTGAGAGTTTTATAGCTCTGTTTAACTGGAACGTGGGCTTGTGAGTGGGGAAAGAGAGAACTAAAATTCTAAAACGGATTGGAAGTTCCTGAAGTTCCTGGTGAACTTTGAATGCACAACTAAGATGTGTGCACTGCACTTTTTTTTTTTTTTTTTTTTTTTGAGATGGAGTTTCACTGTTGTTGCCCAGGCTGGAGTGCAGTGGTGCAATCTCGGCTCACCACAACCTCTGCCTCCCGGGTTCAAGTGATTCTTCTGCCTCAGCCTCCCAAGCAGCTGGGATTGCAGGCATGCACCACCACACCCAGCTACTTTTATATTTTTAATAGAGACGGGGTTTCTCCATGTTGGTCAGGCTGGTCTCGAACTCCTGACCTCAGGTCATCCACCTGCCTCGGCCTCCCAAAGTGCTGGGATTACAGTTGTGAGCCACCACGCCTGGCCTGAACTGCACTTTTTAATCCCAGGTCCAATTCCACTGCTTCGCTTACAATCTGGGACTCTGCCTCGGAGTGAGGCACAGGGGATCTTGCTGCTGGGTTTGCAGGGCCAGACACAGAATGTGGCAGAGAGAGAGAGAGTGCCCATGACTAAACCTAATCCACAGCTGGGCAGGCAGAGGGGAAGTGCAGGCGGCTCATCCAGAGAACCTGTGCCTGTAAGGGCAGGGCAACATTGTGAAAGATCAAGAGGGCTTGAGGAAGAGGGTGGATGGAAAGCCTACACGATCCCCAAGCCCTGGGAGACAATGTGTCATTATGAAAATGGGCTCAGGCCGGGTGCGGTGGCTCAAGCCTGTAATCCCAGCACTTTGGGAGGCCGGGGCGGGTGGGTCACCTGAGGTCAGGAGTTCGAGACCAGCCTGACCAACATGGTGAAACCCTGTCTCTACAAAAAAATCCAAAAATTAGCCAGGCGTAGTGGTGGGTGCCTGTAATCCCAGCTATTCGGGAGGCTGAGGCAGGAGAATCACTTGAACCAGGGAGGTGGAGGTTGCAGTGAGCCGAGATCGTGCCATTGCACTCCAGCCTGGGCAACAAGGGTGAAACTCCATCTCAAAAAAAAAAAAGAAAAAGAAAAGAAAATGGGCTCAAATAGAATCTTTTGGTTCCTTCTCCTCCACCCAGCTATCACATAAAATAAACTCACACCCCCAACTTCAGGGCCACAGGTAGGTAGCGTGGTAAAAGTTTAGGGCATTGGAGAGAAAGATTAAGTGTTAGCTTCCTTCACCATCCCCTGGCCAGTTCCCAGTCCCCAAAGTGGTAGAAGTTGATTTCTCAAAGAACAGAGGGCAAAGAATGCCTCATGATTTTTGGAGCGCTGAGAGCTGTCTTAAGGTCTTCAATAAATGACAAAGGCAGTTGGGAGACTTGAGTTCCTGTTTCTGGGGCCAAGAGTTTAAGCCAACAGACTTGAGTTGGAGCAGCGGTTGCTCTTCCTAACTCCCTTTCCCCCGCTTTGCTGGGCCTGTATCCTCCCTCTTTCCCAACGCCTCTCCCGCTAACCTGAGAGGGAGAGTAGGGAGAGTTTTGGTGGCTGCACTGGAGGGATTTGCTACAGTTCTTGCTCCATTGGAGTGTCTTTGGCAGGTGGCCCCTCATCGTGGGCACAGCCTCACAACCCTTCTGGAAGGACATCTGCTGCTGAATATCACCATTGCCTGGGCATATGGCCTCAGGCCTCCCTCCTAAACATGGTGGAAGCATACAAGACCTCGTGGAATCATTAAAACTTTTAGAGCAGGGGAATGACAGAAAGAAGGAGAAATGTTTCAAGGAAGTTAATTTCATCCAAGATATAACATGGATTCGAGAAGGGAGGTGTTTCAGAAGCTGTCACCATCAAGGGTAGACACTAATGAAGCATCAGAGCGCCGACAGTAATGGATAGAGGGCTGGATAATGAAGGGGGAAATCAACAGGGCTCAGTAATGAGTTGGCTGCGGGGGACAAAAGAAAGAAAAGAGTCAGAGATTCTGATGAGGTTTTGAGGCTCATTATGATTACGAAATGTAAGGAATCCAGATTTTGCTGGATGTAGTGTGTGGTGATAATGGGCTCTGATACAGATTTCAAATGGTGGTGTTGCTTATAATGCTGACTGAAGCGGTGTTATCTTTAGGCTCATGTAAGAGTTGAAATGTTTTTGGAATGTGTAATACCTTTATTTTAAGAGTGTGTGGTACAACCAGTTGAAAACCTGTGAAAACGTTTACTCCAAACTAATTCATAATAGGTTGTTTTTTTGGTGGGGAGAGGGGAAGAGTGAATAATTCAAAATGAGTTTATTTTGAAAATACCCTTGCAATAAATACGTGATCACTTTTGAGCTTCTTTGCAGAATTTTATTAGACACTGTATACACCCCTGCGTCTTCCAGACACTATTTTTCAACTCAGGTTGTCTCAGTCGTTGCCTCCCACTGTCTGTTCTGCTCAGTGCCTCAACGTAGTCAGCACATCGTGGTCTTTTCATTCACACATTTCCTTTCCTGACCATTATTTATCTAAGGGACACCTTGTATGGCTCTTGCAGATTCCTGATAGCCTTTTCCTGTGATGCTTGTACAGAATTCAAGCATTAAATTCATTTTCATGAAAAACAATGAAATGCAAATTTAAAAAAACCCAAAAGAAACAAATCTCTGTGTTCAATGAAGATTACAGCTTTACTCTTTCTATATACAAATGTATATGTTTGCCTATAGAGATTGCATTTGGAGATTTCTCTAAAAAGTAACTTCACATAAGATATTCATGACAACTGAGTCTGCATTGTTCTCCATTTCCCAGCAAGCTTTGTGACTTTTCGGTTGCAGCAGCTGTGGATCAGCTGACACATGGTCCCAGAAGATTTGCAGTCTTCTTTATGCTCATTAGCTTTTCTGAATTTAAAATAACCCCATCTTACAGTAAAATACGGTTTGAGAATAACTCTCTAATACTCACTGGATAATTTAATTCCTCCTTCGGCATCTGACTTTGAAAGCCCACATTGACCGTGGCTTAAAACAAAACAAATGGAAACTCTTCCACCCCGTGTCTATCACACCCTTTTCCAATCCATATAAATTTCACAACTGCTGCTTTGTGACTATTGCTCTCCTAACTAAAATAGTTGACGTAAGCTAAATGCTTCTTTACATTTAATTATTAAATAATAGAATCTGCGAACCTCAGCTATTTGCATGACCACTTCTAGAAACCTGGGTCTTTGCTTGACTTAGAGCTTCTCTCTGTCTTCAGGCCCACCTCTCCCATGTGCCTCTGACACGCCCCTCTCCCAGCACACTGGCCTCAGGGCCTTGGAGCCTGGCTCTTGATTCACCACTAACGTATTTCCTCAGGGCCCCCCAGGTGCAGTGGAGCGTTGCTATGACTGATTTACACCCAGCCTTTCTCCTCATGGGTGCTCCCCTGGGCCCCCCCAAATCACCGCGCCACATCTGGCGACCTAACTCATTGTCAAGCTTCACTTTCGCTCATTGTGCCCTTGGCACATCGTTTTCCAGTAGACAACTCCATGAACAGTTTTATTTATTTGCGTATTTATCTATTTGCAAATTATTCTTCTCACATTTGACTGCTATCTTCCCCTTGTGGAAATTTTTATCTTGGAAGTTTGGGGAGCATCAGTGGAGTACATGTGGATGCTCCCAACTCACATCTGATGAGGAAGCTGCCTTCGTACACGCAGGCAAAGTGCATTCGACAGAATATGAAAAAATTAAGCCAGCGGACAATTAATATAGTGAGAAGTGCTTTACATCCGGAACATGGACTGCCTCTCACCAAGCATTGGGTACTTCATTCTTCTCTGAAGCTGGCCAAAAGACGTGAAAGCAACTCACTAATTTACACGATCCACCGAAAGAAGAAATCTGTAAAATTAAAAAAAAAAAAGAAAGAAATCAGCTAAACTAACAGATATAATAGGATGATTGCTTGAGTTGTTCACATTTAAAATGTCTGTGTAAGTGTTAAAAATGTTGCCTCGGAAAACAGAATAGAATTTCCCTGTGACCTGAAGTGATGGGATAATTACCTCCCTCCTCAGAGCAGGTTTCCTGGCTCCTCATGCCCAGGCTATTGAGGACCAGCCCTGCTCTATTGTCAGATTTGTTTTCCTGTTTTGGGGATGATTGCTTTCCCCACAGAGCCTCAGGATTGCTCCAGCTCTTAAAATGGTAAGTGCCATTGCCACCTGGATTCCCTCTCACTTAGAAGCATCTCAAGGAGTCTGTTATGGGCCAGGGGGCTGCTGATGGATTCACGAGAATGTCTCCCTCTCTGAGCCTTGGATTCCTGACACTGGAGAGGGATTCCTTGATGAATGCCTTCGCCCTACCCGCTTACCTAACCCCTATGATTTGTTGAGAATCTGCTAGCTTTCTTTATGGAGATGTCAATTCCTCATGCGTGTCATAGACATGGAGTCATTCATTCAATAAATATTTACTGAGAACCTTTCGTGTTTTGTGCTTGCTTCATGTCAGTTACTTGTGCTAAAAAATAAGGTGGTTTCTATTCTTTTCTTCCTCCCCTGGAAGTCATTCCAGAGTTTTTGTCCCTTCCCAATAACTCAATTTCAGATTATTTGCTCAAGGAGTAAAAAATTAGCAGAAGTTACTGAGTATTCATCTGGGGGACTTCATTCTAGCCAGAGAATTTGGCATATCAGCCTAAATTCTCTAGACTTCAAAATTCCCGTTCTTTCTTTCTCTCTCTTTTTAATTTGTAAAATTCCTATCTACTATTATTATCTCTAAGTCCCTGCATGTTTGCTAATGTCACGCACTCAACATAAGCATGAGATGCTCGGAAATTTGTTTGCTAAATCATCTGGCAAATGGTCTTGTTGATGTCTGCTGAGCTGCTCAGAGCCTACAGTTGTTAAGTACTTATTACAGGAACCCAGCAGGGCAAATTAAGAAAGCTACATGTATGCTTGTTATTTTAGGACTATTATGCTATGCTTCTGAGGGGGCTGCATATTGGACTTTCTGACCTGAAAGGACTTGCTGTTCTTTAGTCAGAGGTTGCTGCGTGGAATCTGAATCTTTGACCCGGCAACAATAAAAGTGATTATCTTCAAGGGGGAGAATGTCCTCTAGTTGCTTTTCATAGTTCAGCCTGCTGGAAAATGTAAAACACTTATTTAGGCAGCTCTAGGTTCACTTGGTATGTCATATTTTATAACTAAGCTGGGAGCTTTTTCTACTTACACATTAAGTTATTTACTTCATTTTTAAATGTAAGTGCTTTATCTAAACAGGACTCCAAAGCTTAAGCTCTTAGCACAGGGTGAGCATGCTTCCCAGCCCATGCAAAAAGATATGTGGCGGGGCAGAGCTGTTATTAAAATTATAGCTGATGCTCCCCCTGCTTTTTTGGGGAGTGCATATTACAAATTGAAGCTGCCAGCTAAGTAACTTACACATCACTTAGGGTGGATTTTAAAATAACTATACAGCTCCTTTAGTCTTTCTAAGAACTACTTATAAAGCAAATTTTGGGTGTCTGAAAATTTCTTAATATGTAAAAGCTTGGGAAAAATATGATCAAAAGTATTTTAAGTGCATTAACTTTAGAACTCCTAAAAATGCCGATTTTCTGGAAAACAGGAATTTATTATTGTCATCACTTTAGACTTTCATCTTTTGTAATGTATTGTGTTCTACCAAAGCTCTGCCTTTGGTACCTTCTTTTGGCATCACAGCTGTGCTTAAAATACCTTTCCAGCAGTTTAAGTTATCTCAAATGGTCATCTGGTTAAAAATGCTGCTGCTGCTGTTGCTGTAATTTACAAGAGAATGTCCTTGAAGTCGTGTGTTTCCTCAGAAGTTTTGTCAGTTTCATAAGCCTTAAAAATGTAAGTGTTGCAAAAGAGAGTTGGCCTTTCCCTTTCTGTTGTAGATATTTTTTAATAATGCAAGCTGCTTAAGCACAGAGTTAATGTCCAACATGCCTTTTTCTAGCAGGAGACTTTGTACTTTATAAATGCTTTATGATGTTAAGTATTTGTGAGAAGTAAAAGAACTTGACTTTTCAAAATAATAAAAAGCACTGGGTAATCACCCCATTAAGAAGTCAGATGCCAGATCTGAATGTACCTTAACACGTCAGTTTCTATGAATATGCTCATGATTCACTTTCTGGGAATCTGCCTGTGTTTCTCTCATCTCAAGAGCAACAATTACTTCTCATGAAGACTCTAGGGCAGGAGTCAGCAAACAATTTCCGTAAAGGGACAGATAGTATTTTAGGCTTTGCAGGCCAGGAGTACAAATTAAGAATAGTGTGAAAGTATTCCACACATTTCCACACATTTTACTGACAAAATTTTAATATAGTAGTAATGAAAGGGTATACTTTTTAAATGTAATACAGGTCTACTAATGAGAAGAATGGATTGTTGTGGGGGAGAGTTGACATTTTGCCTAATTAGAGTTCAAAGGTAGCATTTCTTATCAAAAACCATTCTGAGCTCAAGGGCCATATAAAAGTAGGCAGCAGGCTGGATTTGGCCCACAGGACCATAGTATGTCCTAGAAGGGGGCTTTGCTCAAAGTGTGTTCTTGGGAGCAGCTGATTTCATGTCACTGCGGTGGCCTCTTAGACCTGCAGAGCCCAGACTCCACCAGAGGTTCTCAGGCTCATCTGATCAAACCTGTGCTTGCCTCTGTTGCAACGTTGGTTTAGTGGTCAAAGTATATTTCCTATCTTTTGGAAATCCAGCTGTCACTTTCCATGACGTCCTTCAATTCAGCCTTCACATTCACATGGGCTCAGCTGTCCCTCTTTTTTTTTGTTTTTTTTTTTTTGAGATGGAGTTTCGCCCTTGTCGCCCAGGCTGGAGTGCGGTGGCACAGTCTCAGCTCACTGCAACCTCCGCCTCTGCGTTCAAGCCATTCTCCTGCCTCAGCCTCCCAGGTAGCTGGGATTACAGGTGCGCGGCACCATGCCCGGCCAATTTTTGTATTTTTAGTAGCAACGGGGTTTCACCACGTTGGTCAGGCTGGTCTCGAACTCCTGACCTCAAGTGATCTACCCTCCTTGGCCTCCCAAAGTGCTGGGATTACAGGCGTGAGCCACCGCATCCAGCCCAGCTGTCCCTCTTTAAAAAAAAAAAAAAAATCGTTGTTTTGACACTGCCATGCTCTACCTCCCATCCCATCCCCCACACTCAAGGCAGGTGCTTCCCAGGCACCTTGTGTGCGTGTGGCCCCACTGTGCATGCTCATGCAGTAGAGCTCCCGTCCCCACCACTAGATCAAAGCTACACTCAAAGGCTGCCAAGACTCCTGCTGGCAGACCCAGTCTTTGCTGTCCTAAACCTCTGCTTGTCCTTTGACACTGCTAGGAGCCCCCTTCGCACCAGAATAGCTCCTCTTTGCCGATATATCTTAAGGTCTTAAGGTATAGCCGAGTAAAGTTCTTGAAGAAACATTACCTGGTGGCCTGGGAGAATTCTTCAGGCACAGTTAGTAATTGTGTAAATGCGTCTGTTACCATTTGATGGGGGTATTAACTGGGCTTGGGAGTACAGTAGCTGAATAGGACCTTGCCTGGGGTAGGAGTCTGGGGCTTTGAGAGGTAGATGGAATCTGAAGGTGCACGAACATAGCAGCCCGTGGGGGTACTGATGGGTATTCAATTCTCAAGAGAATGAGATCCAAGACTGGCTCTCTCTCTCAGTTGATGAGACCTAGGTGAGTGAAGTCATCTGCAGGGGGAGGTGGGGTAGAATTAACTCATTCATGTCTCAGTCCACTCCTCTACACCCAGGCTGTGTCATAGAGTGTGAGGTGTCTCCGCAGCTGTGGTCCCCACAGCATCCACAACCTCCAGCCCTCCCCAGCCTCCCTGTGCCGCATCCTCCGCCATGAATCCTGTTTCATCTAGGTTTCTCTTTCCCTCTCCCTCCTGCCAAATGATGAGTGCTGGCAACACTACATGCCACACCCTGCTTTTCTCTCTAGATCCCCTGCTCTCACACCCTCGGGCGGATGGACGGTCACACCGACACCATCAGCTCTGACCTCTCCCCTTCAGAGAGGTCTCCTTTACACTGGTCTCACATGCTACAGATTTCACTTCACTTGGATTGCAAGCATTTTCCTTGAATTCAGCACCTCAACATTGAAAACCAAAGTTTGTTCAAAATAGGCTTCTTTTCCCCCCAACCCATTTTACTCAGTGGCCTTCCTGTTACTCTCTCCTCTCAAAGCCTGGAAGCCTTTACTTATTATGCTTCTCTCACTTTCTGTCCAGTATCTCAGTCCTTCAAATATTTTGTTTGATTATTTTAATCAAATTATTTTTATTATTTTGTATTTATTATATTTTGTATTATTATAATCATGTCTCTTGGGGTTCATCTGATTTCTAAGACGTCAGGAATTTGGGCCTGATTTTTTAGAACTGTCTCGCTGCCTCCATTTTCCCCCTCTCTAGTTTTTTTTTTTTTTTTTGTATCATTGTCATATTAATCTTCTCAAAACTCCATGTTCATCAAGCTGCAGCACCTACTGAGGCTTCCGATGCCCTGACTGGCAGTAGGGCCTAAATCACTTCTTTTCTGCTGATCTCCAAACTGCACTCTATTTTGCCAAGCAGGTCTTCCCCACTCTTCCTGCTCCCAACTCCGCACCTAAGCCCCAGGCTCTTCTCTCAGTCTAGGTACCCTCTCTCCGTAGACCGGTGTGTATCACAGAAGATGACCCTACAAGGAAGGTCACTTGTTTAGCTCTGCATGACCATAGGAGCACCATCACCTGCTGTGTGTCCTTCCAGCCCCTTCCTATAGGTGGTCTTCCCTCCTAAGGGAGTGATGTGTGGACTGGACAAACCGAGGCCAACAGGGGCCCTACCCTTGTCGCTGTCCCTCATCATCTCTCCTGAATTTTAAGCCCGTCCCCAGAGGAGATGTCACCAAAACGGGGGACAAGGCACAGCAGCATTACTCCCCTTAAGGTTAGCTTCTCTCCCTGGAAAGAGGAAAGAACCAGGATTGTTTTTAAGAGTAAAGGTAGTATTCATAAAGCTCATTCAACCCACGAGAGACGTGGCTCTTTCTTGTTCACGAGAAGGATAAATGCATTACACGCATTGTTTTTTATACTTTTGTCTTTTCTTTTTCTAGTAGAAATCAAAGATGGTGTTTTTTGGGGAACACTAATAAATTAGATTCAGATGAGTTTCTATGATTAATTATGCCATAATTCAATATTAACCACTATAGTATGTCTTCTATTTATGCGGTGGCTCGCTTTTCTATTTGAAAATTGCTTAATTATGTACAGAAATGTGTCTAAAACATAGGCTATAGTCTGAGACTGAATTTGAAAAGAAATTTGATGTGTATGTGAAAATACACTCCCAATGTTAACCACGTAAGACTTCGTAGGCTGTTCAGAAATCAAATCTATCACCACCTATAAAAAATCATTATCAATTCAGCTTATTTTTCAAAAGCGCTGGAATCCTTACATCAAGAAAGCAGACTAAAACTGATCGTTATGCTGAAAACATGGAACTTTATCATGATGAGGCAGAAGCAATATATACTATGGAACTGCTTTCTGATTTACCAAATATTTATTTTATATTAAATACATTTGATTGTTTTTGTCTTTAATTATTTGAAAATTGATCTTTTACTTACCGTGTGACTTTGTACAGATTCCTTAATCCTTGCAGGGCCTCAATTTATTCTTCTGTAAATAGGAGGTAGAACACTTAACCGAAAGGTTTTTCACTAGGAATAGTGAGTTTTTACATGGAAAGTACGTAGCCCAGAGCCTGGCACGTGTGACATACAGCAAATGGTAGCTCTACTCTAATATATATATCTATTAAACCAAGTAAAATGTACAATTAGCAAAAGCCTATCCATATTTTTTAACTAGTCTGAATACATGGAATTTTAAAAAAATTCTCGCCATGGTTTATGAAGAGAAGAGTAAATGCATAGGGATTCCATTATCTCTTTCCTATAATTTATAAAAGGTCTGTACATTTTTCAAGTGAAACCAAGACTGATACTGAGCTGTGCCCGGCTCCCTGGGAGCTTGCTGTGATGTGCTCCTTTGCAGTTAAAGTCCAGCCTTGACCGCCACATGGCTCCCACGCTGTTTCCAGAGATAGAAATCAGATACCCATAGCATCAGGCAGAGAGTGGAACAAACAACTTGAAGGAGAGTGCCGCAGCTGCAAATATTGCACCAACAGGCAAGAACGCGCCTGGAGTCTCTGCAGGCGCCCGTTGGCCACCTCTGCTGAAGTCTCTCTTGTACTCAGGGCTCTGACTAATAATAAAAGGTCAGTGATTGGAGGCTGTCTTTATCTCAGCTACTTAAAAAAAAAAAAATTTATGTCAAGTGAGCACTTTACATGTTGTTCACCCACTTAGCCAGTGCTTCCTTTGAAGCTGAAATAGATTGCTTACATAAAATGCTCAGAGCTGCCTCCACAAAGTCTTCTCATGCTGCTTGCCTCCCTTAAAGCTGCGGCTTCCTAATCCTTTGATCCCGATACCGCTGAACTCTTTGAGAGTGAAACAGAAAGGACAGAGTTGAGATTTTAGTGTGACAAGTGGAAGAAAATCAATTTTGACTTCCCAAAGATAGAACGAGTGGTGCAAAAGATCACTGGTCCCAAATGGATGTTCTCTGTCATTGTCTTGGGTGACTAAAAATGCCCAAGAGGTACAACGCAAGGCAGACAATAGGAGGCAATTTCTTTTTTCTTTACTCAGAAAATAAACTAAGTCTGATGTTGGGACCACATTATGAACATCTATGCCCTGACCATTCCACCGTCCCTTGTATTTTTGCTTGATGTTCCAGATTTTAAGCACTCTAGCATTCCACTGGAGGATTTACACATTGATTAGCAGTTAAAAGCATTTGTCTGTAAGTTTAGTTGGATGACTGTTTCTTACTTCAGGAAAACCAGATCTTCCCAGTAACTGGCAGTCCTATTATAAGTGGATATTCTGTTAAGCTTCTAAAGAACTTCTTGTAACTTATCAAGTAATGAATAAGGCAGAATGCATTTAGTCTTGTAGTTGCACCATATTTCAAATATCATGTAACCTATGAGTCAGTTCAAATGTTATATGTAAGTGAAAAAACAGGGGATAAAAAGCAACATTGAAAAGAAATTATGTGAATTACCATGCCACCCACTAATACGTTGCATAGTGATTTAGCCATCCTTTTTCATAATTACACTGTTCAAGATTTGGTTACAAGTATTTTTAGCCTCAGAATAAAACCATCATACCCCAAAAGGTGTAAAGAAATTAAGATAGCCTTTCCATAATTCATAACAAATGTGGTTGTTTCAAATGTGCTTAATTATTATCTCGATTCAATTCAATGCAATGGTGATTCATTGCCTTTTGAGAGCTGCTTGTGAATGTCTCATTAGGAAGAGCTACTAAATGATACAGTACGATCCATATGAAGACATATTTAATGTCATCTCAGTCATGGAAACACTGCTTCTTAGCTCTATTTGCATGCCAGAAATTCTGAGCGACAAACAAACCCCACTACGATAATAGAATTTAAAAATTAGCCTATATATTTTCGCTATTGTCTAGAGATAAGAGATGCAGCTTTTATTTATTTTTCATGTTTTTATTTTTTTGAGACAGAGTCTCCCTCTGTCGCCCAGGCTGGAGTGCAGTGGCGCGATCTCGGCTCACTGCAAGCTCTGCCTCCTGGGTTCACGCCATTCTCCTGCCTCAGCCTCCCGAGTAGCTGGGACTACAGGCGCCCGCCACCACGCCTGGCTAATTTTTTTGTGTTTTAGTAGAGACGGGGTTTCACTTGTGTTAGCCAGGATGGTCTCGATCTCTTGACCTTGTGATCCCCCCGCTGCGGCCTCCCCAAGTGCTGGGATTACAGGTGTGAACCACCGCGCCTAGCCAGAAATGCAGCTTTTCTTAAATGAGAGAAAGAAGTATGTGCAGTTTAGGTAAGTAGGGTTTAAATCTACATGAAAATTTGGATGTATCAAGGAAGCATAATACATCACTTGTTAGAAAAAGCATCATCCTAGTTTTCACTACCCCTTATGTTTCTTAAATATGTAGCTTACCTTGTGATCTTCAAGAAAGCGAAATAAATTTAACTGTAACATAACTGACTGATTTTGTTGGACCTGACTTCTGATCTATAGTTCAGTGATATCCTTGGAAATCTTGAAAAGTTGAATGGACATCAGAGCTTAAGACATAAAGACTTATTATTTTCCATTCTTGATCAGAAATATTTACTACTATGTTTGTGGATTTTCATAATTAATCTTTACCTTTAGGAGCTTACATTCTATTTATTGTATTTATTTATTTATTTATTTATTTATTTATTTTTAGGGACGGGGGTCTTGCTGTGTTGCCCAGACTGGTCTTCACCTCCTGGGCTCAAGTGATCCTCCTCCCTCAGCCTCCCCAAGTGCTGGGATTATAGATGTGAGCCCCTGCACCAGACAATTATATTTATTTTTAAAAACGCCCCTCATGAAGTCTGGGTAATTCTCTCCAGATTTCTCCTTATCAACAAATTTATAAGAGTTAGGAAAAAAATGATGTAAATAAAGCACTTAAATTGCGACAGTGGTTCTATTCTTAACATCATAATGCTTATGACTAAGGAGCATTCTTTTTTTTATAAATTAAATGTATTCTGTAGTGTTAGAGTAGATGAGGGTCAGAGACATTATCAGTATGTAAGAATGCATTGTGGATTTTCCTAATTTATCACCTACAGTAATTTTCTATTCTAACACCCTTTAACAAAATCGTGGCACACAAATGAAATTCCAGTTAGAGATAAGAAAGGTGTCTGCAAGACCCTAGTCATTTCTCGTGATTACAGGCGTGAAACTCAACAGTAAAAGAACACATCAGAAACTTTTGAAGAAATGGTTCTGAGCTAGAGTGCAAATGAAGTGCTGAGAAGCCAGCACTGTCACTGGGGCAGCAGGGTTGTAAATGGTATTTTCAAGAGCTTTAATAGTGGGCAAGGACAAGCAGTTAGTCTGGTTGACTCCTTAGAACAAATGTCATTAAAGGAAAAGTGTTGTGCAAGTGACTGATTCAATCTTTATTAATGAAAAAAAGAAAAGATGACGCCTCCAGAATGAGGCAGTTAGAGCTGAATTGTGGCGAGCTCTATCTTCACTGACTAAATTACCACTTCACTCGATGAGTTTTTTAAAAAACATGCAGTAGAGGTCAGATGGAGGTGTTTTGTTGAGCTCATCATGTGGTGGTGTTTTGCTTTAAAAAGGGTACTGTTTTCAACTACATAATTAAAAAAACAAATCTGCCCAGCTTCCCACAGCCAATCAAAATGTACTGAAAAAATCCTCTTACGTTCATTTCATTACGGAAACAGTTATGGAGTGGCAAATTGGAATCAATTATCTGTAGACGGTGGGATAGCAGTTGGGGTCACAGAAATCTATGGATTCTATAAGGCCTAAGGTACAAATGTGGCAACAGGCTTTTCCTTAAATTCCTGGGGATATTGTTGTTCACACACGGGTCTTTTTACTCACACCTGGCACATGTCAACAGAATAACCTTTGACTGCACAGGACATTATTTCATTTCTTTTCTCTTCTAACTTGCAATCAGGTTTCAAGTTCCACTGATGTCTCGATACCTTTCTAGGGTTAGGGCTGAACTGTTTTCAGGACTCCCCTATGAAAACTCGCCTTTGGAAGTGATAAAACATTACAACATGAAAACCTAATTTTGAATGAAGGGAGAAGAGCCAGAGCTGGAGAAAACGACACTACCCCCTCTCCCAGCAAGTGGTCTCAAAGTTTATGGAGAATTTCTTATTCTCTGCTGAAAATCCTGTCTTTAAAATATTTGTTTCGTGGTTGATTTCTCCAAAGGCCAGTGAATAATCCACACGTAATCATTAGACACCAGTGGCACTCCAACTGTCTGTCTTTGTATTTACCAGCCAGAAATGATTGCCAGCACACAGGCCTCAGAATGTGTGGTTTCCAGCTAGGTCAAACTATATCCACAAAAGAGATGGAAATATTCCTGACGTCACATCTCCTGGTGGTTTTCTTATGGATTCAAATTACTGCACATGTGTGAAAGATACCTAGGTGTGACCAGATGAATGCACAGTTGGCTTCAAGGTAATGTAGCCTAATTTCGGCTCGTTCAGTTTCCACATGGTCTTGCCTACCTGCCTTGCAGTTCCACTGCACTAGATCAACAAATTCCTGGTATGATGTGCCATCCTTTGGTACCTGTGGCCACTCCTGAAAAGCAGAAATCATCCTGATATCAGTTATAATCTGGTGCAATATCATTTACCTGTCAGTTTCGTTACTCCATCTTCATCACCAAGCCTACCTGAATAGGAAAAATAAAGGTGATGTACGTGTGAGGATACAGGCGTCATAGTCTTTGGAAGCAAGCAATATACATCAATAGGAATGTTGTTGTATTTTAGACATTATTTATGAGAAGTTTACAGAGAGTACACCATAACTTCCTTATTCACAGTTGAATTCCTAGATTCTAGCATTGTGGTGTTCAATAAATGTTGAACTGAGTGATGATTTCTCATTCACTTGATAGCATTTGACCACTGTGTTCAGACAATGCTGACATACTTCAAATCCTGAAAACGATTCAGGTGTTTTCTAAACAATGGCAGACTTGCATTCTATTAAAGAACTCCATTGATCATTTTTGTAACCAAGGTGTTTACAGAATGCAACTGGCTATGATTCACACCACTTCTGGTGTAAATATCATAATGTATAAGTATTTTTCTAAATTTCACCATCATTTTCTTTCTTTTTTTTTTTTTTTTTTTTTTTTTTTTTTTGAGACAGAGTCTCACTCTGTCCCAGGCTAGAGTGCAGTGGTGTGATCTCGGCTCACTGCAACCTCTGCCTCCCAGGTTGAAGCCATTCTCCTGCCTCAGCCTCCCGAGCAGCTGGGATTACAGGTGCCCACCACCATGTCCAGCTAATTTTTGTATTTTTAGTAGAGACAGGGTTTCGTCCTGTTGGCCAGGCTGGTCTCAAAATCCTGAACTCAGGTGATCCACCCACCTCGGCTTCCCAAAGTACTGGGATTACAGACGTGAGCCACCGCACCTGGCCTAAATTTCACCATCGTTTCTATTCATAACTTACCTGCAAAGTGATTATCTGACTAGTACTACTGCAACAAAGATAATAAAGTGCCTGATGTTTATATCAAATAGGATATGGCATGTTTCTGAGTGTTTCTAAAGAAAAATACTGAATGAACCCCTCGCCTAACCTAGTGCCTGTGGTAACAATAACTGACATGCATTGAGCGCTTACTGTGTGCCAGGTGCTTGTTCGAGGTACTTTACCGGTATTAACTCTTTAATTCGCATAACCCTTCTGTGAGATGGGTAACATTATACCCATTTTACAGATGAGGAATCTGAGGCCTGGAGATATCAAATCATGTGCCCAAGGCCACAAAGCCAACATGTGGTAGAACTGAGACTCGAATCTAGGCAGTTTGTTCCAATTTTTGTGCTTTGAACCTGTGCACAATATGACTATTGCTATTTTGTGATATTATTTGAGATTTCTCTTTTAATTATTCTTGATATCTTTGGGGCAGAAAAACAATGAATAATAATGTTATGAATATTAAAGCCCCATAAAAAGAAAGGTATTCTGCCTAACAGAAGGAAAGATTTCAATTAAATGTGGAAAGCCTATCAATGGTGATAAATAGTTTCCTTGGACTGCAGCCACAATTAAAGGACTTGGGTGAGACAGTCATCGGAGTAACAGTAATGAAAAACCGAGTAACAGTTAACATTTAACACTTTCTATATGTTAGGCAACGTTCTAAGGACCTTAATTACATTTTCTTATGTTTAATAGGTCCTCTTTTATGGATGACCAAGTTCCTTGCCCAAAATCACATAGGTTATGGGCAGCAGAGTTGAGTCCTCAGTCAAAATATACCTGACCCCGGAGTCCATGTTTTGAATCACTAGTCTGTCCTGCCTCCATGCAGCAGTGTAGAAAGACCATCTTGAGAGCCTCACATCATGGTGGCCTTAATCTGGGGCATGTGGAAGAAAGGATGTCCTTGGTCTCTGGTGAATCCCGTAATCTTCTAGAGATATTTTAACAGGAATTATAATTGAATATATTATATAGGCCTCTGTTACTCTTCCAGTTTTTACGATAATTTCATGATAACTTCCTGGGTGTTAGTAATTGTGCAAATTCATATATTATTGCATTTAAGCTGCCTGATGACCCTGGTGAGTAGGGTCATCTTAGCCCCATTTTATAAATGAGAAAATTGAAACCAGAGAGGATAAATCATGTGCTTAAAATTATGCAGTAAGTGACTTCAAATCTTGTGATCTTTACTGTTCTATAAATAACATCCTACCAAATTAGGTTAAACTGTATGGGATTGCAATTTTGGTGGGTCAAAATGATCCATTATTGGCAATTTCATATTATACAACCTCATTGATGAATGAAAGTGAATTTAATCATTTCTTATTTTCAATTTTCAAATATATTGAAAGTGCACACCTAATATATTCGCAAACATAATGTATAAGAAGAAAAAGAATCATGAAAATTTGATAGACCCAGTGCATTGATTTGTGTGACAGTATACTGATATTAGTAAGAAAGTGGCCACAAATTATGTTGTAATTCTTTATGTCCATACATATTAAATCCCTGGAGTTTCTTTTTTAAAAACCATAATAGGCCGGGTGCAGAGGTTCACGCCTGTAATCCCAGCACTGGGAGGCCGAGGCAGGCGGATCACCTGAGGTCAGGAGCTGGAGACCAGCCTGGCCAACTGGCGAAACCCTGTCTCTACTAAAAATACAAAAATTAACTGGGCGTGGTGGCGGGCACCTGTAGTCTCAGCTACTCGGGAGGCTGAGGCAGGTGAATCGCTTGAACCTGGGAGGCGGAGCTTGCAGTGAGTCGAAATCACGCCACTGCCCTCCAGCCTGGGTGACAGAGCAAGACTCTGTCTCCAAAAACAAAAACAAGAACAAAAACAATAAAAACCATAATATATTTTGAAGAGAGCGAAGTAATTGAAGATGAAGAAAAAAATTCATTTCTCCTAGTTTGAAGGTTGTCATCAAATACATTTGCTCAAAACCACGTAAGAATTAAAACATGAAAGCTTCCATTCTAATGATGGCAGTTAAAATCCAACCCATCACCGTAAGAGGCTGAAGCAGAGAGGATTGCCTGAGCCCAAGAGTTCCAGACCAGCCTGGGCAATATAGTGAGACCCCTACCTGTAGAAAAAATTTAAAAAATTAGCCAGGCGTAGTGTTGCATGCCTTTAATCCCAGCTACTCAGGAAGCTGAGGCCGGAGGATTGCTTGAGCTCAGGAGGCTGAGGCTGCAGTGAGTCATCATCGCGCCACTGCACTCCAGCCTGGGCTACAGTGAGACCCAATCTCCAAAAACAAAAAAAAGAAAAGAAAGGAAAAGAAAACACATACCATCAGGCTTCTTTAAAATCCAATTTTAAAATATCCAACTGATGGTTTAAAATAATTGTTTCAGTTTACATTGCAAACTCATGCAAATGGACACTTATCAAGTTTGACTGTCATACAGTCAAATGATGAAGTCTGCTTACTCTCCTAAGGGGAAGGCAAATCACCTCTGTTTTGGGAAATTCTTTTGCATATTGTTTGGCAAGATTGTACTTAAAGCTGAATATTTAATATGCCTCTGTATGTATTTGGTTTTTCAGTTTCCTGGAAAACATTTTACACAGGTCAACCGTAAGTCTGGCCATATTAAATGAAAAGAAGAACTCAAAATGCATGTGGTTTGGCCCTGAGGAGCATCTTCTGATCTGGTGGCTTGTGAAAAGTCAGCTTTATGGCCAGGCACGTTGGCTGATGCCCGAAATCCCAGCACTTTGGGAGGCCAAGGTGGGCGGATCACCTGAGGTCAGGAGTTCAAGACTAGCCTGGCCAACATGGTGAAACTCTGTCTCTACTAAAAATACAAAAATTAGTCGGGCATGGTGGCGGGAGCCTGTAATCCCAGCTCCTCAGGAGGCTGAGGCAGGAGAATCGCTTGAACCCGGGAGGCGGAGGTTGCAGTGAGCAGAGATCACACCACTGCACTCCAGCCTGGGCGACAGAGTGAGACTCTGTCTCACAAAAAAAAAAAAAAAAAAAAAAAAGTCGGCTTGATAAAGAAGAGCAGGGCCTCATCTCAGCTCTCCTGCCTTACACTGTTCAGGGCTCTGACGGCCGATCTCTTCCTCACCCTTCACTTCGTCCTACAGTCTCTTCTGGCATCACGCAGCATGCTGCGATTCCAGGTCCAAATGTGGGGGGCACTGCTGTGAGTCCGTGGCCCTGTAGATTGATAGGAAACTGCGCAGAGAAGGTTCATGCTTCTTGCTAGCCACAAAGCAATGAACAGGTAGTAGTATTTTCTTATGGATGGAAAGTTTAGGTAAAAATTGTAGTCTTATGATTACATTACATGGTATTGTATAATTACCTAAGAACTAGCCCATGTACAGTGTACATTTATGTGTTTACTAAGACCATAGTTTTTCCCTTTTTTAGTTCCCCTTTAATAACTGGTAATTAATCCTGTGTAATATTAAATAATAATCAACAGCTCTGTGAAGGCCATCATAGAAAGAATATTTTTCTTCTGGAGAGATTATTGTAAGTGTTATTTAGAAGAAGTCTTAAGCCCCAGCATACGAAACTAAGATATCTACATATCTTTTAGCAGAGTTTTGTTTTACCCCTTCGCTTAATCAGAAATAATGAAGATTTATGTATGTCAAGTTATTTAAAATTCTCGATGAAAAGCATGGTTGTTCTGTGTGTGTGCTTAAGTACCTTAGCTCAAATGCAGTTACACTGCTGCAGAAAAATGTTAACATTTTGAAACAGTTCTTGATTTCACTTGTGCTGATTTTATCAAAATAAGGAGGAAAAAGACACCGTGCCTTTGTTACATGTGATAAACAAGCGATTTGCTCTTTAGAGGCCCCCTGCTATAAAAGTTAGCCGTTTTTAAGCCTAGAGAATCAGGTGAGTAATATTAGAATATTTGATCTTTTTAAGGATTTGCCTTGACATTTATTTTGTAAAGACCAGAAACTTTATTGAAACTGAGCCTTAGAAGAGTGGCTTTAGCACTGTGTTGCTGTCCCAAAATGAAGAGATAATCTAGGAATTGGTATAAAGTGGCCACTACCCAAAATCTCGTGGTGGGCCACATGGGAGAACATTCTAGAATAAAAATACCAGAGCTGAAATCATGATGATGCTGGCAGCCTAACACTTGAAACTATATTAGTTTCCATCCTTTAAATGTAGTCTTGTATAATTAACTAATACATGTTCAGCTGCCTTTCAATATATATACCATCCATTTTCAGAAATCACGATCCTTTATGTAAGTTCTAAATTCAGACATTTGCTAATATTCAGATGTTTAAATTAATCAGAGGAAGACATCAATAAATATTTTTCAATCTGAAATTTTAAATCCTTTTAAAAAATCCTGGCATTTGATGTCATATAGACCCAATCTACAAATAAGACATTTTCAGCGTATCATCAGTCTTCGGCACATATTGTATGCAAATGTCATCCTCTCTTTGAAAATACCTTTTGCATTTTAAGCAAGATCCTATTTTGACAGTTCTTTATGCTTTTTGGGGAGAGTTCTTGTGGAGAGTTTAAAAAAAAGCATCTTGAGTTTTTGCCTTGACATATTCATCTTAATTTGATCATTTCTCTTCTGTCACAGTTAACCCCTCAATCAAAACACCTGGAAGTCCTTGTTAAAGTTCAAGGCTTCCATCAACCTCCATCAGCGATTCCAGGCAGGAGGTTTACACATGTTAAACCACTAGAATGTAAGTTGTTCTTCAGGATTGCCCCGGGGAGTTTTCTACTGCATTTTTGCCAATTGAATTATGATGTGAGATGGTATGAATATTGATCAAATTTCTAAACTGAATTTCCCAATTTTTAGACTGTGGTGTAAACCAACCCGCAGGTTGTCATAACCAATTCAGTATGTTTTTAACAATAGTCAGTGAAGCGTGGAGGTCTTCAAAACTCATTGAAATGTAGAAAATTATCTGCACATATGCTATCAACAAATCTCGCTTAACTCCTTCCTGCTCACATTCCAAACCAACAGCAAAATTCAGATCCAAGCAAACTGGTCAGTGATTCTGTGTGTGCTTGCATGTGGCCATGTGCCTTTAGCTTCTTGGTTTGTTCTTCCTTTTTCCAGGCTTATCTGTTTGAAAATATAGGAGGAAATGTGTTAATACACATCGTGAACACAGAGTACAGGAGATGGGATTGTACCTTGGTTAGTAGTTTATCGTTGCAAAGTGGTTTTCTTTCCTCTGAAGAGAAAACAAGAAATCGTGCATCATCATAAGCTGGCTTTCCATTTCAGGGCCATATTTTACATTTATTCAGAACCTCTCTTCTTTCTGCTTTTTCCATTTTTCTGTCTAACTTTTAGTGATTTATTCTTTTTTATTAGTACATTTTAATTTACAGTGGGATGGGAGGAGGGCCTTCTGCAGTTCTTTGTCTGCTCTGGAGAAAGTTCCTGAAATGAAACATGAATTTGAGTTTGCTGCCAGTCACAGTTAAGGGGCCTTCTCTTGTCCTATCCCGTTGTAAGACAAGCTCGTCCCTAAGAGAGCCTCTGAATCCAGCCATCCTTTGGAGAGAGTCAAGCATGGTTTATCTTCTGGACCTCACCTGACTGGTTTTACAAGAACAGTTTGGTCTTGGTCTGCACAAATAGGAAGCAGGTTTTGACATTCTGAGCACTCTCTCCATGCATTCAGCAGCTTGTCAATAAGAATGAGAGAAAGAGAAGAAAGAAAAAGAGAGAAGAAACTATGGTAGGGGAAAATGAGGTGGAAAGAATATAATACCTTCCTTACTTTCCTTGTTTTGGTAAAAACAAGTTAATCATCATTCATATCCCTTCTCTTGCATAAATATGTATCTGTCTACTCCTACCTCATCTGCTGCAGTGAATCACATATTTTCTCCTCAGAATTGATTTGGGCAAGAAAGACAATGTATACATAAAATCAGTACTGGATTTCATATACAACAAAAATGTTAGAGATTTCAAAATTATATACCACTTTTAATAACATTTTTTTTTTATGAGGGGGTTTCTACCATTTGCTAAAAGTGACAAGAACCATTCGGCCTATGCTGGCATAGAAAGCAGCAGGGAAATCAGTTGATAATAATATGAATAAATGTATTTGGTTGATTACATGCTTACACCTTACAGTTTATAACATGTTTTAACACACCTAATGTGACCTCATTTGCTCCTAAAAATGAAAAGCCCTTTGAAGAAAACAGTGTTATCTCCTTTATATAAATGAGAAAACTGAGGCTCAGAGACATTAAGTGCCATGATTAAATCTTCATAGTTGATCTTTGCACTAGATGTTTCTGTAATATTGAGTGTGTGTGTTTGGGCATTTGCGTGTATGAATATAATCATAGAACACTGCTGCAAATGGAGATAGATTGGCAAAAAAAAAAAAAAAAAAGGAATGGAATTGACTGGTAAATTATTAGTACTTCTATCTACCACTTGGCAGCTAAAGGATTGCCCTCCGTGTGTGACTAAAAGCAGTGGCCTGTCCAGCAGATAGTTTCAGTCCAATTAAAGTGATCTGTTGTGACTGTATTTGACCAGAGGCAATGGAAGAAAGATGGTGAAAACGTCCTTCCAAGATTATCCTCTTTCAGAATCCAAAACTTGAATTTCTGAAAAATGATTATGGTGTGGCTTATTTTATGTACCCCACAATATATATTATCGAATCATAAATCAAACTGCTTTCTAAAAGATTTTAAGTATCTTCGGATAAATTTCCTTAATATTTTAATTGAAAAATGAGGCAATCATTTCTCAAGATTTTTATTTCTGATGGGCACATGAGGTCCTTTAATTAGTGTATCCGTTCTTATTCTTGCTGAACAGTCTCCTGAATAAGAATAAAAGTGACAAAATTAGACAACGTATGGAAAAGGAAATCCTGGCTTTGCTAATTTTACCAGGGAGAGTAGCTAGGCCCTATATTTCTGGCTGGAATTCTCAAATGGGAGAAAATTCTTTTCCTGGCATGTATTGGGTAACAGTTGTTTGTGTACCTTGTAGCCTAGCCGACTCTGTCAAAGGTAATCCTCCCAGTGCAATAATCCTCTGCTTTCAAAGGCGAAAACTGTGTAAATTGAATTTTACAGAAATCTTTCTTAAATTTCAAAATTATTGTTATTTAAAACGTATATTTAACTTATTTTTGCATTGCAAAATTGGACATAAAAACAAACCACAGTCTGGCCCCAGGTGAGGTAGGGAGAGGATTGTTAGGGGAAGTGTGCACAGCCCATAATAGGCCCTGTCATGCCAAGCTTAGTTATTTCTGCAGTAAGGCAATGGAGTATGCAGGTTGAAAACATGAACTTTTCAGTCAGATATCTTTTTTTTTTTTTTTTTGAAGTGGAGTCTCGCTCTATCACCCTGGCTGGAGTGCAGTGGCACGATTTCGGCTCACTGTAAACTCCGCCTCCCAGGTTCAAGCAATTCTCCTGCCTCAGCCTCCTGAGTGGCTGGGATTACAGTCACGCGCCGCCACACCTGGCTAATTTTTGTATTTTTAGTGACGGGGTTTCACCATGTTGGTCAGGCTGGTCTCGAACTCCTGATCTCGTGATCTGCCCACCTTGGCCTCCCAAAGTGCTGGGACTACAGGCAGGAGCCACCGCTCCCTGGCTCAGTCAGACATCTTTACCAGTTTTGAGACCATGGCAAGTTATTTCACCCCCTATCCTGGCTTTTTTTCATCAGAAGGTGGTGTTGAAAATACTCGTCTGATAGGTTTCTTTTGTGGATTAAATGAAACAAACTCTGAAAAGCCTGTAGCCCAATGCCTGTTGTAACATGTTTGAGTACTCAATATACGGCAGCAATTATTGTTGTTTTGGGTCTCAGGATATATCTAGCAGTTAAGTTTCACAGTCATCCCTGAGAAGAGATCTTATCAGGATTCATCTAAACATGGAAAATATCAGTGACCTAGAGAGATGAGTTGGAGCCTGGTCTCTGGATGCTGGGATGTTAGCTGGAGGCCTGGGGCCCTTGGGGATTTTGCTTTCAAACTGAAGTGGCCCCGATGTTTGCACAGTCCGATGGGCAAAACAGAGCCTATTACCTGGCACCTGATCTTTTCAGTGGTGAATTCTGTGGTACATAGGAAACTGGGGTTGTGGCATGTGGAATGGTTAGGACCTCTCAGAGCTGGAACCATGGGGAAGTGACTGACGACAGCGGGAGATGAACACAAAATGATCTGAGGCCCACGGGAGGAGCCTTGAGGTTCGTTGAGGGAAAGAGGAACTGCAGATAATGGTGAGATTTCAAAGGGCCAACCAGGGACACGGGAGATGTCTCCAAAATCAAGGAAGAGTTGCTTGGAGCCCAAAGGAAAAAGCTTCAAGAGTCAGGGAAGAAAGTGGCTTTCTTATCTAAGATAGCCTGGAGTCTGACAAAGCAGTGGGCCATGCCTGGAGTGAAGGTTAGACCGGGGTCTCACGGGGCTCAGAATTTGATCCAATCTAGCAGCAGTGGCAGCTTTTTAATCCAACATCATACCCTTAAGCAGCTCAGCTCAGCAACAGGCACCTTTTAATGGAGACCTTGAAATATCATCCAAGTAAGGAACCATCGGGAAATACAGACCAAGGGCAATTACCCTGAGTATTTTATAATATAGCTAGAACGTTGATCACTGTTCCTTGTTTGTGAGTTTTCTTATTCCATCCATTTCCTTGTTGGAGATTTTAATCTGTAAATGAAAAAGGCCTGCGTGCCTATTTTCAGGCACAGCAAAGACCGAAAAGCTGGGTGGGGTGTCCTACTCCTTAGCCAGGCTGAGAGAAAGGAAATTGGAGAAGTAGAGAAAGTGGCAGCCCATTAAAGGAAAGAGAAAAAAAGAAGAGGCTGGATTCCTAGGAGACTGTGCTAAGAGTGAATGAATGCACGCAGAGCTAGCCCTTGAAGCAGACAGGAGTCCAAGGGCAAGTGATCTATTTATTCTTGATTGCCTCAATCTAGGCACCAAAATTGGACAAGAAAGATGACTAATGGAATGTAATGAGTTTCTATTTCAACAATGCCCAAATAGGCTTCTTTAACTTGGTTCATCACGAATAAAGATATTAATTGAGAAAAACTAAAATAACACTAAAATAAACTAGAATCAAGCTGATGATGAGCATATATATATGTAAGTAACTGCGTTACATAAAATGCAGCTGTGGATTATGAAAATCATCAAGCTCCTCTTGGTGTCTACAGGATGGAGTGGCTGAGTCTCCAGCCTTTTCTATGGAGCAGAGCCTCCCTCCACCTTGGACCCATGCTGCTTTGCTCTATCTATAGCAAAGACCATACCCAGTCATTACTCCAAATGTTAGGGAGGTCATGCAATAGCATAAGTTCACTTTCATTTTATTGATAAGACATGTAAATGCAGTGCTGAAACATAAAGTGACTTGCTCCAAGTCAGTGGGTCCCTCTCTGCCACTCCACCTATTCTCATGAAATACTGAGATATTCACCTGACCCATACATATAGTATGACTGGGTATGGTCTTTGGTCATCATGCATCTCTCAAAAATGGTAGAGCTGCAACAGTGCCTAGGATCTTCCTGCAGTTACTTAATGGCAGTTTAAAGCTGTCTGTCTTAACTCATCCTTTCTGCCGTAACTCCTGCTGCTGCTCTCCTTTTATCATCCAGCAACCTCTATCTCTTTGAATTTGTAAATTCAGTTACTATATAAGACAGCTCAAGCAGTAGACACTCCTTTCCATGGAATCAAGGCACAATGGCTTTTTCTTTCAAGTTTCACACTCTGTATTTGATAAGCTTCATTTCTGTCCAGTGACCTCAGAGAGTGGACAGTGCAGTACTGCTTGCCTGGCTTCCCCATTAATTTCTCAGAGCTGTTCCTCCCCAGTGCTTAAGTGGAGGTCCACATTGTCCTGGACCCTGGAGCTTCACCCACAGTCATGTAGCCATAGGGTCCCTGTGACTTCCTGGGTCCCATGCCGGGGTATTCAAGGCCTCAAGCCTGTCCCTGATTCCACGATTACCTCTTATTGGCCAGTGTCCACTGTCGGTGGAATGGCTGCATGGCCATCATTATTAGCCACATACTGAGAGTTCCGTGATCTTTCCCAAACCGTAGGCGTCAGTGGTCTCTCCAGTTTTTACTCTCAGCACATGGTTTACAGTGTATGAGTGAGAAACAATGAAACTAGCTACTAAGAAGCCTCGCTTTAGTCTAATTTTTTTCTTCGTGTAGATGTGCAGGGCTTTTTTTTTTTTTTTTTCCTTTTCAACCTTGTTGTCATTTCAAAATATTCCTTTTTTCAGTGGCTTCCGGGCAAAGAAGATTCTAGTCATGCATCCAAACCACTCCTGTCCCAGCAGAAAATTCCTTTTCAACACTTTAGAATCTACTTTTTCTGGTTATATTAGCCCTGAGGTTCAGGGCTTTTGAAATTTCCTTTAAAGGAACGCATACTAAGGGTAAGGTGAATATCTCAGTATTTCATGAGAATGGGTGGAGCGGCAGAGAGGGACCCGCTGACTTGGAGCAAGTCACTTTACGTTTCAGCACTCCATTTACATTTCTTAGCAATAAAATGTAAGTGAACTTATGCTATTGCATGACCTCCCTCATATTTGGAGTGTTTTTAAGTCAAATATACAGAGATTGAGAATAAAATAGTGGTAACCAGGAGCGGGTTGGGGCAGGAGGAGGAAATGGAGAGATGTGGGTCTAAGGATACAAAGTAGCACATATATAGGATGAACACTCTTGAGATCTAATGTGCAATCCGAGGACCACAGTTAATAATGTTGTATTGTGGTGGGGATTTTTGCTAAGTGAGTAGATTTTAGCTGTTCTTGCCACAAAATAAAAGACTGTGAGATGATGGATACTTTAGCTTCTCTATAGTAACCATTTTACTATCTATATGTGTCTCATAACATCATGTTATATACCTTAAATATATATAATGTAATGTAATGTGTGTGTGTGTGTGTGTGTGTGTGTGTGTGTGTATATGTAATCCCTCCCAGCTCTAAAATTTGCAACTCCAAGGTTGCATGTTGGAAATTGGACAACTGAGTCATTAAAAATAGGTATTTTCCCTTCACATCCCACCCTATTGATTTCTCTCCTGGTGCCTGTTCAAGCTTCATGCTAGGGTCTACCGGTTCAAAGAGGAGCATGACACATGAAGTCAGTCTTGTCACTGCTAATTGGTGTCTTACATAGATAAATTATCTAGTTATCAGGTGTCTCTTCATTTCGTGACAACATAGCATCAAGAAAGTTCGTTAAGAATGCGGAGAAAATGTATTTTTATATTCACAGTTATTTTTTTAGGATGAACCATCAAGCTTTTGAGGGACAGGAGCTGATTTCAGAAATTCATCCTTCACTCCTAGCATTATGGTAGGATTTCTATCTTTGTTTTATTCTGTCAAATGATGGATTTTTGTATAATGACTAAAAGGACTGTGTAAAATGCCATTGTAGACTTCAGCACAAAGGTACTGACATCTTTTCCTTTGTGGTTTAGAAGCCTGAAGTTTTGTGCAGTCCTACTGTCATGGGGCATGTCTCAGAAGTCACTGCCAAGCTACACCCAGGTTGGGCTGGTGGATGACACTGACAGCCCCGTGTAAATAAGTTTCTAATATTGTTAATGATGACTTAAACACCCAAATATATTTGCTTTGTATTTTGTTTCCTTGCACTTCAGAAAATATGCCGTTGAGAACAGCTCGATGGAATTTCATTCAAACTTTCTTGACTTTACACCAGCAGCATTTTCATTTCAGCTTTAACCTACTTACTATTTTTTTTCTTTTCAGTAAACAAATATACTGCCTTATGTTGAGGCGAGGACTTGGGAGGAGTTTCAGGAAAATCATTCTTCACATTTTAGAGGTTGTTTGTAATAACTTTGCTTATGCTATAAAAATGTTAATAGCTTTTGAAGAATAAAAACCCCGTAATAATTGCTCATCTATAAGCAGAGTCTTACGGTTTTAGCTGCAATCTGTGGTCCCGAGTGGGGAAAGAGTAACATAATACCTTCTATTTATGCATGGTTTATGAACTGATTTGCACAAGGGACTTTGTATTTGTAAAAATGCATCTCACTTGCTATGCATTTTAACCATTTAATATTTGATTTACCAAGAGAGCAAAATTTTGTTTTCAAAATGCAGCAATATGACCTTAGACTGTGTGTGCGTGTGTATGTGTGTATATATATGTGTATATATATATATACACACACACACACATATATGTATATATAATTAAGCCTGTCTTAAAAGAGTTTCAAAAGATGACTTTGTAAGAAGATCAAACCCCAACTACAGGTCCTCAGGCATTTTAGTAACTCATAGAGCTTAATTTCCATTTCTCTTGTGATAACATAAATCATAATAAGAGTAACAAAGAATTTCCTTAATGAATTGGTTGAATACAGTGTACATAACATTGAAGAATGTTTCCAATTCTAAAATTTGGAAGGATGGTGTTTAAAGGCACTGTCGTTAGTTATCTCAACAGGTGGTAGCTGGTAATTGATAATTATATTTAAAGTATGTGTATTCATTGTGGTTGGTAGTAATACAGCATTTTTATCTGCAGATCTCAAAGCATGTGTGAATAAATATGCATTATTTCCCTATTTTAAGTAGCCAGAGACTCACTGAACGTTAATTAGATATAAGCAGACAGAGAAATTTCATGTCCGCTGCTTGCTTGATGCTACTAAAAAAAAAAAAAAAAAAAAATCTTCCCAGAGACTGAGGTGAAGAACACAGTGTACCTGATCTCTAAATAACTACTGTTCAGGGGCATGGCTCCAGCCCCAAGCGAAGCCCCATGAAGCGCAAAATGTCCCTGCACACGTCTTCCACCAGGCTCCTCACACCTAGGCTCGCAGAGCATTCTAGCAAGTCTTAGGTCAGAAGAGACCTCAGGGACCATGCTTCTGAGTCCTTTCCTATTACCTCTAGCTACTCAGCACGTGCACTAGGATGGGGACGTGACGTTTCCTCCATCCTCCACAGCACTTCCTTCTGAACCCTGGCGAACCTCTTGATTAGGAGAATATTTGTTGGAATACGTACTGTGTTGTAAACTCTTTTCTAGGTGCTTGCAATAGAGCAGTGACCAAAACAGACAGTCACTGCTGTCACAGCGCTGGCGTTCCAGGAAGGAAAGATGGTCTGTGCCGAGCATCCCTCTATTTATTCACAGCTTTAACCTCCCCATCTGCACCCTTCCTACGCAAAGCAGGGTGTCCTACCTTCTTCAGCAAAGGCTTTCCCATCCCACCTATCCCCATCAGATGGGGAAATATTTCTGAGCTTTATTTTCTGGAGTTTGTATTCTTTTAATTTTTAAATTTTGTGTTATGAAAACAATAGCTATATTAAATACAGTTTCTCAAACTATATATATATATATATATATATATATATATATATATATATATATCCCCCTTCTACCTCCTGTTCTCCGATAATTACAGCACACGAAGAGGCAGGTTTCCCCAGCAACGGAGTGGGTGCAGCCCTGCCTCATAATTCTCCTGACCAACAAGTGTCTCTCCTGGGCCAGACCTGAGGGTCTCTAACACTCAGTGGCTCCCAGCTCCCAGGCCCAAGCTTGTTGTATGCTGGAAGGAGGGGAAGGTTGACTACCGGGGCCTCCTTGTGTTCCAGGGTCAGAAGAACCTCTGAAGAGCTTCCTATTTTTTCTTGTTCTACATCTTTGTTCCCAGAAAATTCCAGAAATGTTTTTCTGATTCTAGTTCCCCAACCTCCATCCTCTTTCTTTGTTTTCCTTGGTATCTCTGAATGTTCGAGGGGGTCTAAGCTATTCCCGAGGAGGGTGCCTGACTCATTCTGACCAAGTCCTACCAGACCAAAAAGTACTGGTCTTGGGAGCTGCAGTTGAGTCAGATTAGCTTTGATTGTCAACTTAGATAACCCCAGGAGAACAAAAAAAAGGAACGCGTAGAGGTATTTATCTTTGGCCCACAGCCTCTTCTAGCATGCATAATTATGTCTGTTATTATAAATATGGGCCAGCCAGCTTTGTGATAAGTCTTGCTTGAGTACACTAAACTCTCTGCCTCCGTGCCCATTTGCTCAGCTTTATATTTCACGGGCAGCTGCTTATGACCTTAAAAAGTGCAGAGAACCCTGGCCAGCAGTAGAAGGTTCTGGCCAAAGGGTGATGCCCAGGGCAGGAATGTTCCTGCCTCTCGCCCCATGAGGTCCTCTCAGCTGTTTCAGGAGTGCCTCCTCTCCTAGAATAGCAGTAACATGCAGCTGATGACTGCCAACAACATCATGCTCTTGGTACCAGGCTGGACTCTGGAACAGCTGGCATGCTTGTACATCCCTGACATTCCGAGCCTGGGATGCACCCGAGGTTAAGGAACCAGCAGACTCCCAAAGAATTATAGAGTGGCATGCAGTCTCTGCCAGCCATTTCTAAAGATCTGGGTGTGAGATGAATCTGCAGAAGGGAAAATAATGGCTGGAAAGCACCTGAAATTAAGTTGGCTGGAGTCCTGCCTGGTTTGCATATTTTTTGTATGTGCCTGTGATATGCATTGAAAATCATTTGCCTAAACTTCCTGCTAACTAGAGGTACAATTAAACACTTCCAATTCAGGAGTCCCGTTCCCCATACTACAGGCATCTCTAGCTGTTTTGTTTTATCTTGTTTTGAGGTCTTTGGAAAAATTAATTGTTGGTAGCGTATATACAAATGTCTATTCCGGGAACTGGCGTCTTCACTCCTCTGTCCTTCTGGCTGAAAGGGCTCGGATTTCACTTTTATTCAGGGCCGTAACTCTCACTTCTCACTTGGCCACCGTGTTGGTCCTGGAAAGAATCCTCTCCTTCATTTCAGCCGAGGAAAGATTAAGGAGGAAAGGGAAGAGGTACTGGAGCACTTGCTACCCCTATTATCAGATCAGATATATGGGAACTTTAGCAAAATGTCTGTTGTATACCTATTATGTACACCTAACAAACTGGTGATTGTCCAGACATTAAAGACATATATACGGACAAACGCGTTGGCTCACACCTGTAATCCCAGCACTTGGGGAGGCCAAGGTGGGCGGATTACAAGGTCAAGAGATGGAGACCATCCTGGCCAACATGGCGAAACCCCATGTCTACTAAAAATACGAAAATTAGCTGGGTGTGGTGGGAGGCTGAGGCAGGAGAATCACTTGAACTCGGAGACCAAGGTTGCAGTGAGCGGAGATCGCGCCACTGCACTCCAGCCTGGCAACAGAGTGAGAGTCCATCCAAAAAAAAAAGACATATATACATGAATTCCCCCCTTCTCTGGGGGTATGTGTTCCAGGACTTCCAGCAGATGCCTGAAGCCCTGGATAGTACCAAACCCCATACACACCATGTGTTTTCCTATACTGTAATGGGTGGGTAGCTTATATGGCATGGATATGCTGGACAAAAGGAGGATTCACATTCCTGGCCCGATGGAGCAGGATAGCATGAGATTTCATCACACCACTCAGAGCAGCACGCAACTTTAAACTTACAGATTTTTTATTTCTGGAATTTTCCATTTAACGTCTTTGGACCATGGTTGACCTTGGGTAATTGAAACCACAAAAAGTGAAACTGAGGATAAGGGGAGACTCTTGTAGACATGACAGCCTCAGAAGTGCACAGGAGAGGGGTCTCCAGGCTTCCAGATCACCCAGAAGCCGCTCCAGGGACCTGAAGCCAGAGATGTTCCCACCTTCCGTGCTCAGCCAAACAGGAGCCGGAGAGCCCCAAACAGCGGTGAGGGAATGACAGAAATTCCCGGATGCCTCCCACTAATTTCTCACAGGAGAAAGTAAGACTTCCAGGCATCTATCCTGGATAGACGTCCACACATGATCCCACACTGGCACTGTTCTGCATGGTGGCGGCTCCTGGCCTGCCAGGCAAACCACCCTGTGTGCATTAGGGGTTAATTTGACTTGGGAACCTGACCGACGTATGCTACAATTTCAGTGGGAAATGTGCATTCCAAATTCCTACAAGACTGCCTCAAAACAAATTTCTGAAATGCAACCTGTTCGTAAGTTGTGGCTTGCCTGCATTTAATACTTTTTTGGCAGCACCATACACTTACAAAACTGTATGCTGCTTATGGAAGAGGACATTCTGGAAACCACTTAAAATTCACAGAAGTTTGGATTCTTTCTCTAGCATATATTTCATTTATTTTCTTGCTGTATATTTGACACGTGGTCACTGTTACAGCTTATCGTCAAGCAGATATGCCAGCACTATCTTCCCAACTTTGGGTAAATTCTTTTACCAAAGGACAATGTCCTAGGTGACAAGATATTTCCAGTTTTTTCCCATTGAACAAAAAAAGGAATCACTTTAGAAGGGACTGTTCTCTTTCACTTCAGAGGAAACTGCAGATATGCAACATCTGGTAGAAATCCCTCGGATTCTCTTGGATGTAGGCATAGGCTTTTGCTCCAACTATCTGGGATGGTTTTCTCTTGGTTAAGTCACTCTTTACGCCTTTCGGCTTTTCCAGCTTTCCAGGCGTCTGATTTTTGTTATTACTGTGTTTCAACTTGGGGAGTTGTGACACGAGTGGTTGATTCCTTTATCGGCCTTAGTAGCCATAGGAGCAGAGCTGGTTTAGGGGTTTAGGGTGTCTGACAAATGCAGAAACCTCCAAGTTCACCGTGAAAGCCTGGCTCCCTCATGGCACCTGTCAGTTCTTTCCACGTTAACAACCCTTGGATTGTCAGTCTCTCTCTCTCTCTAACCTCTGTCTTAGAGGTGAGAATACAGGCTTACTATCCACAAAAGTTCGTTCATCCACAGAGCGAGTGGCCCCTGTGTTCTGAGGGAATAGTCGTACAGAGCACGGTTCTCTCCTTAATCACGGTGCTACCTCCTGCCCCACACCTACTGCTAGTAATTATTTGCATGGGAGCTAAATTCAGCAAGAATATTCACCTCAACAAACCTACTATGTGTGAAATACTGTGTTAAATGCTACAGTTAGAAATAGAAATAAAACACAGCCCTGTGCAGTGGCTCACGCCTGTAATCCCAGCACTTTGAGGGGCCAAGGTGGGTGGATCATTTGAGGTCAGGAGTTCAAGACCAGCTTGACCTACATAGTGAAACAACATCTCTACTAAAATACAAAAATTAGCCGGGCGTGGTGGCAGGCCCCTGTAATCCCAGCTACTCGGGAGGCTGAGGCAGGAGAATCACTTGAACCTAGGAGGCGGAGGTTGCAGTGAGCCGAGATTGCACCACTGCACTCCAGCCTGGGTGACAGAGCAAGATTCCCTTTCAAAAGAAAAGAAAGAAGAAAAAAAAATGAAAGAAAACACAGTCGTTATTCTCAAGAATGTGAGTGAGACAGGCGCAGGTAGACTTTAATACAGTCTAGTAAGTGTACTGATAGAGATATACCGAATGTTATGGAAACCACAGGAGAAGCTAACTTGCGGGAAGATGGGATAGGGGAGACTCCCTGGAGGAGGTGAAATGAGCCTGGGCTGCATTTTAAAGGGTGCATGGAAAACAGGCCTGGGAAGGACATTTTAGACCAAGAGGTCACTGTCATCAAAGCTGAGTCAGTCAGGGCACACACATAGAGGCAGTGAGGTGCTTCACTGGCCAATACAAAAAAACCACTCCTCAGTATTCCCCCACTCTGCCCCGCCATCTTTGGACCTCACTGGAAGCCAGTGGCCCTCATATTCTGAGTATTCCTGTGGGCAGGAAACATAGTTGTTGGGATGCCAAACACTTGTGCTTCTTATAGCTCTGAAATGCCTTGGGGGCACAGTAGTGATTCTGGATTGAAAGCATGTGGGCATCATAGGAAAAAAATATTAATAGGTTAAAAATGTTCTCCAAGTCTGTGATCTCAGATATCTCAAAATATATGTGGTTAGGCGTGGTCTTTCTGTGGAACTTGCAGCAAAAATCTACCTTCCCAGGCGGTGGTTCTTCAGGAAGACTGTAGCGTGCAATCTCCAGTGTTAGTAAAGACAGATGTTGTCTTGTGATTCTTCCATGCACCAATTCTGCAGTTTCTAAAGAGTAGCAGAACTGGCCTCGGTGTGCTCCAAGATTTAGAGTAAGAATAGCAGAGAGCAAACAGCAAGCTGGAACTACTACACATGTACACACGGGAGCCATCTCTCACAAGCTGGAACTACTACACACATACACACGGGAGCCATCTCTCACAAGCTGGAACTACTACACACGACCACACGGGAGCCATCTCTCACAAGCTGGAACTACTGCACACACACACGAGCCATCTCTCACAAGCAAACATGCTGAGCACTTGACCCAATGAGATACAAAAACCCTGGCGTTAGGAAGGAGGTAGGAGCTTTATCTGTGCTTGTGTTCATTCAGGCAGTGAACCATTTAGGAAAGAATTGTTGAGCACCTACCATGTGTAAGCACTGCTGTAGTCACTGAGGCTAGAGCAGTGAACAAAGCAGTCTAAAAAATCCCCTGTCCTCTTGGAGCTTACTGTTTAGGGGAACTTTATCCCAAGGGCAAAGAGAAGCATTGAAAGGTTTGATACAGGCAAGTGACATGACCAGATTCACATTTGCCTTGGCTCACTGTATTGAGAAATCTGAAGGAAGGATTGTTTGGGAGGATAGTGAAGGAAGAAACGGGAGCAGAGTCCCTTTAAATGCAGGTCTAACCAACCAAAAGCTTCAACATGTTACACACTGTTTCCCCCAAGAGCAAAAATTTCCTGAGATTTTTAGCTGTTGTTTAAAGATAACTAAACAAGTAATATATAATTATCCTGAGCTTTGTGCTTTACACTGAATAAGACATCATATTTCTGCAGTTAATACTTCTGAAATAACAAGTTTAAAGAATGCCTCCTGATAGACAGCTTTCTGCAAATACGCCTGCAGTTACTCTCATCACTCCTGCATCAGTGTGGTTGATAAGAAATGACAAACTAGAACATGTTTGGTTAAATAGACCATCTGCCTATTCATAATATGGACATTAATTCTTATAAACAGTTACTTCAGCTGTGTGAAATGCCTGATTTCCTTTCATGATATGCTCATCCCTGGGCAATTACTTCTATTTCACATGATTTTGTAGTGGACCATACAAACTTGTTTTTCCCAGTGTAGACGTTAAATAATTTAATGGGAAATGTATACGGAAAATGTATGTTAAATAATATGTATGTGAAAATATTTCAACAAGGTTACTCTGGTATGTGAATTAAGAAACTTTTCTTGATGAAGTAAAACATAAGGTTCAGAAGAGTGTGAATCTGTGAACAAGCCTAAACCTCAAAACATGAAGCAGTATAATTTTAATAGTTGTAAATACAGTGGTAGCAGACCCCACTGAGATTTGCTGTGTATTCTGTATGCAATATTAAACCCAGAGATGCTTTTTATTTTACTTTAAGTTCTGGGATACACATGCAGGACATGCAGTTTTGGTACATAGATAAATGTGTGCCCTGGTGGTTTGCTGCACCTATCAAGCCATCACCTAGGTATTAAGCCTGGCATACATTAGCTATTTTTCCTGATGCTCTCCTCCTTGTCCTCCTGCAACAAGTCCCCATGTGTGTTGTTCCTGACCTGAAAATCCTTGTGTCCATGTGTTCTCATTGTTCAGCTCCCCCTTATAAGTGAGAACAGGCAGTGTTTGGTTTTTTGTTCCTGTGTTAGTTTGCTGAGGATAGTGGCGTCCAGCTCCATCCATGTTCCTGCAAAGGACATGATCTCGTTCCTTTTTATGGGTGCGTAGTATTCCATGGTGTATACGTACCACATTTTCTTTATCCAGTCTGTCATTGATGGGCATTTAGGTTGATTCCATGTCTTTGCTATTGTGAATAGTGCTGCAGTAAACATACATATGCATGTATCTTTATAACAGAATGATTTATATTCCTTTAAACCCAGACATTCTGTTTTCTTTTTTTTGAAACGGAGTCTCACTCTGTCGCCTAGGCTGGGGTGCAATGGTGCTATCTCGGCTCACTGTAACTTCTGCCTCCTGGGTTCAAGCAGTTCTCCCGCTTCAGCCTCCCATGTAGCTGAGACTACAGGCACCCATCATGCCTGGCTACGTCTGTAATCCCAGCACTTTGAGAGGCCGAGGCGGGCAGATCACCTGAGGTCAGGAGTTCAAGTCTAGAGATTCTTATAGCATCCTTTAGCCAAAATTCATTCGGAATTCTGGATCTTTTGGGGTCTTAGAAAAGTAATGTCGTGGCCGTATTGTCTGTTACACAGCAAAGTTAAGTCTGAGGCCATACCTGGCAATTAAACATGTTAACATTTCTTCCATAAAACTCATGAATATTCAAACTTATGGAGATAAAGAGGATAAGTCAGTACAGGTTAAGTTTTGTCACCAAATATATTTTCTTCATTCTGTTTTTATTGCTTTCTGCTTTCTGGGTTTTAGGATACATATAAGAGATTGTGGACCTGTAAAAGAATCCCAAAGGAATTTTGGAAAATTTTCAAGTCCAGCCTATGATATTTAGGCCAAGAAATGGCAAATATGTCTAGAAATAATAGCTACCACAACCAAAATATATAGGTTTCTTTTTTGTTTTCCATACACTAAGACTACAGGTGGCTTGGTTGACAGTGTTACTTTTAAATAAGATGAGACAATGAATAAATGAAGGAGTGAATGAATGTCAGGGTGAAGAAACAGTCTCAGGGTCTCATAAATAATGCCCTTCCCTTCCTCGTGTCTTGGCTGCTTTAGCCTCAGGATATGTGAGTCTGGGGTCGTCGGAAGCCTGGATCCTCCTCCAGCCATACTGCAACTGTCTATCAAAATGACTTCCCAAAAGTTTTCCAACAACTGAGTCATGGAGGAAGAGCTTTAAGAACTAAAACAAATAAAGCTCATTCCTTCCCCAAGGCCTTTGTAATTATTCTTCTCTCTGACCAGAACGTTTTCCCCCATGGCTGATTCCTTATCATCTTTTGGATCTCAGGCCAAATGCAACGCCCAGGGGAACCTGCCCTATCCACCCAGCCTCTATGCCCTTACTCTGCTGTGTGTCCTCATCACCCTCTGAAATTCTTGTGTTCACTCCCTTTTGATCGGAATCCTTCACTAGCAGGGGTGCTCTATTAGGGCAGAGCCTTTTTGTTCCGAGATGAGTCTCTTAGGACCTGGGGCAGTGACGGGCAGACAGCACTCAGTAAGTATGTATTGGGTGAATAAATAAGTGAAGGAATGTTTCCCTGACTGTCGGTGCTCAGTGAAGAGCTGACCTGTGCCTACGGACTGAATCATCTTTTCATTTGTAACTTTTAACTATTGTAATTCTAGATAATGGTGATGACTGTATTGTGAAAATTATTAAAAGTTTTATAAAAATACAAACACAAGTACCTTTTCTCCCTCTCTTTTTTAATTCAGTTACCTACCGCGGTGACTCATTCATACTAACATCTGAGTCTGTGTCAGAAACAAGCAAGAGAAAACAGAGGCAGAGATAAAGGACTGATATTATAATTTTTGAACAGCTCTTTCTTCTAGATAAATGTTCTTTATATAAAAAATAAAATCTCCCCAAGAATATTCTTAGACTTTAAAAATCTTTATGTGTGTGTGTGTGTGTGTGTGTGTGTGTGTGTGTGTGTGTATTTTTTTTTTTCTTTTTTTGAGACGGCGTCTCGCTGTGTCTCCCAGGCTGGAGTGCAATGGCACGATCTCGACTCACTGTAACCTCCGCCTCCTGAGTTCAAGTGATTCTCCTGTCTTAGCCTCCCGAGTAGCTGGGATTACAGGCGCCTGCCACCATATCTGCCTAATTTTTTGTATTTTTAGTAAAGATGAGGTTTCACCATGTTGGCCAGGCTGGTCTTGAATTATTGACCTCAAATGATCTGCCTGCCTCACCCTCCCAAAAGTACTGGGATTACAGGCATGAGCCACCGCGCCCGGCCAAAAATCTTGCTTATAGTCCCTTACAATATTGAAACTATTGCTTCTGCTCCTTTCATTGCTTAATTTATTGAATTCTTTCCATTATTAGTAAAATATATTTTGTTTCTAAAAGCTGGCAAGAAACTTACTAAAATACTACAGTCTAACATTTAGCATGCTGCAAAAACTTTGACATTGTCATACAAATAAGTGGATTCTTCAAGAGTTCAGGTTATCTTGCAGGAAAAAGATGATTTAGTTTTATAGAGTTTCCTTCTTGAAAGAGGTCTAGTTAGAAAAGATTTCAAACCAAATAGGGGCGGAGACAGGGTAGGGAGAAAATACCACTATGGATACTTCAAATGAAATAAGAAGGAAGGACAATAATATCTAATATTTGTTGCTTATAGTAATACTGTATCCCAAATAATCGCAAAAAAAGCTTTACTGGAAAAAAATCATTACACCTATCTGATTATAAAGAAGAAACAAAAATTGATTAGTAGTTTGCTATTTTCAAAGTGTAAAAATAGGGTAATTAATGCTAGATCATTTGACACTTTGGTTTTCTAAAATTAAACTTCTCAGAGAAATAGATTCAGGAAGAAATTTCACAAAACAACATTAATTAAAATGGCTGGGAAAAAAACAATACTGTAATAACAGTTGTAGAGTAGTGAAACTGGGGGAAAGTTAAGCAGCATTTTTTGCTTTGCTGATGACTGCAGTGGGGGAACTTCTATGGGGAGAAAAAGTGGATATTGGCTGTTGCCTTAATTAAACTCATGATTTATGAAGACCCTGGTTAGCCACAGCCACCCGGATATTTCAGAGCGAGAGTCAGAGCCTATTTAGTCTGTCACTGACTCTGAGTTTGGGAACCATAAATAGGCCTGCTTGTGTTGGGCTTGTCTTGTCATGGACGTCCACTGAGATCAACGGAATGCCAGAAGTGACCCAGCAAGTAGGAGAGAGACACGTTCCTACGAGAGACACAGAAGAGCGCTCCCCACATTCTTTAAATATTTTCTCCCGGCTATCATCATAACCTCTGTCTTATCGGGATTAATCTTTTTCTGGCTCACTTTGATCCCAGTCCCCTGTTAGGCTCCTCAGATGCTGAATACGTTGTGAAACTGTGGTGTCAGGATTAGAGATAAAAGGGGAGATGTAGACCATGTGTCATCAGCATGCTGATCTCAGAGTGAAAATGCCTGACTTTTCTTCAAGTTATCTTGCGTGCACTTTGAGCATGTGGGTGATTACCATCAGAGCCTGGCAATTCTCCCTGCGAGTCCCGGCCCTGCAGCCCACGAGAGCAGGGAAAGGCAGGATCTAGCAGGGTGTTCCTCATGGTGCCATTCCCCATGGACACAGCCTGGGAGGTCTTCTGTCCACCCAGAGAGCCTGGAGCAGGGAGACAGTAAGGGCCTGGGATGGAATGCAGCTCCAGAGGCTGCTGTTTTGCCTGTTTGTCATAGGATTACTGTATTACAGGGCTTTGAGACCAGCCTGCTATGTCCCCTCAGATCTGGCCTCTGAGGCCCCTGGGCAGGATGGCATTTTCACTGCCTCTCTTTCCCGCTCCACTGACCTTCACTCAGTATTTCCTCCTTCTCTGAAGCCCGCTTCTCATCACCACCTACAGCCTCAAGGATGCCTGCTTGCATCTTTGAGGCTTTTGTCATCGGGCTTGAAGATTTTTTTCCACATGGTCCCCTTAATCTGCTCCCATTCTTGACAGTTTAACACTCGTGCTGAAATTTCATTCCTTGCAGAGTTGGGATTTTCATGTGAATCGTTATAGCTTCTCTCTGGTTTACCATTGGCTTCCCAGAGCTCAGCTTCTGGGCACTTAATAAATGTTCATTTAATCAATTACTATCCCAATACTTTGTTCTCTTGTAACAACAGTTTTCACCTCCATTTCTGACAATGCTTTCTTCTGATTCATTCAATAATGAGAGGTCAACACACATGTTCTCTGTTTTTCTCTAACAAAAAAGACATGCCTTCATCCCTTCTTCTGTTCAGTGGTGCCCCCTCTACCTGGGCCCTGTGTGGCATTCCCCTCTGCTTCCTCTGGATCCTTGGCTCCATTAATTTTTTTCCACATTCTCCTATCTTCAGTCGCTTCCTTTTCCCTTTCTTTTTTCTTTCTTTTTTTTTTTTTTTTTGTGAGGCGGAGTCTTACTCTGTTGCTCTGTTGCTATGCTGCGATCTTGGCTCACTGCAACCTCCGCCTCTCAGGTTCAGGCCTCCTGCCTCAGCCTCCTGAGTAGCTGGGACTACAGGCATGTGCCACCATGCCCAGCTAATTTTTGTATTTTTAGTAGAGACGGGTTTTCCCATGTTGGTCAGGCTGGTCTTGAACTCCTGACCTCGTGATCCACCTGCCTCGGCCTCCCAAAGTGCTGGGATTACAGGCATGAGCCACTGGGCCCGGCTTTCCTTTTCCCTTTCTTTTTCCAGACAGGTAAAATGCACAAGGCTTGACCGTTCTTTTAAAAACGCTTCTCCACTGAAATGACTCTCCGTGGTCACAAATAACCTCTTTATTCCTGAAGCCAGTGGACCCTTTTCAGTTTTGCTCTCATCTGTTTTCTCCACTGTCAGCCACATGCCTTTTCCACCAATTTGCCTTCTTTTTTTTTTTCCTCTCTCTTTTTTTTTTTTTATTTTACTTTAAGTTCTAGGGTACATGTGCACAAGGTGCAGGTTTGTTACATATATATACATGTGCACAAGGTGCAGGTTTGTTACATATATATACATGTGCCATGTTGGTGTGCTGCACCCAATAACTCGTCATTTACATTAGGTATATCTCCTAATGCTATCCCTCCCCACTTCCCCCACCCCATGACAGGCCCCGGTGTGTAATGTTCCCCTTCCTGTGTCCAAGTGTTCTCATTGTTCAGTTCCCACCTATGAGTGAGAACATGCGGTGTTTGTTTTTTTTTCCTTGCAATAGTTTGCTGAGAATGATGGTTTCCAGCTTCATCCACATCCCTACAAAGGACATGAACTCATCCTTTTTTATGACTGCATAGTATTCCATGGTGTATATGTGCCACATTTTCTTAATCCAGTCAATTTGCCTTCTTAAAACTTCTTGGTGGCCCAGCACGGTGGCTCATGCTTATAACCCCAGCCCTTTGGGAGGCTGAGGTGGGTGAATTGCTTGAGCCCAGGAGTTTGAGACCAGCCTGGGCAACATGGTGAAAACCCGTCTCTACAAAAAATACAAAAATTAACCCGATGTGGTGGCACTTGCCTGTGGTTCCAGCTACCTGGGAGACTGAGGTGGGAGAATCACCTGAGCCTGGGAAGTCGAGGTTGCATTGAGCTGAGATTGCGCCAGTGCACTCCAGCCTGGGTGACAGACTGAGGCCCTGTCTCAAACAATAAAACTTACTGGTTTTCCTGCCTGATTGCTTTCTCTGAACTGTACCCTAGATCTTCCTACCGTGGTGGTTCAGATGAGAGATGATGGTAGCCTGTATGTGGGTAGTGCTTATCAGAGATGGAAATAAAATTGACAAGAGTTGATAATGTATTAGAAGCGGAGGCTAAGAGAGAGGTAAGCAAGATAATCACTAGGTTTCTGACTTGCATAATTGGGCGGTGATGTCATTCACTGAGATTAGAAGCATTCCAGGGCGACTATGTGGTAGAGAGGCTACAATGAATTCAACTTTAGATGTATTGGAGATGTGTTTAGAATGTCTTAAGGGTAAATGTCACATAGGCTTTTATTTATTTATTTATTTGAGACAGAGTTTCGCTCTTGTCGCTCAGGCTGGAGTGCAGTTGGGTGATCTTGGCGCATTGAGACTTCCACCTCCCGGGTTCAAGCAATTCCCCTGCCTCAGCCTCCTGAGTAGCTGGGATTACAGGCATGCACCACCACGCCCAGATAATTTTTGTATTTTTAGTAGAGGCGGGGTTTCACCATGTTGGCCAGGCTGGTCATGATTTCCTGACCTCAAGTGATCCGCCCACCTCGGCCTCTCAAAGTGCTGTGATTACAGGCATGAGCCATCGCACCTGGCCATGAAGGCTTTTAGATGGGTCTGGAGCTTGGAGGAGAAGTCTGAACTAAGGATAAACTAAAGGTAAGTTGCTGAGTCATCTGTAGAGAGGTGGGAATTGAGGGCACGGATGAGACAGCCTAGAAGAAAAGGAGGAGAAGATGAGAAGAGAGTATCGAGGTATTGGAAACTGGGGAGGGCAGACAAGTCTAAAAAGGAGACTGGAAAAAAGTAGTTGAAGATGGAGAGGGCAAATCTGGGCAGTGTTGGGACACGGAAGCTGAGGAAAAGAGCAGTTCAAGATGCTTGAAATGAACACACCAAAAATACTGTGAACTATTCAGCACGTCCTTGTTTTATAAGTAAAATTCATAGTCACATCAGCGAAATAATTTTAAATGTATGTCTGTTGACTTAAATATTGGTTTTCTTTTGTGACTGAGGTTCCAGTACTTAGGAAAGGAAATGAAAGAGAGGCAGGGCACTCAGGGCTGACTGTCTTCTCAAAGTGCTAACTGATAGACTCTTCCAAGAATGGAATCATTTGTGTTTTCTTTTTTTTTTTTTTTTTTTTTTTTTGAGACGGAATCTCGCTCTGTCGCCCAGGCTGGAGTGCAGTGGCGTGACCTCGGCTCACTGCAAGCTCCGCCTCCCGGGTTCACGCCATTCTCCTGCCTCAGCCTCCCGAGTAGCTGGGACTACAGGCGCCCGCCACCACGCCCGGCTAATTTTTTGTATTTTTAGTAGAGACGGGGTTTCACCATTTTAGCCGGGATGGTCTCGATCTCCTGACCTCGTGATCCGCCCGCCTCGGCCTCCCAAAGTGCTGGGATTACAGGCGTGAGCCACCGCGCCCGGCCTCATTTGTGTTTTCTATTAAAACATATAACCCAGGGTATTAGACCACCATGGTGGTCACGGCGATCACAAAATATTTTTAACTGGTTTGCTGTGAGCTGATTTAGTGTTCTGAAATTTTATTATCTTGACTGGTAGAATTATTGGAACCAGCCATACATGTTAGAGTGATTGACAGCTACTTCTGATGAGGCTTTTATTGGATCTCAGGCAGCCTGCAAGTCACTGTCCTTTGCATTCAGATGCATTTATTTCCACAGCCTCCAGGGTAGCTAATGTTATTTTTCCTTCCCATTCCGAAATTTTAAGATGCCTCAGCTTTAGCCTGGCTCCTAAACTGATGGACAAGAGGAGAATATGAAGAGGAAGACGGGTCTCCTGGAATCCTCAGTTCCCAGGCTCTTCCCTCCAGTGGTCCAGGAACACTTTTGTCCCTGTCATAGATTTGTGTAATTCTCATGATGTGTAACATATGGAAAGAAAAACCAAGTTTTGTGTAGCCTAATAGATAGCTGTTTAGGAAACCATTCCAACTGTCCAGCTTTCTGAGAGTTTGCAAATATCACTTTACTTCTTACATTAATAGAGCCTCATGCAAATCAAATCATGTTGAACTTTATTAGCTATGCTTGATGTTATTTATGTTCTAATTAAATTAATGAGAATCTTGCATTTCTTCACAAAATTAAATTTCTAGAGTCTCTTTTTATTGTAATGTCTACATTCCATAATCAATGAATGCTTTTAATCCTCTGCAGTGATACTTTCTAGTGTTTTGGGAATGAAGCAAAGGCTTCAGAAACATTCAAAACAATCGAGTGTTAGGCTGTGCTATTGTTTGTTTAATGGGCAGAGGTCACTTGCTATGGGAATACTGAGGGTCTGCATGCTGGAATCATTCTCTTTTTGCCCAGGATGGGATCATTGGGTGAGTTTACTTAATCCATGGGCTTTGTTTCCCAAGACTGTGTCAGGGAACAAGACACAATTGTTTCCAGCCCCAGAGTCCTCTTGAGAGAGTGGCTCCAGCAACTTTGCTCTGTCTCATGTGATGTAGCATCCTCCGGCATCATTTAGAAAAGTGAAAGAGCAAGTAGAAAGGAATCTATCTGATCTTCATTTCTTTGCTGTTGTTGTTGATTTGTGTCACACATTGCTTCTCAGGTGGCCCCAAGAGTAAATCAGAAATTCCAATTGAGATTGCAAATTTTGTTTTAATTCTCTGTTGCTTTTCCAGCAATCAGTGCTTTCCTTTAAATTCTGTCTCGTCTCCTAAATGAAGGCAGCGTCGTGGCCCAGTTTGGGTCTCTGTTTAGCAACTGTGGTCTGTTTGAACTGAGGCAGTCCACATGTTACTTCCATTCTTTAGATTAATGTGATGACCGTAGTCCCTGCCAGAATCTTTTGGAACCAGTTATCCCAGGATATTGACATGTGACACGGCCATAGGACTGAAAACTTCCTCTCTTCCAGGGCCAGCCACAGGAGAGAGAAAGGGATTAAGAGGCTACTGTTGTGTCAATGCTGCAACTTGCTTTAGGACTCTGAGCTGGTTTCTTAACTTTTCCGTTGATGAGCAATAAAACCAGTAGAACAATAACTGCCTTCAGTGATTTTACAGATTTGTGTTAGTTAATAAATATAGGAATTTAGGGAAAGCTGTTTCTGATTTATATTTGATACCGATGTAACATTTTATTGGCGGGCGCTCCTGCTGGATCCTCACTCTGTGGTTAACAGTGACTCCTTTTCTGGTAGCACTCCCTGGCTCTGCAAGTCACGGGAAATAGCGTAAGAGCTCACTTGTCTCTTATGTTGAACAAACAGAGGCAGCAACCGCTATGGCAGAGGGTGGCACCTTCTGGCTATGTGTTTTCCTAAGTGGCCTGAAATGAAACTCCTAGAAGTTGTCTCATTGATAAAATGAATGCAATCTAGGTACCACTAATTATCTAACCCCGGGTCATCAGCAGGATTTACCACCACTGCCAGCAGCCCCAAGGCATAGGGGAAGAAAGAATTTTTTAAAAAGAAGTCATGGAAGCAACACAGAGAGAAAAACAAAGCAGCGCTTATGAATGAGATTCGCTATGAGCCCCCACCCCCGCCCCTCAGGAATAACATTTTAGATAAGCAGTGGACACGAAGCAGGCCCCGCTCTGAAAGAGCACAGGAGGTAGAAATGTCTTCCTTTTCTAGGATATAGATGGTGTGGGTATCAAAGCCATTGTTGACAGGAAGGAGGTGGTGTTGGATAAGAGACTAAAAATAGAGCCGGAGTAGTAGTTTGAATCCAGCAAACCAGCCCTCCTTCTAAAATTCTGCAGCACGATCCCATCACGTAAGAATGTGTCTCGTCCGTATGTGACAAAGACACGGTTTTATTGACCTTAAACAAATGGGCTATGTCTGCCAGAAAAGCTTGTGCCGTCTTGACTGTATTCATAAGAAATAGAGAGATATGAATCATGCCATGTAGGTTCCAGGGCGGGGGCGTTCCCTCCCTCTCGTCCTTCGCTTTGCCTTGCATTATTGCAGACGACAGCAGTGCAGGGATGAACTCACTTTCTAGGGAGGAAGCCGCCAGTAAATAACTAAACAAAGAAGATAAGTTCCGATAATCATCGCTGTTAAACTGAGACTAAAACGAGAGATGAGGTAGTGACTGGGAGTGGAGGGGAAGTTGATTGAGGTGGATCACGAGGGATGCCTCTCTGCGGAGGCGATGCCCACATCGAAGCTCTCAGGATGAGACGGAACCAGCCGTGTGGGCAGCTGTGGGAGGACGCAGAGATGGGCAAATGTAAAGATGCGAAGAACACCAGAAATGGTGTTTTTGAAGGACAGAAAAATATGAGTCGAGCTAGAATCTAATGAGCAAAGAGAAACGAGTTAGATGTGATTTTGGAAAGGGAAGGCAATGTGTTTCTCTGTGTGCTGATCAGTCCTGAGGTGCTGCAGCAAGAAATTGACATATAGAGGTGGATACCAGAATGGTGAGGAGTTTGGAAGAAAAACCCTATGAAGAGCGCAGTCGGAACTGGGGGTTGGTTGTCTTACGAAGAGAAGACTGGAGAGAGAGCCATGATAAATGTCTGATTATTTGAGATGTGATCTACTGGAAGCATTACACAGATGATGGTTCCATAGAGTGGCCCTCAGACCATTGAAAGGGGCCATGGCTAAGGCAGAACTCACCCGCCTTAGAAGGAAGCACTTTAACCCTTGACCTCATCCATCCAAAAATGGAACGAGCAGCTTCACAAAGCTGCGCTGTTAGTTTCTAGTCACAAAGTGTTGTTAGGCAAGGACAGCTTTAATTTACTAGATTTTAAGATTTTTCAGGCCAGTGACTTTGTTTTCTGTCCATGTTATATCTCTGGCAAGTACCTGCGGGTGGATGCTCAGTCAGTGTTTACTGAAATGACAAATAAGTAAATCGCAGTAGCAACTGGACCAAGGATGGCTCAGGCAACCTCTCAGATTATACCTAATTCTAGGATTTTATAATTCTGTGATATGAGTAAAAGCAGAATTATTTTCAATACTTAACAAAATTTTATTGGGAAAAATAAAGAACTGTGAACATTGGTGAGAAGTCTTAAAAATAACTTCCCAAACTCTAGCAAATGCACCCTCACCCTTTCCCTGCAAAGCTCCCCACGCAAACTCTTCTGTGTTTCCTAAGCCATGAAGTACAATAGTGCCATTGCTGTTTGTCAGTGACATAGAAAATATTATTTAACTTTATTTAATGGGGGATTTTCAGATAATTTGGACTTCAAATATGCAGTTTTGAAAGTTGATCTGAAATACATCACTTATAATTGCCTTTAGGCTTTTAAGCAAGCATATATGAAATACATTTCATTATTTTATTCACTATATTTCAGTTAAAATTTGCTTTTAAAATATAAAGTGCCTGGGTGCAGCAAACCACCACGGCACACGCATACCTGTGTAACAAACCTGCACGTTCTGCACATACATCCCAGAACTTACAGTATAATAAAAAAAATTTTAAATAAAAATAAAGTGTCACTAAAAAAGTATATCAATAGTCTTAGCCTTATTGTCAAAGAAAAAAAATGGAAATTCTTAGACCATTTTCATCATTCAGAGTATAAAAAATGTTGACATGTACTCTATTGTACAGTGATCAAAGGCATTATTGTACATTCTTTAATTTGAGGTGATTCTTCTAATGTGTAGTACCAATTATTCTGATCTCTGCTGAAAAGTGATGACATGTGGTATTTTTGTTTAACATAGATCTAGTAAGTTGGGTAATTTAAGTAGATGGTTAAATATACTCAGTACCTGAAATAAGCTTGCGTATATGAAGCTTTGATTTATGGAACTGGCGGAGATTCAGTCAGTAACAATGTAATTTTAAAATAGCATCTGCATTGAGTGGATTACAAAGGAGACCACGATTTTCCTTCATTCATTCAACAAATAATTACATGCCTACTACGTGCCAGCTCATATTTGAAGGCCTGGGATACCACAGTAAACCTGACAAAAACCCTGCTGTTACCGAGTTCCTCATAACTACCAAAGGGTTGCAAATGAGATGTGGAAAGTTCTTTATAACCATATATATCTACAGAGCACTTTATAGTTTACAGAGCACTTCCCCAAACACCTTTAGGCCTCTAAAACCTATGAAAAAGGTGCAATAGTAATAGCAATAGGACAATAACATAATAAACATGTATTGAGTGTTTACTATGTGCCAGACCCTCCTCTACAAACTTTATATGTTTTAACTTGTGAATTTTCAGAACAACCCTGTGAGGTGTATAGTTTTATTCCGATTTTGCAGATGAAGAAATTAAGACACAGACAGATTAAATTCCTTGGCCAGAGCTGCATAGCTAATAAGTGGTAGAGGACATGCTATCACCCACACCACCAGCTGTGGAAATGGGAGTCATGTGGTCATGAGTTACCTGGGTCGCGCAGCCAGATGGAAGTGGAATTTAGGTTTTCCGATTTCAGGGCCAGTGCTTTTCTGAATGCACTGCAGCTGCCTACCTCCAAGCAATGACATTGTTAAAATGATTAGTAAGCTTTTGCTGAGTTAAGCTGTGATAACAAATAATCCCCAAATCTATGACTTACAACAAAGGTCTATTTTTTTACATATTTTGTGAGTTATATGAGTTGATAGTGGCTGTACTCCATGCTGTTTTCGTACTAGAAGGAGAAACTATTATCTCACATATTCTGCTCTCACAGCAGGAAAACACAATGGTGGACCATGCACTGGCTCTTAAAATCTTCTGCTCCATCGTAGACTGAACCGCTTCCTCTCACATCTTCTTGGCCAAAGCAAATCATACAACGAATGGGGTGGGAAATGTACGTCCCCCCACAGTGAGGGCACTAAGTGGTGGTGGTGGGGGTTGGGGACCTCTGAGGATGGGTCTGATAGAGAGGGGTTGCAAATATTTTGAGCAATTGTGATGTTTTTATATAAATATTCTTAGTTAGTGGTTTTTATTTTTTATTTATTTAGTTTTTTTAGAGACTAGGTTTTGCTGTGTCACCCAGGCTGGAGTGCAGTGGTTCAGTCATAGCTGATTGTAGCCTCACACGCCTGAGCTCAAGGGATCCTCCACCCAGCCTCCCGAGTAGCTGAGACTACAAGTATGCACCACTATGCCTGGCTACTTTTTTTTAAGAGATGGAGTCTCGCTATGTTGTCTAGGCTTAGTCAGCTGTTAAAAATGATTTGATTGCAAACAACTATGTGGTCTGCACTGTTCTGGTCATTTTTCTTTTTCTTTTCTTTTTTCTTTTTTTTTTTTTTTTGAGACGGAGTCTTGCTCTGTCGCCCAGACTGGAGTGCAGTGGTGCGATCTGGGCTCACTGCAAGCTCTGCCTCCTGGGTTCACGCCATTCTCCTGCCTCAGCCTCCCGAGTAGCTGGGACCACAGGCGCCCGCCACCACGCCCGGCTACTTTTTTGTATTTTTAGTAGAGACGGGGTTTCACTGTGTTAGCCAGGATGGTCTCGATCTCCTGACCTCATGATCCACCCGCCTTAGCCTCCCAAAGTGCTGGGATTACAGGTGTGAGCCACTGCGCCTGGCCTGTTCTAGTTATTTTTCAACTGTTACATCTTTTGTTTTAATGCACCACTTGGCCTTATTATCCTTATTTGGCAGATGAGGAAATGGAATAGAAAGAGAAACAGAAAAGTTAAGTAACTTACCTAAGGTAACACAACTCGTAAAGGATAGAGTGAGATTTTGAATGTAGGTTTTCCTTTGCCAAACCCCAGATTTCCCACTTCAGTGTACTACATGTTGGAGGGAAATCGCTAACGAATTTGGTTCATGTTTGGACAGATCAGTGACTTTTTTGTAAAGCCAAAGAATTCTTACGTGTGAATGATTTCCAGCTAGTAGAGAAAAACCTAAACTATCTATAACCTCCAGGAAATTAGTCATTCTGGCTAACCGCATTTTTCCAGGTTAATGAAGATTTAATATTTTAAAAATAAGCATTTTTATATTTCTGTTGACTAAAAACATTCACACTGTAGAAATTCTCACGTAGTGCATAGAATATTAAACATGCAATGGTGAATTGATAAGGTCTCCCGCACCAACTGTCACCTGATTCCAGCTGGAAGCTTATTTAATGGTGCGGCATTTCAGATGGATAAGAATTTGTTATGCAAACAAGGGTTTGTTCACATTTGATTTTCTTAACTATCTAAAGGCTCTAAACAGTGAGAGATTTGCCCAGAGACAAGAGCCTTTCCCACCAATCAGCAGAGCCTCTCAGTGTTCCAGAGTCCCAAAGACATCTTCATTTGAAGGGTTCGGGGCCTTAATTAAAGGACTGCATTTTGAGGTCTGGATTTCCAGGTTATCAATTTTGGGAACTGAAAAAAACCTTTCCACTTAGAAAGTCATCATGGGGGCTGGGCACAGTGGCTCATGCCTGTAATTCCAGCACTTTGGGAGGCAGAAGCAGGAGGATTGGGTGAGGCCACGAGTTCCAGACCAGCCTGGGCAACATAGCGAGACCCTGTCTCTACAAAAATAAAAAATTATCCAGGCATTGTGGCATGTGCCCGTAGTCCTGGCTACGTGGGGGACTGAAGTGGGAGGATCACTCGAGCCCAGGTGGTCCAGGTTGCGGTGAGCCATGATCACACCACTGAACTCCAGCCTGGGTGACACAGCGAGACCCTGTCTCAAAACAAAACAAAAGCGATGATGGGAAGTTGTCTTTTACTGTTAAAATGGAAAAGTGTGGGAGAAAATTAAATTACGGCTATGCTTTTTCATACTAGGTGGGCCTTCTTTCCCAGTATAGAGTCACCCTTTTACAACTCTGAACTTAAGATATAAAATGAGATGGTCGATTGTTTAGTAATCACTAGAATTCTATTCCCTCCTCGAGGTGTAAGTGCTGTCTTCTTAAATGGGAGAAATCTGTTTAAGTTTCATGATACATGCTGACACTGTGTATCTTACAAGTAAAGATGCTCTCTCCAACTTTGGGTTAAAACATGCACAGAACATAAAATTCTTGGTGACTGTAAATGAGATCTATCCATTACAGTGGGTTACTTTATTCATTTCAATATGTTACTTTGAATACCTGCATTTGAATTAAATGAGATTGCTGGCAGGTGCTGTGGCTCATGCCCGTTACCCCAGCACTTTGGGAGGCTGAGGTGGGCAGATCACCTGAGGTCAGGAGTTGGAGACCAGCCTGGCCAACATGGTGAAACCCCATCTCTACGAAAAATACAAAAACTTGCTGGGTGTGGTGGTACATGCCTGTAGTCCCAGCTACTCGGGAGGCTGAGCCAGGAGAATTGCTTGAACCCAAGAGGTGGAGGTTGCAGTGAGTCAAGATTACGCCACTGCACTCCAGCCTCGGCAACAGAGTGAGACTCCATCTCAAAAAAAAAAAACAACAAAAAAATGTGGTTGCTGAGAATGTCACACGTCCAGACCAGTCAATTGCTCTTAATTATTTAAGTATACACACGACTTTCTTTCATTATGCTCCTTATGAGTCAAACAAATATGGAGTGCAAAGCTTTTAAGACCTCTAAAATCTCTCCATCAGTTGTATGCTGCTGTGAGAGTAGAAATTGCTTTCATGGAGATTTGAAAGGGAAAAAAATTTAAATAACGATGTGATTTAGTGTGCAGTTGGCAAATCAGCATACTTAAAATACATGAATATTAAAATAAAGAATGCAATAAACATAACTACTGACTTACAATTTATTGAGCAACTGACTTTTAAATAAGATTTTTTCCACTCAGACTTTCTTCATAGACCTTCAGAGTCCCTCCTATTGTTATTTTTTTCCAGATCACTGTTACGTAGAGGCTTATCCTACTCACAGAATTTACCTGCATATTTAAATGGCATAATTATTATAAAAAGGCTCTGGGATACCTTTGGGCTCAGTACTTTAGCTGAGAAATTTTATACATAAAATGACACCTGGCTAATAAAAGGAAGCAAATCGGCATTTATTCAGTGTCCGTTAAGTGCCAGGAGCTTCACCGTGTGTCTCATTTAATCACATTGCAACAGTCACAACAGTCCTTTCAATTTGGAGCAGTAGTTGCTCTTAGTTCGGCAGACAAAGAAACCCAGCTTCATGTAGGTGAAGAATCGGCCCAAAGTCACAGAATTTGTAGAGCAAGGATCTGGACCCAGGCCTCTCTGTATCAAAGGCCTTGGCTATATTTTCCCATGAACTCTGCCGGCAGACACGAAACTACCTCTGAAAGGAGAAAGAAAATGATTTTTTTATTTGTTTGTTTTAAACAATAGAGGCTTTATCTCTCTTGTGTCACATTTTACTTTAGGGTTTAACACAAGTCTGTGAACATCCAGAAACACTGGCTTCATGTTGCTCCATCATCCCCAGTAAGAATTATACCAAGAGGCCGGGTGTGGTGGCTCACACCTGTAATTCTAGCACTTTGGGAGGCCGAGGTGGGTGGGTCACCTGAGGTCAGGAGTTTGAGACCAGCCTGGCCAACATGGTGAAACCATATCTCTACTAAAAATACAAAGAGTTATCCGGGTGTAGTGGCACGTGCCTGTAATCCCAGCTACTTGGGAGGCTGAAGCAGGAGAATCACTTGCACCCAGGAGGCAAAGGTTGTAGTGAGCTGAGATCGCACCACTGCACTCCAGCCTGGGCGACAAGAGCAAAACTCTGTCCCCCCAGAAAAATAACAGAAGATTTATACAAAGAAATTTATGGGATTATATGAAATTTTCCAGGCTTCAGGCTGAATAGACCACTTTTATATGGAAGGCATACTTCAGATATCTTAGATAAATGTTTTCTTTGATAAAAAAAATTTTGAGCTTCTCCTTGTAATATTTGTTTTTCTTAAATTGCCTCTCCTTCCTCCACACAATCATTAGCCTCTGAAAAATAAAGATATATTATCTTTTTAAATTGAAGCAAACTTTTATCTTTTAAGATTAATTGACATTATCTAATCTATTTTGTTTAAACGAAGTTCATACTTACAAGAGGGATTGAAAGTGAAGTGACATTTGCCTCTAAATCGAGATAGCAGATGTTGCAAACCCAGTAAATGCCTTAAAAAAAATACAGTTTACAGCAAAAAGTAAACTCTGAAAGAAAACACTGCAATCAAAATAACGATACACTTGATCAGCTTTAAAACTGATGTATACATTTTGTATATTTTATGTTTGCCTTTAGTCAGTCTACATTTCCTTGTATCTTTCACCCATTCTTTTTAATTCTAATCTTTTTCCTACAGAAAAGGATGTTTTAATTATTATATTGAAGTGGACATTAGTTTCTTGATGCCAAATCGTGTTCTGTCTGGTGGAGCGTATTTTCTCAAGGGAGAAAAATTCAAAACCTAATGCCCCTATGTGAAATCTACATGTGCAGTGTAAAACAAAGGATCACGCAGGCTGGATAAAGACAATGGAAGACTTTGGGTGGCTTCTTACAGTTCTCTAAGGACCCATGAGCCGTTCCATCTTCAGCCGTTCCACCCACATTCTCTCCCTTTTTTGAGGACTTTTTCTCTCTCTCTTTTTTTTTTTGTAGTTATTGAAGCTTTAAAACATGATAGAAAAGAAATTCTCATTTAAAACATTTTAAAAGAGAATAAGATAAAAATATTTCACAAAAATATCAGTCGACTCATGAAAATGAATTGGGAAGTCATTCTTCCGGTATTTAGCATTGTTCAAGTATGGCTTCCTCGAAAAAGACTGGAGTATTTTATATTCTTTCAGGTCTTTAAAAGCAGCAGAAGGCTTTGGTTAACAGAGCAGAATTTCCCTTATTTAGGTAAATGTTACACTGAAAGTAGTAATCCTTTTGAAATGCTAATTTTTTCATTTAAACCTAGTAAGCTGGAGGAATTTGAACGTGTGTGAGAAGTCTTTTATTTCTTTGGTCATAACCTAT